>NC_000012.12:103823764-104126794 GCF_000001405.40 Homo sapiens
TTTTGTTTCTACACTGAGGCAGTATTTACCCTTTCCATTAACTCCACTACAGGTGAACTCAAGGTCCTATATCCAAATTTTAAACTTTTAAACTTCACATCCCTAACTGCCAGTGAAAATGACAAGAAAAAGACACCCTAATTCAGGTGTTTTATCTCCTAGTAACTTTCACCAAGTTCCAACTTCCTTCTGCCCAGTCAGGCTAGGCACAGGGCAGTAAAGTCAGTTCTGCTATTAATGGTTGAAACATGTGAACCTCTTCTAATATGCTAGGGAACAAGCTGATCATAATGCAATTTCACATTTGTTTATGTTTTGGTATGTTACACTCAGTGCCAACAAATGTTATTTGATATAGTTGTGTCCACTTAATATCCTTTCTGCTAATAATTCATTACAGTAAAGGAAACAGTTGAATAGAAAGTGTGACTTTGAAGGCCAAGGTTGAGATGACAATTCTTAAGAGTGTGTAACTGTTAGACCTTAAAGAGATTTAAATTTTTACCCAGAAACTGTTTTCTCCAGTATCTCTAATAACCACTCTGTTTTAAGTCATTTTTACTTCTGCAACAGTCCAATGGCAGATGTTGAGACGAAACAAAATGCCCAAGGTATCCTTTCCACGGTGAAAGTGAACACTGATAGGGTTACCTGCCCAGCATGCTCCAATCCTTATGTAAGAAGTGACTCTTCTCCAGTTTCTTCTGGGACCTGCCCCTCCAGTCACAGCTGCTGGTCCAGGGCAGAACACCTGACTCACGCTGGGCCACTCCTGAGGTGGGTACCAGATTCAAGCCAGGCTAAACTGGAGTCCTTCTCTTATTTCTGTATTTTCACTTTATAGTTTTATTGAGGTGCAATATAATAAATTGCACATAAAGTATACAGTTTGATGGGGTTTGACATATGCTGCAGAGACATCTGTGATGCCACCAACACAATAAAGGCAATGAGCACCTAACACCCCCTAGCCTTTCCTCACATTCCCTTAAATTCCAGCCCACCCTCCCTCCACCCCTGCCCAGCCCCAGGCCCTACTCATTTTCTTTTGGTAAGATTCCTTTGCATTTGCTAGAATTTTACATCAGTGAGATCATACAACCTGTAGTATCCTTGTAAATTGGTTTTCTCATTTACTAGATCCATAGGAAATCCTTTTCAATAAGCACTTACCATATCTACAATGTGCCAGACAGTGCACAGGGCACCACATGGGGATTATAAATACAGAGCAATATCACAGGCAGTGGGGAAGACCAACAAACATCACACTGATGCAAGACAGAGGAACTTGGCATGGGGCTGGGCATGCCCCCCCGGGAAGAGGCAATTCAAGAGTCAGTTTCATTGTGTCTGATAATCTAAGAAGAAACATTCATTTTTCCATTAGTTTATATATTTTGCATCGTCTCCGAGGAGAAGCAATCCATGACAAATACAATTACTCATCTGACTAACTAATAATGCACATGACATTTATACTACTCCCACCAAAAGTTAAAATTATACCTCTTATTACCCTGTAAGTAATATCTGTATTTTGACTACTCCACAGAAATCCATCACACTTCTTGAAGTTACAAAAATAAAACTACATACAACTACATTTGAAATAAAATTAAATATAGTAATGGTTTAATGACAACCTAATCTTTAAAAAAAATCTTTAAAAAAATCAACGGAACTGATCAAAAAGAAAAGTACATTCAGCTTCAGGGGAAAAAGTCCTTAGAAAAAGAAAATTGTGCATGGCACAGTGGCTCACACTTGTAATCCCAATGCTTTGGGAGGCCAAGGCAGAAGGATGGCTTGAAGCCAGGAGTTCAAGACCAGCCTGCGGAGCAAATCAAAACTCTGTCTCTAAAAAAAAATTTTAAAAGTAGCCAGGCACAGGTAGCTAATTGGGAGGCTGAGATAGAAGGATCCCTTGAGCCCAGGAGTTCAAGGCTGCAATGAGCTTGACTGTGCCACTGCACTGTAGCCTAGGAAACAGAGCAAGACCCTATCGAAGAGAAGAGAGCCATGTCGAATGATCAAAAAATAGGCAAACTCAAAAATTTTTCATTAGAATATACAGGAAGTAGAAAAGAAATATGTATGCCTATATAAATGCCATCCACATGCTGTGCACCGGGTTCTTCTCATTCATCACCTCAATTAATGTCCCAAGAACTCCATGAAGTAAATACTACAATCCCTCATATGCAGATGGGGAAAATAAGGCTAAGCAGCAGCTGGCCCAAAGTCACACAGCCATTAAACATTACAAGGTAGGTCAAATGTTTGGCACAGTGCTTGGCTCAAAGTAGGTGCTTCCTAACTGTCAGTCCCTTCTTTTTTCTATTCATTCATTCAACAAATAATTTTTCCTAGATCAGCAGTTACCAGCATAATCTGGGAAACCTCCCCAACCTCCTCTCCAGGGAATCTTTGAGATCAAAACTATTCTCATAGTAAGATGTGGCAGACAGAATAATGGCTCTCCAAAGATATCCACGTCCTAATCCCTAGAACCTGTGAATATGTTATCTTACATGGCAAGGGAGAATTAAGGTTGCAGATGGATTAAGATTGGTATCAGCTGACTTTCAAATAAAGTTATTAGCCTGGATTATCCAGGTGGACCCAATGTAATCACAAGGGTCCTTAAGTGTGGAAAAGGAGGGCAGAAGATTCAGTGTGAGAGGGATGTGATTTGAGAAAGACTCAGAAAGCCATTGCTGGCTTTGAAAATGCAAGGGGCTACAAACAATGTGGGGAGCCTCTAGAAACTGAAAAGCTTAAGAAAACTGTCTCCCCCAGAACCTCCAGAAAGAAATGCAGTCCTGCAACACCTTGATTTTACCCCAGTGAGATCTATGTCAGACTTTTAACTTCCAGAACTATGAAGACAATATATTGTACTGTTGTCAATCACTAATTTGTGGTAATTTGTTACAGAAGCAATGAAAATTAAATACAGAGACAATCTGCCTTTTTCACTCTCACCTCTTTTGCCAGAGGATACTGCAATAGACAGAATCAGATTTAAGAATCTGTCTATTAATCCAGACACCACAGAACTTTGCACAAATATAAAACCATGACATTCTTCTAAATTTCTTTTATTTTGGATAATAGTCATTTTTCATAAAAAGCATGTGATTTATGTTGACAGGTAACAGACTGGTATTTTAAATGAATCAATAAATACATATGCCTGGGCGCGGTGGCTCATGCCTGTAATCCCAGCACTTTGGGAGGCCAAGGTAGGCGGATCACCTGAGGTCAGGAGTTCGAGACCAGCCTGGCCAACATGGTGAAACCCTGTCTCTACTATAAATACAAAAAATTAGCTGGGTGTGGTAGAACACACATGTAATCCCAGCTACTCGGGAAGCTGAGGCAGGAGAATTGCTTGAACCCAGGAGATGGAGGTTACAGTGAGCTGTGATCATGCCATTGCACTTCAGCCTGGGAGTCAGAGTCAGAATTTTAAATAAATTCAGCCCGGGAATTTATTTAAAAAATAAATTAATTAAATGAATCAATAAATACATATCTTAAAATTCTCTGGGTTTTAATTTCTAATACAATCACTATCAACATAAGGGCAGAATACATTATTTAAAAGTCTACTTGAGACTAATCTATAAACCGAAACTCTAGGATCTTCAATAATTTAAAGTGTATAAAAGAGTACTGAGGGCAAAACATTTGAAAGGTCTGCTACCTTAGCTAAGGATTAATATTCACTAGTAGTGTTTCTCAAGTAGATTTTTCTGCTCGAATGAGAACAAAATATTACAGTCTATGCAGAGAGTTGCATCTCTACATACAAATTAAAATTATATTCAGGTTTATACATCATTATCTTATCAATTAACTTATCATGAAACAGTTCCTCAAAACCCTAGTGAAGTGAAAAAGAGTTACTCAAATTAAGGACCAATCCTTTAAAGTATAAAAATTTCCTATAAAACCCAGCTTGATCAATCAGCTAGCCTCTCTTTCTCTCTGCATTCTCCTAGATATAACATGTAGTATTTGACTTTTAAAAAATAATAGAATTCTATCATTGTCTTCTAAGTACTTATTTGCAAAGAAGATTTTTTTAAAGCTTTTGTTTTCCTTCTCTAAAATTACATCATGTCAATACAAGAAGGACAAAGTCAGGATTTGGCTGACCACAAACTGAACACGAATTAACTTTTAAAGTTACAGAAGTACAGTGTTTGTTCACCAAGGAAGAGCCAGTTGCTTCCCTCCACCATGAACCAGTCAGACCACACATGGTCAGGAACAAATGGTTCACTTTCAAAGGGATACTGACAAACTAGAGTGAAAGCAAAGTTGAGCTTCCAAAATGATCAAATCAAAGGTGAGTTGCAGTGATGATGCATGATCACCACCTTCATATTTAAGCGACTATCATATGGAAGGGGAATCAAAAGTACTCTCTGTGACTCAGCCATCCAAAATAAAATGGGCAGCCTTGTGATCACACAACAAGCTCAAACAGATGCCAGATGGCCACTAATAAAGTCTATGGAAAAAGGGATTCCTTCTTCCAGCAGAGGACTGAACTCTATGACCTCCAGAGGCCCCTCCACTGGCCAGAGTCTTAGGTTCTCCTATTTTAGGCATTTCTTTCCTATCTGAAAATGTGAAAGTTATGATGTGGCATGTTTCTCCCTTAAATCTTTTTACTACTTTCTTGTACGACCACAGGATCAACATCATATGCCTAAACTATGGGGAAGACTTTTAAAGAATATATCCTGCTATTTCTAAGACATAAAGAAAGGTCAAGATAATACAAAGAACACCCACATCCCTACCATCCAAGTGGGATATAAAATCCCTTCCACCCTCACCTGCAGGCTCCTCCTGCCTCTGACATTACCACTACCCAGATTTCGGTGTTTACCACTCTCCTGCATTTTTTCTTTCTTTTTATTTTTTTTTTTTGGAGACGGAGTCTCACTCTGTTGCCCAGGCTGGAGTGCAGTGGTGTGATCTCAGCTCACTGCAACACTCTGCCACACAGTTTCAAGTGATCCTCCTGCCTCGGCCTCCCAAGTAGCTGGGATTACAGGTATGCACCACCATGCCCAGTTAATTTTCGTATTTTTAGTAGAGACAGGGTTTCACCATGTTGGCCAGGCTGGTCTTGAACTCCTGGCCTCAAGTGATCTGCCCACTTTGGCCTTCCCAAGTGCTGGGATTACAAGCGTAAGCCACTGAACCCGGCCTCTCCTGCATTTCTCTAGACTTTTACCACATACATGTGTGTCCCTACAAGTAATCTATAGTATTTTTATGTGTTTTAAAACCTTTTGTAATTGGTATATGCCTGCAATACTTGCTTTTTCCTTTTTACTCAAAATTATTCTAGTGAGAGTCACCCATGTAGGTATATTTCTGTAGTTCTAGTTCAGCAGACAACACATGTTTTCTATAAAGGGTCAGTTAGTAAATATTTGGGGCTCTGCATATAGTCTCTGTTGCAACTGCTCAGCTCTGACATCCTAGCACAAAAGGAGAACCAGAAACAAATGGGTGTGGCTATGTTCCAATAAAACTTAACATACAAAAAGAGACATCAGGCTACAACTGGCCCATGAACTGTGGTTTGCAACCTTTCTTATAGTATGTATTTCCCTTTAATACCATTTCAATATTTGTTTGATATTTATAACTTGCTGGTTTTCTTTGGTTACCATTTACCCAAGATATCTTTTCCCATTCTATTAATCTCAACCTTTCTACATCTTTGTTTTGGAGTACATCTCTTATAAACAGCATCCAGCTGGAATGTTTCTTGTATCTGATCTGACAATCTGTCTTTTAATCTGAGTTTATCATGATTATTAATATATTTGGAAATATTTCCCCCATCACATTCTATGCTATTTCTTGCTTTTTCTGTGTCTTTTACCTTTTCTCCTACCCACTTTTGGACTGATTTCAACATTGTCAATATTTGTTTAGATTTATTCACATCTCTACCAATTTCTTTTTTCTCCATTTTCACTTCCATCTAAGACCTTTGGGATTTTTTTTCCTGACACATATACATCCTTTAAAAGTTCCTCCTTTAGTGAGTTCCTTGATGGTAAAGCTCTTAGCTTTTAATCAGAAAAAAAAAAAAGGTCTCTTTACACTCTTTCTTAAATGATTGAGCTAGATATACAATTCTAAATTGACATTTTTCTCTCAGCACTTTGAGGTGATCTACTGTCTTGAATGGTCTGCTATCACTGTTCAAAACTCTATCAGTCTCCTAGTCCTTTGTAGTAATAATACTATCAATAATCGTGGTTGACATTTACAAGGAACTTACTACGCAATAGGCGCTATTTTAAAAACTCTACATACATTTACTCATTTAAACCTACCAATCCTCGGAGACAGGTATTATTGTTAGCCCCATTTTACATATAAGGAAACTGAGACACACAGACATCATTTGCCTAAGGTCACATGGCTTATAAATGGTGAAGTTAAGATTTGATCCCAGGTATGTTGCTCCATGGTCTATACTATTAACTACTATGCCTTTGGGTCTTTGTGGCTACTTTTATGATATTCTCTTTGTCTTTTGTATATATTACTTCTTATTCATACTGCTTGGGATTTGCTTTGCATTCTAAATCTGAGGATTCTGTCTTTCATTTGTTTTGGAAAACTCTGAGCAATTTTTTCTTTGAGTGTTTTCTCTCCCCCATTTCCCAATCTCTCCTGCTGGAACTCCAATTAGACATATGTTTGACCTCTCACGCTATCAGTCTGTCAACTGTTTTCATAATATCCATCTCTTTGATTATATTATAGTCTGGGTAATGTTCTCAGAGTTATCCCCCAGACCACTAATTCTTTTTTCTTCTTTTTCTAATCTGCCAATTAAAATCATTCCACTAAACTTTTAATTTTAAAGATTGAAACTTTAATTTCTAAAATTTCTATTTGGTTCTTTTTAAAACCTGTCTGATCATTTTAGTAGTTTCATATTCTTTGCTCACATTTTCCATTTCATCTCTTATTTCTCCAAAAGTTTCAAACACTCATAGATAGCACTACATATATTCTTTACCTAAAAATTCCAATATCTTAAGTCCTATTCATATTAATTGTGCTGTCTGCTGAGTCTGCTGGTTCTCCCTTATGGTGGCTTATTTGTGTATTTTTAAATTTTGGATTGTAAGCTCAGATCTAATCTTGAGAATCCTAGGAGGCCTGGGTTTACGGTCTATTTATCCAGAGAGTTTGCACTGGCTTCTACCAGGAGTCCCAGATCACTATCACTCAGTTTCTCAGTTGGGATTGTGATATGGTTTGGCTCTGTGTCCCCACCCAAATCTCTCCTTGAATTGTAATCCCCATAACCCCCATGTGTCAAGGGCGGGAGCAGGTAACTGAATCATGGGGGCAGCTTCCCCCATGCTGTTCTTGTGATAGTGAGTGAGTCTCATGAGATCTGATGCTTTTATAGGCATCTGGCATTTCCCCTGCTGGCACTCATTCTCTCTCCTGATGCCCTGTGAAGAGGTGCCTTCTGCCACAATTCTAAGTTTCCCAAGGCCTCCCCAGCCATGTGGAACTGTGAGTCAATTAAACCACTTTCTTTATAAATTACCCAGTCTCCGGTATTTCTTCAAAGCAATGTAAAAGAATGGACTCATACAGATTGCCAGACAATACAAGAAGAATAAATTCAAACCCAAATCCATGTGAGGACGAGCTTGTGATTACAAGGTCACGGGACACTTCCAAAACCTGCCCCCCCACACACAGAAAAAATATCTAGAGCAAAGACCAAAAGAGAGAAGTTTCTCTATTGTCTCCCTGCACGGAAGGAAGCACTCTGTGGCCACCAGGTTTTATAGGAGAGTCTCCAACAGTGTGTGTGTGTGCGCCCAATGCCTAGTCTTCCCTCCCAGCAGGCACGACCAATAAAGGCCAACAAGTGTTCCCAGAACAGTCACACCTTCAAGGCTGGTCATCATTCGGGTTTCAGCATCCTCTTTTTTTTTTTTTTTTTTTTTTTGAGACAGAATCCCAATCTGTCACTCAGGCTGGAGTACAGCGGTGTGATCTCGGCTCACTGCAACCTTCACTTCCCGGGTTCAAGCCAATTCTCACGCCTCAGCCTCCCAAGTGGCTGGGATTACAGGCTCATGCCACCTCGTCCAGCTAATTTTTGTATTTTTAGTAGAGACAGGGTTTCACCATGTTGCCCAGGCTGGTCTCAAACTCCTGGCCCCAAGTGATCTGCCCACCTCGGCTTCCCAAAGCTCTGGGATTACAGGCCTGAGCCACCACGCCTGGCCTCGGCTTCCTCTTCATTATTAGTCCTTGAGATTTCTCCAGTTTCTCAGAGTTCAGTTATGACTTCAAGAGAAAGTCCTCTATATTTTTTTTCAGCGTGTGGGTATTCTATACAAAAAGGTTTTTAGACGATCTAGTCTGCCAGACTGCTGAAAGCCAAAGTCCAAAAGAACTCTTGACGGTTAGAGGACATCTGTTTCCACATGTCTTTAAGAGTTCAATAAAAGATTGGTTTCCAAACCCGGCCTGTAAAAATATAGATTCCCGGGTCTTACCTCCACATTTTAGGAATCAGAATCTCCAGGGTTAGGGCCTCAGAATTTCCATTTTTAAACAAGCTTCCCAGGTGATTCCGATGTGCCTATCAGTTTGAGGACCACTGAATTCTTTTTTTTAATTTGTCTTACCTTCAAAAGCTGGCAAAAAAATTATTTAATCTCCTTTTTGTATTTTTTCTCCTTTCACTTCCTCTTTACCCTACCCAGAATTTACACCCTAATGAAAGGGGAAAATGAACTCTAGCTTTCAACTGGTAGATCAGCGAGCCACCTCCACGGCAATTACAGAAAATCATAACACTCAGCAGCAAAAGTCAGGCCAAAAAATATCATTATTCCAGGCAGGCTTCTTGACCCAGCAGCAAATTTAAATCTAAAAAACAGTCCCCATGCTGAGTTCTGCCTCCATAAGGATCATTGAGCATAACAGCT
Organism: Homo sapiens; assembly: GCF_000001405.40. Taxonomy (NCBI): domain Eukaryota; kingdom Metazoa; phylum Chordata; class Mammalia; order Primates; family Hominidae; genus Homo; species Homo sapiens. The sequence continues at coordinate 103,832,785 of NC_000012.12, forward strand.
CAATCCTTCAAACTTTCCTAAAGCGTAACAGAAGCACTAAATGAGCACTGGGTCACCAGAAGACACTAAGATTCCCCTGGAATCCCCTGAAGTTATATACAAAATCATTTGTGTGTGCTCAAGTATTATGTGTAATACTGCAAATGTGTCTTTTTATAAAGAAAAAACACACAGCTTTCTCCAGATTCTCAGTGGGTCCTATGACTCCATTACTCTATATCCCTGCTGCGTAGAAAAAGCACATTTCTGGTTGTAAGCATCTTTCAGTATTATCAACATATGTTCTTATTAGGCATATTATTATAACTTCCCAAGTATATTCTGTCAAGCCTCAAAATAGACTTATCACCTCAAAAAGGGGCCTCCACAGTCAAATTTACTTGGGAAGCACTAAACCTACTACCCCCGTCATTCATTTTAGAGATTCATTCATTTTAAAGGCTCTGACTCACTAGCTCCGAAGCTAGCTCTGAAAAGCCCAGCTACAAAGAAGCTTCTTTAACATGTATTTTCTACATCTCTTTAACCACATCTCTCAAAAGATTGTGAAACAGTCTGAGAAATATTGGTCTAATTTTAAAATTATCTCAAGAGTATCTTTAACCCAATGCAGTTGCTTGAGGAACTTATGCTTACTATTACTATTCACTGTATTTAATATTACATATTATATAGAATTATTATTATCCTTGTGTCTTATGCTTATACACGCTAAGCTTACATCATCATGTAGACACAGTCCTCACTAAATACAGCACATAATTTTTGACTGATTAGTAAATGGTCTCCACCCAGAACTTTGAATAAATCTTTCAACACCCTATAAAAGCTTCTAACTAATCCCCATACTTCTTTCCACAATTTAATACAGCCTATAACCCCAGCCAAGTAGTGAAACATTCTAAATAAACCAGGCTCCAAGATTAATTCTAATGAAAAAAAAAAAAAATCCGTGCGACTAACAAAATATAAGGTTGGAGCAACCCGTCTTGGAGGAGTAGGAAGGCTTCCATTCTGTACCTAACAGGACAGGCCAAGTATCTGATGAGCACACCTGGAAGGCCAGAGCTTGAGTTCAAAGAAGACACACGCAACATTAAAGCACAACAGAAAAGAAGAGACCACACATAGGCATATCCAGCCCTTTCAATTATGATCACACGAAGATTTCTTAGAATTCATTTTAGAACGAGGATTCTCAACCTTGGCACTACCAACAGTTGAGGCCAGATAATTCTTTGTTGTGGGATATTGCCCTGTGCACTGTAGGATGTTTAGCAGCAACCCTGGCCTCTAGAGGCCAGCAGCACCCCTCTCCCCTGGCTGTGACAAAAAGGTCTCCAGGCATTGCCAAACATCCCTTGGGGAACAAAACTGCCCCTCCAGCTCCCACTGAGAACCACTGCTCCAGGGGAAAACTGCAGCAGCTAATGTTTTTGCTACAGGTTTAAACCAGTTATTTCTTTTCCTAAAAATATAAAGAAGCTTTTCTTGAGCTGAGTTTGATACAGGATGCATAAACATTCACACATCCAAAAATCCCAAGTTAAAAAAGGAAAAAGGAAAACATTCCAATTGAGGGACATTCTGCAAAGTATGTAACCAGTACTCCTCAAAACTGTAGGTCATCAAAAACAGGAAAAAGTCTGAGAAACTGTTACAGCCTAAAGAAGCCGAACAGACACGACAACTAAATGTAGTGTGCTATCCTGGATGGCAGGCTGGAAGAAAAAAAGGAGGGTAGGTAAATACGAAGGAAAACTGAGTAAACAATGAATAATGTATCAGTATTGGTTCATTAATTGGAACAAATATAGGAATGTGAGAGATTAATAAGAGAAATGGGTGTAGGGCTTACAAAAACTATGTCATTTTTCTGTAAATCTAAAGCTGATCTAAAAAATAAAGTTTTTAAAAAAACTTTTTAATTAAAATGACAAGAAGGATGGGAGAGAAAGGATAAAACAAAGCTTTAAAAAGCATCCTTTCCCTGTGCAGGCTTCACTCTGGGAGCCTTTTAAAGGGAAGACACCTGAACAGATTGTTTGGATGAAAGAAACAGATCAAGTGGCCAGAAAGAAAGTAAGAAAATAAAATTATTTTGTCCTCTTGCAACTGGGGGTGGGGAGATCTACATGTTTTAAATGAATTCATCGGTACTTCTTCTGACTGTGCCTTCCTACAAGACAAAGCTCAAGGGTCAGCCTCAGAGACACATTTCCCGCATCCCTGAGCCCCTGGGCCTCGCTGCTTGCCTCCCCTGAGGTAGAATGTCACTCATCTGTTTACCAGAATCCTCATCCATGCAACACTGGTCCCCAGCTCTGTACAGGCAGTAACTCAGCCGCTGTTGAACCCTCCCTATCAGACTCATCCAACTGTGAACCAGCAGCCTTCAAACCCACTGCTGGGTGCTTAATAAATGCTTGTTGGATGAACTCAAGCTGGGCACATAAATTCACACAGACTTCAACAAGAGGAGAGAAGGAATGGTGCAGTTCTGGACAAGACAAAGAAGAAAAAGCCTCATGAATGACCCCACATTCTCAGGGGTAATAGGGACCACATGCATTTGTGCTGTGGGCATGAAGAGAAGATAGGGTCCACCGAATCCTGTACCTCTAACACGTGAATACTTCAAACACTTAAAAAGACTTGGATATTATTTAGTGCAGTGGCCTCATTTTACAGAGACAGAAACCAAAGCCAGGAGGGATTTGGTGACTTGCTCAAGGACACAAAGCTAGTTATGGCACCGCCCTAATCACAAGGAGACCCAGACTCTAGAGCTAAATAACCCACCTCCACCTCTTACTAAATGTGCTAAGACTGATAGTTATTTCATAATTAATAATAATAGCTACTATCTACTGAGCATCTGCTGGGTGCCAAGCACACACTAAAAATCTCCACCTTAATCCCATATCGCAATGGAGGAAACCAAGGTCAGAGAGGAAAGTAACACGGCTGTCATACTCCAAAATCCTCCTCGGACTGTCACACATCAAAGCCCAAACTCTGGTCCAACGGTATATCAGTCCATTTTCACGCTGCTGATAAAGACATAATTGAGACTGGGAAGAAAAAAGATGTTTAACTGGACTTACAGTTCCACATGGCTGGGGAGGCCTCAGAATCATGGCGGGAGGTGAAAGACACTTCTCACATGGCGGCAGCAACAGAAAAATGAAGCAGCAGCAAAAGCGGAAACCCCTGATAAGCCTATCAGATCTCGTGAGACTTATTCACTATCACGAGAATAGCATGGGAAAGACCAGCCCCCATGATTCAATTACCTCCCCCTGGGTCCCTCCCACAACATGTGGGAAATCTGGGAGATGGTATTCAAGATGAGATCTGGGTGGGGACACAGAGCCAAACCACATCATTCCGCCCCTGGTCCCTCCAATCTCATGTCCTCACATTTCAAAACCAATCATGCCTTCCCAACAGTACCCCAAAGTCTTAACTCATTTCAGCACTAACCATAACTCCACAGTCCAAAGTCTCATCTAAGACAAGATAAGTCCCTTCCGCCTATGAGCCTGTAAAATCAAAAGCAAGCTAGTTACTTCCCAGATACAATGGCGGTACGGGTATTGGGTAAATAGAGCCATTCCAAATGGGAGAAATTGGCCAAAACAAAGGGGTTACAGGCCCCATGCATGTCCAAAATCCAGCCAGGCAGTCAAATTTTAAAGCTCCAAAATGATCTCCTTTGACTCCAGGTCTCTACATGGACTACATTTAGTTGTCATGTCTGTTCAGCTTCTTTAGGCTAAAACAGTTTCTCAGACTTTTCCCCGTTTTTGATGACCTACAGTTTTGAGGAGTACTGGTTATATACTTTGTAGAAAGTCCCTCAATTGGAATGTTTTCCTTTTTCCTTTTTTAACTTGGGATTTTGGGACGTGTGAATGTTTATGCATCCTGTATCGGCATGACATCCAGGTCACACTGATGCAAGAGGTGGGTTCCCATGCTCTTGGGCCGCTTCGCTCCTGTGGCTTTGCAGGGTACAGCCTCCCTCCCAGCTGCTTTCACGGGTGGGCGTCGAATGTCTGTCTGTGGCTTCTGCAGGTGCAAGCTGTCGGTGGATCTACTATTCCGGGGTCTGGAGGAGAGTGGCCCTCTTCTCGCAGCTCCACTAGGCAGTACCCCAGTAGGGACTCTGTGTGGGGGCTCCCACCACACATTTCCCTTCCGCAATGCCCTAGCAGAAGTTCTACATGAGGGCCCCGTCTCTGCAGCAAACTTTTGCCCGGGCATCCAGGTGTTTCCATACATCTTCTGAAATCTAGGTAGAGGTTCCCAAACTCGATTCTTGACTTCGGTGCACCCGTAGGCTCAACACAATGTGGAAGCTGACGAGGCTTGGGGTTTCCACCCTCTGAAGCCACAGCCCAAGCTCTACATTGGCCTCTTCCAGCCACAGCTGGAGCAGCTAGGACACAGCGCACACAGCATGGGGCCTGGGCCCAGCCCACTAAACCACTTTTCCCTCCTGGGCCTCCAAGCATGTAATGGGAAAGACTGCCATGAAGGTCTCTGACATGGCCTAGAGACATTTTCCCCATGGTCTTGGGAATTAACATTAGGCTCTTTGCTACTTATGCAAATTTCTGCAGGCGGCTTAAAGTTCCCCTCAAAAAAAAATGGGTTTTTCTTTTCTACTGCATCGTCAGCCTGCAAATTTTCGGAGCTTTTATGCTCTGTTTCCCTTTTAAAACTGAATGCCTTTAATAGCACCCAAGTCACTTCTTGAATGCTTTGCTGCTTAGAAATTTCTTCCACCAGATACCCTAAATCATCTCTCTCAAGTTCAAAGTTCCACAAATCTCTAGGGCAGGGGCAAAATGCCGCCAACCTCTTTGCTAAAACATAACAAAAGTTACCTTTGCTCCAGTTCCCAACAAGTTCCTCACCTACATCTGAGACTACTTCAGCCTGGACCTTATTGTTCATATCACTATCAGCATTTTTGTCAAAGCCATTCAACAAGTCTCTAGGAGGTTCCAAACTTTCCCACATTTTCTTGTCTTCTTCTGAGTCCTCCAAACTGTTCCAACCTCTGCCTGTTACCCAGCTCCAAAGTCGCTTCCACATTTTCAGGTGTCTTTTCAGCAACACCCCACTCTACTGGTACCAATTTACTGTATCAGTCCATTTTCATGCTGCTAATAAAGACACACCTGGGACTGGGAAGAAAAAGAGGTTTACTTGGACTTATAGTTCCACATGGCCACAGAGGCCTCAGAATCATGGCGGGAGGTGAAAAGCACTTCTTACATGGCGGCAGCAAGAGAATAATGAGGAAGAAGCAAAAGCGGAAACCCCTGATAAACTCATCAGATCTCAAGACTTATTCACTATCATGAGAATAGCACAAGAAAGACTATCCCCCATAATTCAATTACCTCCCCCTGGGTCCCTCCCAAAGTACATGGGAATTCTGGGAGATATGATTCAAGTTGAGATTTTGGTGGGGACACAGCCAAACCATATCACAAGGTGATCTTCCCCATCCCATGCTTCAGCTGTCTCATGCGCCAGGCACTGTCCTAAATGCCTTTCATGGATGGACTCATCCATTGCTCACCTGAACCCTATGATGCTACTGCTACCTGCAGCCCCATTTTACAGATGAAGAAACTCAAGCCTATTTTGACCTCCCAGTTCTCACAGGCAGCAAGCAACAAACCTTATCCATAAATCAGGATGGCAAAAATTTTGCCTGCAGTTTCTTATAAAACTAAACATGCAATTGCCATTTGACCCAGCAATTGTACTCTTTGGCATTTAGAGAAATGAAAATGTATGTTCACACAAAAACCTGTACACAAATGTCTACAACATCTTTATTTGTAACAGCCAAAGACTGGGAGCAACCCAAATGTCCTTTGAACTATGGGTAAATGGTTCAATAGAGTTAATCTGTGGTTAAACAAACAATTAAACTGTTTTATGTACATACCATGAAATAACAGCAAAAAGGAATGCACTATTGATACAATACACATAACACTGGATAAAACTCCAGGAAATTATACTTGGTGAAAAAAAACAACTCCAAAAGGTTACATACTGTATGACTCCATCAGCCTAACATTTTTGAAATGACAAAATTTTAGAAATGGAGAACAAATAGTGCTCCAGGGATTGGGGACAAGGGAGAACATGATGGGGGAGATGGGTGGGGCTATAAAGACCGAATGAGGGATCTTTATGAGGAACTGTTCAGTCCCTTGACTGTGGTGGTGGATACATGAACCTACATGTGAGAAAACTGTACAGAAATACATCTGTGCTCTCATGCATGTGCACACACAAGTACAAATAAAATGACACTCTGATCTGTGGCCTGTATCAATATATACTGTTGTGATAATGTACTACTGTTCTGCAAAATGTTACCACTGGGAGAAATTGGATAAAGTGTATGCCAGATCTCCCTCTATTAGTCCTTTTCTGTTTATTTTTTACACAGGGTCTGGCTCTGCCAACCAGGCCGGAGTACAGTGTTGCAATCTCAACTCACTGCAGTCTCAACCTTCCAGGCTCAAGCGATCCTCCCCAACTCAAGCCTCCCAAGTAGCTGGGACCACAGGTGTGAGCCACGACGCCTGCCTAAATTTTGCATTTTTTTGTAGAGATTGGGTTTTCCTTTGTTGCCCAGGCTGGTCCTGGGCTCAAGAGATCTGCCTGCTTCAACCTCCCAAAGTGCTGGGATTACAGGCGTGAGCTCACACCTGGCCCCTCTATTAATTCTTAAACTGCATGTAAATATACAATTATCTCAATAAGAATTACAAGTTAAAAAAAAAACTTTCCTGCCCAAAAGCTGGGTTTGATAATCTTCTATATTCCTTTCATCTCTTAAGACCTGCAAAATTCCCAATGTCTCCAAAGCCAGTCTTCTTTCCACCATACCACACAACAGCTTCAAAAGCCAAAGCAAAATTAACTCTTGGCAAAGGGAAACTAAGAAAGTAAGCCACCATTTCATAGAATTCTGCATTGCTAGTCATTTTACGTCCCCTCTGAAAATCACTCCAATTTGCTTTTTTCATTAAACTGACTTCTGGCCAAAAAAAATGGAAAATGTGATCCTATAAAACGTTCTTGCTCACCAAATAATCTCTCCCTATCTATGTGCCACCTCCACAACAAGAAGTAACCAATATACAAATTTCGGTTCTGAATCCTCCTTGGAAGCAACAGCGACAATGGATTATTGGTTCCCAAATGGTCAACGGAGCACAGGAAACAGGACAGTGGGTTAGGAGCTGAGACAGTCCCTAAATTCAGGCGTCACCTTGGCCAGGTCATTTAAACCTGAGTCTCGCCTTTCCCATCTATAGAATGGGGATGTGGAACCTCCTTCGTAGATTACAGGAACGATTTAGAGATAATCTACGTGCCCGGCACTGGTATTTATTAGTTCATTAGTAGTAACAACCGAGCCAAGCTCATTTTATGTGCACCTGGCCATGAAGTTCCCATTCACAGCCTTAGAATCCCCTCCTCACCGAGGTTAATGGATAACCCAGAACCTTCCCCACCTGGACCTCTCCTCTTTCAAACACCGCACAGCTCATCTCATCTCATCTCATCTCATCTCATCTCATCTCATCTCATTCCATCCCATTCCATCCCATCCCATCCCATCCCATCCCAACCCACCCCCACCAAAAGGAAAACAGACCAGCCTCGGGATCGGCCACCTCCCCAGCAGCCCCGCTCTTGGGCATCTCTGCGCCAGCCCGACTCGGCTGTTACTATTATTACTATTGATGAGTAACAACACCTAACGGTGCGTGGGAGTGGCCGGCTCCCAAGGGAGGCCTGAGGAACCCCAGCCCCGCGCGGCCCAAAGCCCCTCAGATGCAGATTTCGGGCTAAAAATCCCAAGAATATATACAACAGCTTTCCCGACCGGGGAAAGGCGCGAGTTGTGAAGTTTCTAGAGCGCATTTTTCCCCGTTTCCCCGAGTCGCTCCGCAGGAGCGATGCTGCCTGCGGCTGGGGGTGTGGGCACCGGGGTTCGCGACTGGAGGCCCTGGAGGTCCGCAGCTGGGCTGGTCCGGGTCCTAGGGCGCCCGCTTCCCAGCTGAGCGCGCAGGAGGGGCCCCAGGCGCCGGGGCGGGGTCGCCGCCTCACTCACCTTCTGTGCTTCTCTTCGCCTCCCGGTAGCGCTCCCACAGGTAGCGCTTCATGTCCGGGGCGGTCCCGGGTGCAGTGCACAAGGGCCGGGCGGGGCCCGCACACGGCCGCCCCCGAGCCGCGGTCCCGCAGCCACCCCGCAAAGCCGCCGCTGTCGCTGCCCTCGCCCCGGCCCCGCGTGCCACCACCGCCGCCGCTGCCATGGTCATGCCTGCTGCCTGCTGCCGCCACCGCCGCCGCGCCGCTCTGCGACTGCTGCTGCCCGGCCCAAGATCTACCCGCGCTCTGCCCTGCAGGAGGGCAGCTCCTGCGTCGGAACACGTGGCGGCGCAGGCCTGCCCTCCCGCCGCTGCGGGGCGGGGAGTGGGCGGAGCCGGAGGCGGGGTCTAACGGGGGCGGGGTCGATGGGGAGTGGGCGGGTCTGGGACGGGGGCGGAGACGGGGCGGGGCGGGGCCGGGCCGGGGGCCCCACGCCCAGCCTGCTGCGGTCAATTTCAGGGTGGCGCGGGGGTGGCCGTGTGGTGTGGTGGCGCGCAGGCCACATGGGATGGAATGATGAGGTACGACCCCAGCGCCGCCCGCCCAGCTCCGCCGCACCTTCGTCCTGCCTTCTGGGACTGACCCCCAGCTCTGGCCACAAGGACAGCGCCCCTCCCACCCCAGCTGCTCTGGCCCCGGCCCTAGAAGGTGACCTCTCTCCGCATTAATGGCCTCTGGCAGTCTAATTAATGGCAGTCTGGACCTCCCCTGGATCGTGGGGCCCCTCTGAGACGTCCCCGATCCCCAGCTTAAATTTATCCAGGAGGACCTGTGAGTGGGTGGCTGGGCCGAGGTTCCACTCATGGGCTGATGTCGGCTGGAGGATCCCAGCCCCTTAAGACCTCAGTAAGTTTGAAGGGCCCTCCCATTACACAGCCTGGAAGGCCAATGCCCGCCCCCCGCCTAGGTTTCCGCCTGGCGGCAGAGGTCATTGGAACATGGTCACCCAGCTCCTGCCCCTGCCCACGCTAACGGCTCGGTGCACAGGTCTTCTCTCAAACCTGCTAGGCTCCACCCGTCCTGTGCCTGTGGTTCCACTAAAGCCAAATGAACCGCAACCTCCCTGCCTGGGGGCAATTCTGTGTGGACTGAGTCAGACAGAGCTTCTGCAGGAAAGACTGATGTGGCCCAGCCAGAACCCTGCTGAAAATCGCCGGGCAGCAAGGACTTCCCAAGCTGTCCTGTGGTTACTTAATTTTGAGCAGGTGGAGTAGGGGGAATGGCCCTCAAGGCTGGCACTCTGCCAAGGAGACCATACTGGCTTGTGTGAAATGGGTGGAACACAGTTTAAGACAAATAACCCAAGGCATTAGTGTATGCTCCAGTTGTGGGATGGAGGGGTCTGGAGGTGTTTCATGGAAAAAGGTGGCATCTGGGTTTAAACTACCATTTATTGAAGGCTTGCTGTATGCAGTATCTCATGTAATCCTCTCAGTAATCCTGAAAAGCAGACTCCATAATTTCTCCAATTTTATAATATAGTCAATCCCTCTATACCTGCCGAGAATCGGTTCCAGAACACCTGCCCCATACCTACATACCAAAATCTGCGATGCTCAAGTCCTTTATATAAAATGGCTAGTATTTGCGTTCACACATACTTCTATATATTTTAAACCATCTCGTTTACTTTTTTTTTTTTTAAGACAGAGTCTTTCTCTGTCACCCAGGCTGGTGTGCAGTGGTATGATCGCAGTGCACTGCAGCCTCGACCTCCTCTGCTTAAGCGATCCTCCCACCTCAGCCTCCTGAGTAGCTGACATTACAGGCGTGAACTACTATGACCAGCTAATTTTTGTATTTTTTTGTAGAGACGGGGTCTCGCCATGTTGCCCAGGCTTGTCTCGAACTCCTGGACTCAAGCAATCCGCCCACCTTGGCCTCCCAAAGTGCTGGGATTACAGGTGCAAGCCAATGCACCAGGCCTCAATTACTTTTCATACCTAATACAATATAAATGCTCTGTAAATAGTTGTGATACTGTATTTTCTATTTGTATTACTTTTCATTGTTGATTTTTTTTCTAATATTTTTATCCATGGTTGGTTGAATTCACGAATGCAAACCTGCAGATACAGAAGGCTGACAGTAATGAAACCGAGGCCAAGAAAGATGAAATAACTTTCCTAAAACCACACAACTGAACCCATTCTTCCATTTGGCCTGCTAACATATAGTATGTAGGATTTAGGTGGGTGACAGGGAAGAAAGTAGCCAATAAGTAATCCTTAACAGTTAATGGTTAATGTTTTACAAATCACTGATAAAATGAGACAATAAAATGTTTAAAACATATGATATCAAATACACGGGCTCTGGTACTTTAAACTTACTTTATGGTTTTAGTTTTATGCCAAATTATATATTTTTTAATTCATGTTTCATAAAAAGGGTTGGTGATAGCAATTGTAAATTTTGTTCACATGGAAAATTAATTCATAAATTCAAAATAGATAAACTACAGCAATGCAAAAATAATACAATTAGAATTTTAATAACATTGCTTCTGTATACTTTTGGATATGGAACACTATGAGATCAACATAGAAACATGGAACACTATGAGATCAACCTACCATAGAAATGTGAATCACCTAAAAATTGTTCTCCTTAAGTAAAATGAGCTACAGTGTTTAAGTGCCTAAATAATCATATTTCTAGACCTTGATTATTATCTTTCCTGTGTACTTCAGAACAAAATATCCAATAAAAGAGTTCTAATTAAAGACAAGTGGAAAAAACAGATGTCAAAAAGCCCATGATACATTTTTATTCTTTATTAATATCATTTGAGGTCTTCAACAGTTTTGTTTCAATGTGAAGTCTTCTCTGCAAAAAAGACTTCTGAGATATTGAAATATAATCTGGGCTATGAAAAAGCCACTTTTCTGATATGAACTCAGATTCCCCAGGGTTTTTTGTGCTAACAGGCCATGGCAGGGGATGGTGGTAAATGGTGGTGATTTCGCCTTCTCCACTCTCACTTTTAGCTAACAAAATTCTTTGCCTTGAAAGCTTTATTAAACCATTCATTTTACCCAAAGATAAAATGTTAGAGGAATAGTCTGTCTTTTTCTTTGAGGCTTCCTTTCCTGAGCCATTCCATATTTCAGCATTGTTTTGTGTCTTCCGTTGTATCTTTTCCTCGGCAGATATGCAAATAATGGGTTTCTTTTTCCCTTTTCCAGGAGCACATTTTGATTTATCTGAAATTGTCTGAGGTGCCAAGTCCATTCTTCTAGCCCTGTGTAATTTATCTGCATTCATGCACATTGCAGAGCTCACTGTATTAGAACTCTGAGCACTGTGGTAGTTTAATTTAACCAAGTGCTCCCATAATGAGAAGCCATTCCTAGAACCCTCAGAATGTTGCTGGCTCATACCTTGAGGCCAATATCTCCGGCTCCGGATCCACTCAATTTCTCTCAGAAGGCTGCAAAAGATCAAAAGTTGTCAAGAGGTCATATATATAGCATGAATAACCAGAAGCATATTTCTGTTTGGAACATGAAACAGAAACTCACTGCAGGATTCCATGGATTCCATGGATTGATGAATGAGAAGATCCCAGGTGGATCACCCTTAAATCAACTGATCTGTATAAATAGCCTACTGCCTCAATCATGACGTGATGACAAGAGTCACTTGCCAATAAATGACCTGCTAGATATTTGAAAATAAGATTATTAGACTTTTTATTATTCCTGGCTTCACACATTTAAAAGAGAAGGATAAGAAACATTTATAAAAGGTGGCATTGAAACATGACTTATTTGTAATATTCTGCCAAAAATATTTAACCTGAGTCTCATCATAAAGAAACAATCAGGCTGGGCACAGTGGCTCATGCCTGTAATCCCAGCACTTTGGAAGGCTGAGACATGTAGACTACTTGAGCCTAGGAGTTCAAGACCAACCTGGGCAACATGGCAAAACTCCATCTCTACAAAAAATACAAAAATTAGCTGGGCATGGTGGCATGTGACTATAGTCCTAGCTACTTGAGAGACTGAGGTGGGAGGATCGCTTGAGACCAGGAGGCCGAAGTTGCAGTGAGCCAAGATTGCACTGCTGCATTCCAGCCTGGACAACAGAGTGAGACCCTGTCTCAAAAAAATAGAAAGAAAGAATCAGACAGATACAAATTGAAGGACATTGCGATAGGGATGGGAGGATGGAACCTGACTTCAACTCTTCAAAATAGTCAATGTCATAATGACAAAACAAAGGTACTTAAATCTAGACTAAAAGAGACAAATGCAATGCAAGATCCTCAATAAGTTAACAGGTATAGAGGACATTACTAGATACTTGGGGAAATTTGAATATGGACTATAGTTAGATAATAGTCTTAGGTAATAGTTAAATTTCCTGGGTTTGATTATTGTGGTTATATGGGGGAATGTCCTTGTACTCAGAAGACATATGCTGAAGTACAGTATTTAGAGATAAAAGTGTCATGTTTGCAACTAACTTTCAAATAGTTCAGAAAAAAAAATATGTATATATGTGTCTGTGCCTGTATATGAAAGAGAGAACACAAATGTGGCAAAATATTAACAATTGGTGGGCCAGGTATGGTGGGTGGCTCATGCCTGTAATCCCAGCCCTCTGGGAGGCTGAGGAGGTAGGATTCCTTGAGCCCAGCAGTTTGAGACCAGCCTGGGAAACATAGGGAGACGCTGTCTCTATAAAAAATAATAATTACAATTTAAAAAAAATTGATGAAGATAGGTGAAGGTTATATGACCTTTCACTACACTATTCTTGAAATTTCTCTGAAGGTTTGAAATTTATCAAAATAAAAAAATTGAGAAAAAATTTTCAAACTGCCACAGTCAATAATTGAATTCTCAGCCTGGCACAGTGGCTCATGCCTGTAATCCCAGCACTTTGGGAGGCCAAGGCGGGCAGATCACTTGAGGTCAGGAATTCAAGACCAGCCTGGCCAACATGGCGAAACCCTGTCTCTACCAAAAACACAAAAATTAGCTGGGCGTGGTGGCACGCACCTGTAATCCCAGCTACTTGGGAGGCTGAGGCAGGAGAATCACTTGAATCCGGGAGCTGAAGGTTGCAGTGAGCCGAGATCGTGCCACTGCACTCCAGCCTGGGTGACAGAGCCAGACTCCATCTTAAAAAATAATAATAATAATAAAATTGAATTCTCTAAAATTTGTTAAAATAAAAACAATCCATTTTACAATCTAACTTGCAGATGGTACTTATTTATTCATTTTACCCATTTACAAGACTGCTTTTAAGGGGCTGAACTTATACCATTGATTATAAACATAACGTAAGGCTGCTGTGTGTAAGGCACTGCTTAGAAATGTGATAAAGAGACTGCTGCCTGTGTAAAGGCTAAAAACACTGACAGATGACCCAGTCAGTGTTCCTGTGTTAACAACAATAACAGCAAATATATATAAATACCATCTGTCAGGACTGTGTAATCTTATAAGGTATAAATTATCATCACCTGTCCACCTGGTTCAAAAATGAAAATGTATCAAACTGTAAAGTGAAAAGTGTCTTTCCCTTCTCTGTCTCCATCTGTGCAGTCTTCTAAAATGGAATCACTGACGTTAGTTTCTAATGTGTCCTTCCAGAGAATTTTTAGTGCCTGTTTCATTTTACTTGTCTTTTAAAGATGAGCATGCTGGATGAGCTTAAGGAACTTGTTCTAGTTCATGGAAGAACAGTCCTGGGTCAGCCTCATCCCCAAGTCCGTGCCCTGCACTGCTACACTAGGCTGCCTCTTCCCCATTCTGGACTGTGCTTCTGAATATCAGCCGTGGCTTCTGCTCGCAGAGATGTTCTCTCTCTGTGGCTCTGCTTCGTGGATCAGACTCTGTATCTCACATTGCCTGAAGCTTTCTCTGGAAATCCTATAGGAAATTTCAGCTGCTGTCTCTGCTTAGCGATCTGTGACTATGTTTCTTCTTTTTGAACTATTTTCATGACTCCCTGTGATGTTCCCAGGTGCCTCAGTCTAGCTCAGCAGAAGACACTTGTGAATTACCCTGTTCTTGACGACCAAGTTGCATTGGCCTTAAAAGGAAAAGTGGAGAAAAATAGAAACTGGATGTGTCATGTGGTGGCAAACACAGAACCCATCCTCAGAGATTCTCTGGGCACCAATAACCAGATTCACAGGTGTGACTGACTCTCTTCATTCTGCCCAAGTCCCCTGAAGAGAATCTGACTTGCTATGGGATTGAGATTTTCATGCGGACAAGTTTCTGGTGCCCTTTGCATACACTACTTCATGCCTTTGCTACCCGCCTCTCTCTTGGCCACACACAACTCCTCATGCCCCTTTTCCCTGGTGACCCATTCTAGACCTGACCTATAGCTTTGACCTCAGAACTTTCTTGGATGCAATCTGACTCAGGCGGCAAGCAAGCCAGGGAAAGGACATTCTTGCCTCATCCCCACCCCCAGTTTATTCCATTTTTCTTGGAGCTGGTACCAGTTGGGTCAACCCAGTCAGTTCTCCCAACCCAGGAAAAAGGAAAGACCAGAATGGGTGAATTTAAATTGGAGAGATGTCACTGAACCTCTTCCCACCTCAAACCTTTGCCCTGGATGGGGAGGGAACCTAACATTTAATTTTGTACTCTATTGGCTGTTCTGTGTATATTATATCATTAAATCTTCACAATTACCCTATAGGTAGACTATATTATAACCACTTGATTGGTAAGAAAATTGAGACTCAGAGAGTCTCAATTGTCCACAAGCCAAGAAGATAGCAGAACTGGGATTCCAACTCAGGTCCCTAGGATCCAGGACCATAACTTCTAGAAGTGAGAAAAGAGAACACTATTCTTCCTGTTTTGTTGGTTCCAGGGAAGATTTTCCATAAAAATACATCTAGAAAGAAAGCATCAGTTACCTTTTCTATGTTGTACTTCTGGACAGAGCCACACCCATCTTATTTCCAGTGGAATGTGAATTGGGGGTGGGGATGGGGGGAAGGTCCGAGGAACACTCTTACGAATCTGTTCTCAGATTTTAAGTAGTAAGTTTTCCTAGTCTCCCCACTTTATTTTCAGTGCTTAACATTAAAAAGATGGTGGAATATTTATTATTTCCTTAGAAAAACAAAACAAGATATTTCATCCAAAGATAGTCCTCTATCCTATTAAGTACTCTTCTAAAGCACAATTTTTCCTAATTTTTATTCTACTGAAATTAAAATTAAGTCCTGTTCCTCTTGCTTCACATAATATTTGCTGTCACCTAACAGGTGGATTTTTGCAATGCCAGTCCAGCGTGAGAGATGTTTACTTTTTTCCCAGGCCAACAGCAACAATCCAGGCAGTTGTCTCCAGGTGACAGTGAAATCTCTCCAGTGTTGACAGAGGTCTCAGGAAGTTTCCCTGAATGAATAACTCAGTGGATGAACCACCCCTGGGAGGGATAGTTCGTTACTGGGCAGCATCCACTGAGTTATTCTGTGCTGGGAGCGAATGGGATTAAGAAGTGAGGACAATCACAGCCCATAGTCTCTGTCTAGATTCTAGAAGATGGGCTGCAATTGTAAAGAGGAAGGAAGGCCTGGCACTATCTAAAGGCTCTTTGTTGAACGTTTCTTTTTGTTTGATAATTAGGCTGTGTCTAAAGTTTCCTTGTCCAAAATCCTTAAGTTTGAGAAACTAAGTGTTTGCTCATTCTTTTTTTTTTAAACTATGAACTTAACCTAGAAGTGTTTGCTTATTCTTTCCATAAATGTGTGTATCTATAAACAGGTTAGGGAAAAAGCTGTGTATCATTGTCCCAAATAAAGTAAAAGGTTGCAATTGGATGTCTCCATGGGCCCTCAATTTCTGCTCCAAAGAAAACAGTAAAAGAGGTTAAGGGGTCCTTTCCCCTACCCCACTCCACTGAAACCGTGGCCTAGTCTGGCCCAAAAGGACCTGGTTGCAGATGGCAAGTAGCGTCCTCTGTTGTCTTCCCCCAGTTCTGCATGAACTCACTGCACCAATTAAAGGAGACGGGCCTGTGCAGGAGCCCCACCTTTAAGCAGAGGGAACAGATTGTTCTCTCTTAAACAGGCTTTTGTCTCTACCACCAAAATTGAACATTCCCTGTGATCTCTGTGTTGCTAAACACAGCGGTCCGTACTCAATCTGGCAGTCAGTTCTCAACACTCTCCACTCTTGGCTTCATTGATTTGACTGCTTCTTGGCCTGCCTCTGGAGCCATTCTTCATCTTTTACTACAGCCCTTTCCTCTTCTCACCCCTTAAATACTGGCATTCTTCCAAGTTCTATCTCTGGCCATTGTCTTGTCTTACATTCTTCTTGCTTCTTTCAACCATTCTACTGAGTTGAGCCAGCAAGTGTACACTAAGGACTCCCAAATGTTTTCTCTGGCTCAGTCTTCAAGCTCTTAAGCACCAGACTCATATGTCCTACTGCCTACTGAATGTCTCTACTTAGATAGAAAATTCAAACTCAACAGGCCCCAAATTAGCTCACTGTGGCTCCCACCCCACCCTACCAAACTATGCTCCCTCTCTTGCAATGCCAACAGCATCATGAACCCAGGTGCACTGACCTATGATATAGTTGTAAACTGGGAAATGCTTTTGGCTTTCTCTCACCTCCCACATCCAATCAAGCACCAAGCCTGTTGGATTTACCTACTAAGTCTCAAATCTGACACTCTCTCTCTATTTCTACCATCCCCTCTTAGTTTACCAATTCCATCCCCCATTTGGTCACAAGATTGTTTTATCTTAAACACAAACTTACTCATGCCCCTTAGTGCTGGAAATCCTACAGCAGCTTCCCTGTCAAGCCCTTGAGCCTGGTAAACCTTGCTGATTCCTTCAGCATCATTCCCCAACTCTCCCCATTCCAGAGTTTCAAACCACCCAAGTTCTCCCTTCCTTGACATTGTTCATGCTGATTCTCCTTACCTAAAATGCTCCTCATGAACTTCTTCACCAGGCACCTGTCAGAACTCACAGCCCAAGCCACTGTCTCTGGAAAGCCTTCCTTCTTGCCTCGTTTCTGTGCATCCCTGTGCCCTCTCCAATGTCCGTCACAGTACATAACACATTGGATTGCACTTCTCTTCATGTGCTTGTCACCCCAACAAGACCACAAACTCCTAGAGTTCACAAACAGCGGGAAGGGCTTGGGACTGGGGTCAGAGAAATGGATGCCAAGTCTGAGATCTACTTACTAGCTGTGCCTGGTCTTTGTGAGCCTCGATGATTATAATATCTAATCCATAGAATTCTCTGATCAAATGTACTGGGGCAGGTCATGTGATGTATCTGCTATTCCCTCAGCTTTAAAATTAGTTCAGTGACCTCTAGAGCCCTTTCCAGGTTTAAAAGTTTTCTAAGTTTATGAGGCCTACTTGACATTTTTTTTGCACCCAATACGGTTTACAATATATAAACTATTAAAAATGATTAAGCCTACACAAATAAAAAGTAAGCTCTGTTAACACACATAAACTGGTTTTCTGGATTAACCAGGATTCTCCATTTCTTCTATAAAACATACTCCCCAATGTCCAGGTAACACTAAATGCCTGCAGCTAGCAGGCTTATCTCTACTTTGCTGGCATACTTCTATTCCCAACAGTTGGGTTCTGGTATACCCCAGAGTCAATTGAGTATGTCAATCTAATTAGGTAATTTAACTGACTGCAATACAGACTAATAAGATATGAGTATGAGATAAAAAGGAGTTGTTTTCTCTGAAAACCAGACTGAATTCTTGGGAAAGGCTCAATACCCTGAGCTGCTAAGAAAAATAAGTCCAAATTGTGAGTGGACAAGATAACTGCAAAAGATTGAGGGGGAAAAAGGCGGCAACTTAGAAGGATACTGCACACAGACTGCATCACAATTGTTGTCACCCTTCAGAAACCAAAACTAGAAATGGAGGGTGATGTATTTTGAGAAGATGACATCTAATTCCAATCAGAGGACCCATTAAAGAGAGAGAAAGAGAAAGAGAGAGAGATATTTTAATTACACATTTAAAAGTCTGGAGAAAGAATGGATTTATATTTAAGTTAAAATGTAAGGTTTGTCTGTATCATTTATCTGACTTGGATTAAGAGACCAACTGCTACAGTTGAAGAGGGTTCTGGCTGAGCTGGGAATTTTAAAATGAAATAAAGAGAAGGGACTGAGAGGGAATTTAAAAATGAAACAAAGAGAAGGGACTGACTCTCAGAGGGGCTAAGAGTCACCCACTAGACACTAGAGCCTTTGTTTAATTTCTTCTTTCTAAATTTGACTAAGACGGTTGGCATTTCTTTTAAACAGAATCCCAGGGAGAGAGAAGTAACATAATGTTCATCTACCACACTTCATCCAAAACAAACAGTTCAGTACAGAACACTCAGCTTGATATAATGGAACATGAAAAAGCCACATTTCTGTTCTTTTCTCCCACTTATGTGGTGTCTCAATAGCCAAATGTAAAACACTCATCAAAGGAGAGCAATGAGATTGCTCTGTGTCAGAGGTAGCTTGGAACATTAATCACAAAAATCTTCATTTTATAGTTAGGGCTCCCACTAAAATCTCTAGAATTAACAGTCTTATTAGGTTAACATTTGTACTTGAAACTGGATTTGTCACCCTCTCACAAATCTGTCATCTCAATATGTGCTTACTATAATCTCATATAAAAATGTGATTTTATAATTAAAATCTTAATTATCAAAAATTGCTGGAAGCCCACTATTTTCATACCCCTTGGAAGATTACACTGTATTATACATGTTGCTCAAATGTAATAATACAGCCTGGTCACATAGCGAGACCTCATTTCTACAAAAAATGTTTTAAAAATAGGCATAGTGGCGCATGCCTATAGTCCTAGCTGCTTGGGAGGCTGAGACCAGAGAATTACTTGAGCTTAGAAGTTTGAGATGACAGTGAGCTATGATCACGCCACTGCACTCCAGAGCCTATGTGACAGAGACTGTCTCAAAAAAAAAAAAGTAAAATAATAAAAGATCAAGAAAGGTGTCATGACATTCAAGCTAGCAATTTTCATTAACCTGAACTCTAAAATGAAATCTGAAAAGTCATCTGAAGATCATTGTTTTCCATAGACAAAAGTACAATTGGGTTGTTTCTTTCAATACTGTTAGCCTGGAGCAGAGCCATCATTTCTGCTGGATAACCCAAGACAAATTACCCAGAAAGAACCTGCTTATCCACTTCTCAGCCTACCTACAGTGACAGAGCCCCATCTACGTACAGCTAGCACTGTTTCTGATGTTTCGAAGATGCAAAGAATACATAATAAGGCCCCTGCCCTCAGGAGTTCACAGTCTGTTTGAGAGGTTAAAATATGCATCTCAGAAAGGAAGAGAAAATGAGTGTCACAAACATGTCCTTTGTGCTCTTTCATGGATTCTGGATTCACAAAATGATCTTAGAATACAATATTAGAAAGCTCTTGTGAAGATTATGCTAGAGGAAAGGCTCTGGGTTCCTCACACTTACCTACTTTGCAAAAATCCTGTACTGGTTTCAGTTGCTCTTATGGTAACACCCCAGATCTTTGACTGGGCCTGAGAGGGCTGTGACCCAGCCCTCCCAACACCTCTCCAATATCCTCCTTGTGCACCTCCTTCCCCACATTGCTCTCTGCACTCCGGGCCCTTAAAACTCCTCCCAGCCTCGAAAATTCTGTTCCTACTGCCTGGATGACTCTTCTCCTCCCTCTCTCCCACTACTAGTGAGCCACCTCTCATCCTGCAGATCCAATTTCAGCATCACTTCCTGAGATGCATCCCCAACCCACGCCCCTCCATCTGACAGATCAAGGTCACCTGTTAGTACTTGTATTTTCCCATGATAGCACTTTCCCCAACTGTAGTTAAGCCATTGTGTATTTAGTTGTCTAACTGCTGTCTCCATGGTAACACTTTCCACAATTGCAGTTAAATTGTGTATTTAAGTTGCCTGACAGCCTTCTCCCCCAATGTGAGCTCAGGGAAGGCAGTGTTGGTCTCTGTGGGTCTGGTTCATTGTTATACTCCCAGGAACTAACATAGAGATTGTCACTTAATAGGTGCAGTAAATATTATAATTAATAAATGAATGATAAGCATATAAGTAATTAACATTCAAATGCCCTTAATAATCAATACTTGCACTTCTAAAGTGGGAGGGTAAATCTGAATTAGCTAAGGCATTTCCTCTATCCTACATTCATTCACTTGGCAAGTGTTTATGAGTACCTGCTAAGTGCCACCCACTGTTCTAAGAGCATGGTATACAATGGTGGAGAAGACAGATCATGTCTCTTCTTTATAGCAAGAGAGATGAAAAAAAAACCCCTAGTGAACAGATAAATATATAATTTCAAGTAGTAAAGTACAAGTTGAGTATCCCTTATCCAAAATGCTTGGTACCAGAAGGGTTTCAGATTTCTGATTTTTTTAGATTTTGTAATATCTGCATCACGCTTACCAGTTGAGCATCCCTAATCCCAGAACTCCAAAATCTGAAAGGCTTCAATGAGCATTTCCTTTTTGCATCATGTCAGCACTCAAAAAGTTTTAGATTTTGGACTTTTGGATTAAGTATGCTCAACCTGTGCTACTTACTTTAGTACCTTAGAGGGTGACAAGGGTAAGGGTTAAATTCCATAAGATGGACAGGGAACTCTTCACTGCACATTTGTGGACAGACTTTAGACAGCCTTGATGAGCTGTAAACAATTTTCAAGAGTTTCCAAAACAATTTCCTAAATAGAACAAGCCCATTAGAGGATCACTGGCCCCCAAGCCTTCCTCAGTCTTAAGTCGCCACTTCCCTACAGGAGAGAATTTCCTTCAAATCAGCACACTGATTCAACTCTCCCACCACTGCCTGTTCTTCTTGTTTATCTCCCACTCCACACACCTCCTCTGTCCCGATGCTTCCTCATAGCCCCTCTTGACAGCTCTCAATTGATCCCCTTCACATCTTATGATGTGGGGCCAGGGACAGACTTGGGCCAGAGGCATTGTGACTTGCTGCAGGTCACACAGCTGATTATGGCCAAGATAAAACCAAAACTCAGTTCAATCCCCTCCAGCCAGGCTATGCTTTAAATCTTTAATGTGCTATATTTTTTATTATAGGTTTATATTGCCACCTAACAACAAAAAAAATAAGTTGCTTGAAGTTGAAGACAGAAGTTATCTTTTTTGTTTTTGTATCCTGCAGAGCAGTTAGTACAATCCTTTGAGCATGGGCAACCTAGTGTCTATTTGTCTCTTTATCTGCTACTGCATCCAGAAGAGACCAAGACAGATTTTTACCAAATTTAGAAGGCATGTTTGGGATGAATTAAAATACAAGCCACATGGCATTCATAAAAGTCACATTGGATAATCTAGGGGACCACTTCAAAGTGATGGGTATCTCCCCTGCAGGGCACCCAAGGATCTGCCCCACAGTGGAGACAAGCTACAAACAAAGGAAGCAAATATTAATAGTAGTTTCGCATATGAGCCACAATCCAAAGTCACAAAGGCAGATGCAAGCAATCATTTCAGTTGCCTTCAGGTGGGTGGCTTCATGCTATGAACATCAAGTGGGTGGTTGGGGGTCAGGGGTATAGATTGTTTTTCTTTTCTTTTTTTTTGAAACAGGATCTCACTCTGTCACTCAGGCTGGCATGCAATGGCAGGATCTTGGCTCACTGCAGCCTTGACCTCCCTAGCTCAAGTTATCCTCCCATCTTAGCCTCCTGAGTATCTAGGACTACAGGTGCGAGCCACCATGCCCAGCTAATGTTTTGTATTTGTTGTAGGGATGGGGATTTGCCATGTTGCTCAGAGGCCGGTCTCAACTCCTGGGCTCAAGCAGTTCTCCCACCTAGGCCTCCCAAAGTGCTGGGATTACAGGCGCGAGCCAGCACACCCAGCTGAATTGTTTTTCTTTATAGCGTAAATTATTCTCCCAAACCACCCCAGATCAACAATCTAGCTGGGTAAGATAATACCACCATATCATTCTGATATGCATTACAAGGTATAAAGTACTTAAAGACTTGCTGAATAAATGCAGCGTAATTATATGTATACCATAGTATGCATAATTATACATGTATATTATATTATACATAGTAAAATATAATCCAACTCCCATGAAAAATACATAGCTGTTGACCTCAAAGTGAACTGCTTTGAGGACTAATGTTTGGTAACACTTTTTACTGCAGCGGGCCTAAGACATGTTTAAAAATGATTAATGGTGAGAAGTCCCAACAATTTGCGGCTCTGGCTTACTTCTTATTTTATGGAGTCCACTCAGGCACATTTCCATTTAGATAGAAAATTTCCATTAAAGGTAGGAAAACTAAAAATACCTGTTACATGTTGAAGGACAGCTGGTTCAGAGGTCTCCATAAACAGACTACTTTCCCTCCCTCCACTCTTGCCTTTGTGTACCGAAGATATTGATTTGCTCTCACCATTCACCAATTGAAACCACAGCACACAAATCTCACATTAGCAGTTGGATTAACCATCTACAACGTTCCTGTGGGCCAGAAGTGGGCCTTATATTAAAGGAATCAACTTCAATCAACAGCAGGAGATAACGGCAAGAAATAGCAGCAAGAGATGACTCCTCACATAAAAATGCTTGGTCTAACCACCGTGAGTATAGACTGCAAAACTGAAATGTAGACTTATTTAAGAAGTCACAAAAAAAAAAAACAACACTGCAATCGCTACTATTACAGATGCCTTCATATCTGAAAGTAAATGAATATATTATCCTCCCATCACAGACCAGACACGAAAACTGTTACATAACAGAATATTATATGAAACGATCAGATTAAATATACTAGTTCTTTGTCCATAAACTTTCTCTAAATTTGTATCTGTATTTTCTGTTTGTAAAACTGCTTCAGCGTAGAAATATTTAGTGAAAAAAAAAATGCACATACACATTCCCAAATTTACACATTGAAAATATTCTTTCCTACAGGTATCAGGCATTTAAAGCTTTTTTCCTCCTCAGCAAGTGACTATCCTGAAAGCAATCATGTTTTCTTGTAAAACAGATGATAAGCACACAAGCTGGGAAAAGCAGCTGGTTTAGGTCAGGGTTTCTCAACCTCAGCACTACTGAGGGTGGATATTTGAGGGTGGATAATTTTTTGTTGTGAGGGGCTTTCCTGGGCATTGTAAAATGTTCAGCCACATCCCAGGCCTCCACCCACTAAATAACAGTAGCACTCCCATCTCCTAACCTCCCTCCCAGCTCCAGTCACGACAATCAGGAATTTCTCCAGACTTTCGTCCTGGGGGGCAAAATCACCCCGGTTGAAAATTACTTGTTTTGGTTGAAGAACAGATAATGCCCTGTGGCAATGAGACGACAGGACCCCTGATAGTGTTTTGTTTTGTTTTGTTTTGTTTTGTTTTGTTTGAGATGGAGTCTCACTCTGTTGCCCAGGATGGAGTGCAGTGGCGCAATCTCACCTCACCACAACCTCCACCTCCTGGTTCAAGCAATTCTCCCGCCTCAGCCTCCTGAGTAGCTGGGACTATAGCCGTGTGCCACCATGCCTGGCTAATTTTTGTATTTTTAGTAGAAACAGGGTTTCACCATGTTGGCCAGGCTGGTCTCAAACTCCTGGCCTCAAGTGACCTTGCCTTGGCCTCCCAAAGTGCTGGGATTATAGGCATGAGCCACTGCGCACAGCCGAGACTTATGTCTTACAGCTAAAATCAAGGGTGGGCCCTTGTGAAAAGCCATCTCGTTATTTCTGGTCACATGTTACTTTAGCATCACAGATGAAAAGGTATGGAAAGCTATTCATATACAGTAGAAACAATGTCTTAGGACAGAAGTGGAAGAAAGGTGGGAACCTACACTGACGGGGGAGGAGTGTGGTCAAGCAAGGAGCTCAGCCTACAAAAGAATGAAAAATGGGATGGAAACGATTTTAAGAGATACCTTTCCTACTAGGAGAACATAAGTAGGTAGCAAAAATAGTTTAAAGTCTGTGAAACAGGAGTTGCTTGGTTCAAAAATGGAGACTTTTTAAAAATAAGCGAAGTATGAGGTGAATCAAAGGGAAAAGTCACCTGCATATAACAAATAGAAGGGCGTGATTACCTAATTTACACAACGTATCGCTGAGGCTGATGCTCAGTTGCTTCCTGAGGAGTGAGGACTTGGCCAGAGTTTCTGCATTTTCCTTTATTTTTATCACTTGTTTATAATATTTAAGTACTTGCTTCCTTTGGGATCTAGAAAAGAGAAATTTAATTAAAGTTTGCATCAAAGAAGGCTGGCATGCATTCGTTCATTCATTCAACAAACATTTACTGAATGCTGGTGCTAGGGCTGGGGAGCAAAGATGAGTATGACTAACCCTTGCCCTCTGAGAATTTCTTTGAGGTAGGAGGGGAGACTGGAGAGCAAAGCAGGAGTCCACCCACAAAGGACCTTGAGTGCAAACCTAAGGATTTTGACTTTAACGTGAAGAGTTTTCATTAAGAACCTGATATGATCAAATGTACATTTTAGAATCTGCCTGGGCAGAAGTGTGGAGGACACACTGAAACAGGTGAGGCCACAGACAGGGAGACCAGTTAGGCCGGAGGAAGAAGATCGATGAAGGTCTGAGCTGACACAGTGGCCACAGGTGCGAAGGGAGATTTACTAGGGCGTGGTGTTGCACTGGATGTGGTGGTGCTGATGCTAGGGGTGCTGGGGGGCTGCTATTTGTGCAGAGAGTGATGTGGTTAAGAGCTCAAGCTCTAAAGTCAGGCAGATGTGGCAGTGGGCCACAGAGGTCAGGCTCAGCGGCTCTTCAATCAGACTTCCCAGGTGCTAACACTAGCCCCGCCACCTAAGAGCTGGGGAACAAGCATCTCAGCCTCCTAAGCCTCAACTTTCTCATGTTCAAAATGGGGATAATAGGCCAGGCGCAGTACTTCATGCCTGTAATCCCAACACTTTGGAAGGCCGAGGCGGGAAGATCACTTGAAGCCAGGAGTTCAAGGCTGCAGTGAGCTAGGATCACACCACCACACTCCCACCTGGATGAGAGAGCAAGACCCTGTCTCAAAAAAAAAAAAAAAAAAAATACAGATAACAGAGTTGTTATGGGGATTAAATGAGAAAATCAGTGTAATGTGTCAGCACAGTGACTGATGATAAACATTGCTAAGATGTATCGTTAAGATGATGCCATGGTGTCTGCACCAAGTGAGGTGGGAGAAGGAGAATTCCGTCAGGGGGTGAGGGTGTATGTGTCCAGTCTTGAGCACATTGACTCTGGGGTGCCAGTGGAATACTCAAGTGAGGATGTCCAGTAAACAGATGAAAGCATATGGCTGCTGCTGCTAACAGAGGCCTGAGAAGATGGAGACAAAGAGCACTCACCTTACGGAACAGCAGCTGAAGACCTGGGTCCTGGTGGGGCTGATGTGCTCCATCTGAGACTAGCATAGAGCCCAGGAACCAAACTCAAGAGGATGCTGATGTTTGGGCAAGAGGCAGGGAGAGAAAAGGAACCCACAAAAGAAGCTGAGCCGGCTTGATCACCCAGGAGAGTACAGTTTCAACTCTGTCAAATGCTTGCGAGGAGAGGGCCAACAAGGTCAAAAGTGCCGAGGACACTTTGGGGTTGTTTCTGATGACTTTCATAAGAGGAGACAAAACGGAGCTGGGTAAGGGAAGAAGTTCCTGGGCTCTATGCTCGTCTCAGATTGAGCGCATTAGCCCCACCGGGGCCCAGGGCTTCAGCTGCCATTCCATAAGGTGACTGTGCCAAGGATGCTGACCGAAGGATAACTACAGATGGATGGGCAAATGGTTGGGGGAAAGTAGATGACAATCATTTCACTAAGAATCTGTCACTGTTCCTCTTAAAACATTTTGTTCACTCTTCTCTGATCTGCTTTCTTAACTTTAATTTTTTAATTTGACCTCATTTGTCCAACCCTACCCAGACCCCTTCTACAAGGCCCTCAGGATCCCATGGATCACTTCTGTGGTGCATGAGTGCTGTCTCGAGGGCCCCTGGCCACCAGGGCAAAGGGTCTACACGTGCTTGAGAGGTGAGTCAAGTTACACAACAAAATGTCTCCTGGTTTGAACCAAAGTGAAAGACACAGTCACCTAAGGATAACCTTCAACAAGGAGATGGCTGGCTACTCCGTTGTTTCGAAGGTTGGCTGTTGACAGTGAGGCCTGGAGGAAGCCATCCATGTATGGTCATCAAGGCTGGCCGGGCAGTACTCGGTGTCTTGTGATTTGGGGTGGGGCAGCCAGGCAGGACAGATGACTCAGTCAGTATGCTACGTGTTTAGATTTTTCTTTTACGAGGCAACGGTTCTACAGTCAAGCTTTTTGCTTCTGTAAAGAAAGTCCTGTTCTCTGCTCACAGTGCTGGTCTTAACATGAGTAAGAGGAGGCGTATGTGGTATCAAGTGCCTCAAAAAACACCTGCTGGGGAGCAAAATAATAAAATATGAATGACTCAATTTATCAAACTCTTTTAGTGTGTGCCAGGTTTTCTGCTAAGCTCTTTACATATAGGATCTCTTAATCCTTACAAAGATCCTGCCAGGAAGACACTGTTACTTCCTTCATTTTACCAAGGAGAAAATGAATGAGATACCAAGATGTTAAGTGCTTGACCTTAACAGTAATTTCTCACTGTTACTAAGTGGCAGAAATGAAAGGTGAACTCAGGCAATCAGACTCCACAGCCCACCATCTCACCACTACTGTATAGCACCCACTGTTGTACCCTTAGGTCCTCCCTTAATTGGGCTACTCTTTAAAAGGTAGTTACCCTTTAAATGCCTTTTAGAAAGGGTTAATACTGATTTGCACTCAAGTGTTAAGAGATGACCAATATCCTAGTCTTCCTGGAAGCAAAAGCAACAAGAGGTCACCTGCCTGGTTGGAGGAAAATGACTTGGAGGAACGTGGGAAATGGAAATGGAAAAGCAAGCCAGGGAACAGGGAATCCTCACCTTATGGAATAGCAGCTGAAGCCCTGGGCCCTGGTGGGGCTGATGTGCTCCGTCTGAGACAAACATAGAGCCCAGGAAACGAACTCAGTGACAGTAGGAAAGAGGGGCTACCAAAACAAAACTTCCCAACTTCATAATGTAGCCTAGAGCATCCCTAACCATCCACACAGCTAAATCGGCTATGGAAGCAAGTGTGTGCATGGCTGTCTGTGGGTTCACAAAGAACCTTCTCTCATAGCAACCTGCCAAGAGAAGTAGCGGTCAGCCCTGGAAGATGCTCACACTCAGTCAGTCTGGAGGGTGGCACCTACAAGTGTATTTTAAACTGAGATGTCTTGTGTGAGGCACTGAGGGGAACCCCGCACATCACAGGAGAATAAGAGGACTCCCTGAGCAAGGAGAGGTGGCTGGTGAACATGACCTGAGGCATTGGAGGCTCTGGCCTAGGTCTTGCAGAATAGAGAGCAGGATGGTGTGGTACCACAGACAACGGCCATGGCTGAGGGCTGCATAGAGACCCAGAAGTAAGAGCATCTTCCTCACAAGGCCTATGAGTGGCACTGGGAACCACTCACAACCACATTGTACTCCTATGTCATTTCTCTACTGCCAGAACCTCCTCACCACTTGTGAGCCAAGAGCTCCTTTTACTATTTTTTTTTTTGAAACGGGAGTCTTGCTCTGTCGCCCAGGCTGGAGTGCAGTGGCACGATCTCAGCTCACTGCAACTCCACCTCCCAGGTACAAGTAATTCTCCTGCCTCAGCCTCCCAAGTAGCTGCGACCACAGGCACACGCCACCATGCCCAGCTAATTTTTGTATTTTTAGTAGAGATGGGATTTCATCATGTTGGCCAGGCTGGTCTCAAACTCCTGACCACAAGTGATCTGCCTGCATCAGCCTCACAAAGTGCTGGGATTAACAGGTGTGAGCCACCATGCCCAGCCCAAGAGCTCCTTTTGAATACATTATGGTGGGGTGAATCCCCAGGCTTCTGAGCAGGGCTGGAGCCAAAGAAGTATTACAAGAGTTACCCCTGATGAGTAACCCCAGACCTCCCTGCCACTGGTAGGGGCACTTTTGGCGGGGAGACAGGAAGACACACTTCTTGAAACATTTCATAAAAACTTACTTTTTACTATCTCTCTGGGGAAAAAATAGCAAATCCGCTAAAAATTCCATAACTTCTCCAACCAGCATGTTTTTCTTGCCAAACAAGCTTTTCCTGATATTTAAGCACTCTCGAAGTTTCATTTTTGCAAGAGAGGTATTTCCAGCAACGAACCTGAAAATAAAAACACATGTGCATTTTTTACTGGGCATGTTGGTTACATTCATTGTGCAATCAAACATAATTCTCATAAACATATTGGATTTTATATAAAAAATCTGTCCTGGAAAATATAAAAAAGAGCAATTTATAATAGCAGCGAGGCGAGAACTTCAAAGTGATTTATAAGAAATTTGCACATCTTTATAAAGAAACTAGAGAGCTGGGTGTGGTGGCTGCTGCCTGTAATCCCAGTTACTCAGGAAGCTGATGCAGGAGGATTGCTTGAGGCCAGGAGTTCAAGATCAGCCTGGGCAACATAGCAAGACCCCATCTCTAAAAAAATAATAAATCAATAAATAAGCCAGGCATGGTAGTGCATACCTGTAGTCCCAGCTACTTGGGAGGCTAAGGCAAGAGGATCGCTTGAGCCCTGTTCAGTGAGCTATGATTGCACCACTGCAAACAAGCCTGGGTGACAGAGCAAGATCCCTGACTCTTAAAAAAAAATTTAAACACTAGAGCACTATTTTCACCCTCAGCACTACTGACATTTAGGCTGGATAAATCTTTGTTGTGGGGGGCTGTCCTGTGCATTGTGTGATGTTTAGCAGCGTCCCTGGCCCCTACGTACTAGACGCCAATAATAATCCCCCAAGACATGACAACAAAAATGTCTGCAGGCATTGCCAAAAGTCCCCTAGGTGGGAAAGGGCCCAAAATTGCCCCTGGCTGAGAACCACTAAGCTAGAGAATAAAAACGTTAACCATCAGCATTTCTTAACTAAATCAGTTAGGAAATGGATGAACAGGTATAGGTTAAATATCTTAATTGAAAGAATAAAAGCTAGTACAGAAAACAAAAAAAAATTTTTAATACATGTTTACATTAGAACACCTTCGATGTATTTCATGGTAGCTTGATCACGGGGATTGTTATCCAGTAAGTTGGAAATTTCAGTTGCATATTCCAAAATGTGGTTTTCTTTTAAGTATTCTTCAGATGCTGACTTTGCCAGATTGTCCAAAACTCTGACTGCAGGGAATAAATTGGCAAAGAATATAATGCTTAAGGGTTTTCTTTTTTCCACAAAAGAATTAAGATGTCAATAGGCATGGCATTTAATATCATTTCATCACTGGCAATAGGCAGGTTTTTCTTAATAAATAAACTACTGACATATACTGCATGGAGGTTGGTTTTCACGTGACATGTTTGTGTATGCACAGCAGTTTAGAGCCAAGGAGCCAAGACAATAGATTGAAACCAAATTCTGAGTTTGTTTGCAAATGAACAGGTCAGAAATAGAGTGAAAATATGGATACAATGAAGCCAAGGTAACTGAGCCCTACAGAAGGCAGCCAGTACAGTCCTGCAATAAGACACAATAAAACTATACAGCCTTATAACAAGAAGCACACGAATGAGTCTCACAAACCCAATTAATAAATAATGGGTTGTACCTAGATATGCACTGCCTTGGGAATGCACTCTCTGCAAAGGCCCCGTAATTTTGTTCCTTTATTGAGAGTTAAATATTTTGACAATAATACAGACTCCTAAAGAGTAGAAAATGGTTTTTAAGCCACACTTTGTTATGGGAAGAGAAAAAAAAAATTGTTTGGGCTGAATTGAGTTCCCTCAAAATTTGTATGTTGAAGTCCTAACCCCTAGTATCTCAGAATGTGATAGTATTTGCAAATAAGGTCCTTAAAGAAGTAAGTTAAAATGAGGTCATTAGGGTGGGCCCTAATCCAATATGATGGGTATCCTTAGAAGAAAAGGAGATAAGGATGGACACACATACATACATATGCCGAGAAAAAACCATATGAGGACACAGGGAGAAGGCAGTCATCTGCAAACCAAAGAGAGAGGTCTCAGGAGAAAAACAAAACAAAACAAAAAAACCCTGCTGACACCTTGACCTTGGACTTCTGGCCTCCAGAACTTTGAGAAATGAGTTGCTATTGTTTATGCCACCCAGGCTGCAGTCCACTGATTGTTATGGCAGCTCTAGCAGACTCATAGAATAATGTTCCAAGAAGGTGTTATTAGAGCATTGCTGGCAGCACAGAAGAGCAGATTTAACTCCTTGTGCTATGGAATTCAGGCTTCATTAAGAAGGATTAGCATTAAGCTATCAAGTAGCATCTCTTGCCATCATCAGTAGTGCCTAATTCATTGCCCAATGCCCACTGTAGGCTTCTCTGTCTTCCTCCACCCAAGGCCTCATGCCTTGCACTTGGACACCAGGGCAGGACAGTCATGTAACTGGTCTCTCTGTGTCCACTCTTACCCAACATGTAATCCATTCTCCATGCAGCAGCAAAAGTGTTCTCAAGACAGAAATCAGAGGTGTCATCCCCACCCTAAGTCCCCGCAATGGCTTCCTTTTGCACTTAGAATAAAATCTAAATGCCTGCCTGAGGCCCGAAGCCCAAGACCCTGCACAATTGGGGTCCAGCTGCCTCCTGCTCTTTGCTCACTGAGGCTTCCTTCCACTTCTAGGACAGGCCCAGCCCTCCCCCATCTCATGCTCTTCCCTCTACCAGGACTGCCCCCTCTCTCACCACTTGTGGCTCCAATAGTCCACTGGGTCTCAGCTTCACTGTCTCCTCCCCAAAGAGGCATCTTGATCTGCCTTTCACAAATATTCCCCCCACCAACACACACACACACCAATGCTCTAGCTCTATTTCTTGTTTGCATTTATGACAGCTTGCAATCATTTCATGGGTTGGCTCACTTCTATTTTCTGTGGCACTTCCTTTAGAGGGTAGAGTTGGTGCTCCTGCCTAGACCACTTTTCTGGACTCAGCATAGCACCTGGTGCATGCAGGCACTCGGTAAACAGCTCTTGAGTGCGTGAATGCTGGTCAGGGTGGAATCCTCGGTCCCACCTCTTCATCTGCTTGCTCAAGCCATAAGCCCACACCTAACCCTTGTCAGGGGACCAGAACTACAGCATGCTCCTATCAAAGCTGCCACAAATGACTTCCTGGCATCCCATTTCACCAGGTCCCCACTCCCCTACCCCTGCTGATTTGGTCTCCTTGGAAAATTAACACATATATATACCAAGCCATGGTGGCCTGACCCCTTGAAACTCTGCATTTTGGACTCTTCAGCTGCCTCTGGAGGGCCAGGCCCAGCTCCCACATAAGTGGCCCTGATTGTCACTGTGCCATATAAGTGGCCCTGTTTGCCACCAAGGTCCCAGCATACCTGTGACCAGGCTTGCCTGCATTAGGACAACAACGTGGAAGCTAGACTCTATATACCAAGGATTAGAGCTTCATAAATGTCTAGAAGAAATTCTGTACAACAAGGAGTTGCCCAGACATGCTCTGATGTCAGACAGCCTAGCTTGGACTCTCAGCTTCAGATTGATAGCTTCAGGAGCTGATGTAGTTTAAGTTATTTAATCTCTCTGACATTCAGCTATACATGCTGTATGAGGTATGTTTGAGGATAAAAGAGATCATCAGCATAAAGCACACAGTAAGCACTCAATGAATGATAACTATCACTACCAAAGTGAACTTGCAGATGAGAAACTTAGAGAGGGTAAGTAGCTTGCCCAAGGCGACGTTTGATCTTCTAGCCATGGGACAGAATTGCCCGAGGCGACCTTTGATCTTCTAGCCATGGGGCAGATTTCAGAAACAGCTGCGATTCTCTACACTAGTCCTTACCCAACTACCTTTTGCCATGCTATGCTACTCTGTACTTCCTCCTATCAAGAGGTGGAAACAGCCTGGTGACTTGCTTTGGCCAAATGAATGCGGTGGTAAGAGGCATTGTACCAGTTCTGAGCCTAAGTCTAGGCTTCTGCTCTCCCTCTTGGAATCCTGTGAGCTGCCAAGTGAGGAGGACCAGGCTGTCCTCCTGGAGGATGAGGAACACATGGTCCAGCCACCACTGTCATCCCAGCCAGACAACCACCAGACAACTAAGTAAGGTTGGACCAGCCAGCCCCATCAGCCCTGCCAGCTGACCTCAGATGCTTGCCCGGGCCAAGCCCAAATCTGTTGAGCCCATCCTGGACCAGTGGAATCCCCCAGCTGACCTACAGGCTCATGGCAAATATAAACATTGTTTTAAGCCACAGAGTTTTGGGATGGTTTTTTATGCAACAAAATCTAATTGATACAGCCATGTAAGTGTGACACACGTCTAGAGACCTCTAGTATGACTGTAAATGAGTGAGTCAAAATTTCTTAATACCTTAATCCACTAAACATTCTTTGTCTCTGCTATATCAGTGGTATCACAGTGGCCTCAGGCATCAAATACTGGAGAATAAAACATTGGCTGCCATTCATCAATTAGTACCTACTTATGTGCCAGGCACCATTCTCTGTGCTTTCCAGCTTTTAGTCTCACAACATAGCATCCATATGTAATGTGGATGCTATTTTTATCCCTACCTTATAAATATAAAAACTGTGACCCAGAAAGTTTAAGTAACGTCTCTAAAGGCACAGAGAGCTAATAAGTGAAGAAAAGGGGTTTAAACCCAGAAAAGCTGGTTTCAGAGTTGAACCATGATGCCGCCACCTTACTGCTTGAAGCTTCCTTCTCTGAAGCTCACCCTAACAGACAATGACATTCTAATAGGGTGGTCCATCAGAATCAGGAACACTTTATGTTCAATCCTCACATACCCACCAGCCCTCCAAAAACACCAAGTAGACTGGGCACCGTGGCTCATGCCTGTAATCCCAGCACTTTGGGAGGCTGAGGCAGGCAGATCACCTGAGGACAGGAGTTCGAAACCAGCCTGGCCAACATGGCGAAACCCCATCTATACTAAAAATACAAAAATTAGCCGGGCATAGTGGTGAGCGCCGGTAATCCCAGCAACTTGGGAGGCTGAGGCAGGAGAATCTCTTGAACCCAGAAGGTGGAGGTTGCAGTGAGCCAAGATCGCACCACTGTGCTCCAGCCTGGGTGACAGAGCGAGACTCTGTCTCAAAAACTAGACAAAACAAGACAAAAACACCAAGTAAACAAAACACACACATCCATTTCCTTTTTCTCACAGGTGGGAATAGTCCAGGAGGAGATTGACTCTGTGACACATGAGAGGCTGTTCCCTCTGCATGTGCCCACCGTACCTTTCTGCTTCACCAAGTCCCGGCTGTCTTCTAAGTCACTGAGTGAAAGACGCAGCATGCTTGACCATGCTTTCTGGAAATACTGGAACCCTTCCTGAGTCATTCCAGTTTCAAGATACAGTTCTCCAATAGCATTCTGTACTTTGAGAAGCATGTCTGTCATGGACTGGCTCTGTACAAAATGAAAAGGGAACCACCCCTGAGAAAACACAGCATTAGGATACATACAGATACCAGATACCTACCCAACAAAGGCTTATTCATAATGACATTGAAAAAGACTGTATGCTTTACATCATTTCTTAGGAAATTCTAAATATATATATAAGATAATGGTTATGGTGAAAGATGTATTGGGAGGCATTGCAAACCCAGTTAATGTTTGTATTTTTAGTAGAGACAGGGTTTCACTGTGGTTGGCCAGGCTGGTATCGAACTCCTGACCTCAAGTGATCCGCCCGCCTCGGCCTCCCAAAGTGCTGGGATTACAGGCATGAGCCACCGTGCCCAGTGGAAATAAAAAATTTTAAAGAATAACGTGACAATGTCTTGCATGTGTTAAAGATTTCAGAGGAGGTGGTATCCAGAATTCAAATGAATAGCTGTGAACGCTGCTTGAATTCAAATGTGACCAGAGAGCAGCTAACTTTATGTTTGACACATTTGTGCACAGAGACTTGAATTTAAATTCCCCTTACTGGTCTAGCATATTTATTTCAGGATGTAGGGGCCAAGGAAAAACTTATCCTTTACCCTCTGAAGTTTCGCCGAAAAAATCAACTGACAAAAGGCAGATTAATAGGAGAAATGGCATACACATTTGTTAGCACGCACAGTGGGGAATTATAGAATACAGACATTTTTATACCCTGCCTCTCAGGAGAAGGGAGATGGGGAAGTAAAGATAATTTTAGGGGGGGTAGTAAATTATTTTTAGGTGAATTCAATGACCCAACGCACCACCATGCTCAGCTAATTTTTGTACTTTTAGTAGAGATGGGGTTTCACCATGTTGGCCAGGCTGGTCTTGAACTCCTGACCTCAAGTGATCCATCTACCTCAGCCTCCCTAAGTGCTGGGATTACAGGCATGAGCCACCACACCCAGCCCCAGAGATCAATTTTTAATAAACATATCACCTAAATCAGGGTTTCTCAACCTGGGCTCCACTGGCATTTTGGGCAGGATAACCCTGCACTGTGAGGAACTATGCTCTATGGGATGTTCAGCAGCACCTCTGGCCTACCCACTGGATGCCAGTAGCAACTCTCCCCCAAGCTATGACAACCAAAAATGTCTCCAGCCCTGCCAAATGTTCCCTGGGGACCAAAATTGTCCCCTAGTTGAAAACCACTGGATTAAATTTTAAAATGACCTTATCTGAAGAAATTATAAAAGCAGTACAGTACAGAATGCATATATCACAAATAACAAGATCTTTCCCCTCAAGAATGTTAGTTTGCTATAACAAGCGACGACCACACAAAAAGAATGTCAGGTACATAACAATGCATTTCTCAGAACAGATTTCTGTTGTTAAGTGATGTACGACTATATTTACATAGCATTAATATTCTTTACTAGCTCTTAAGACAGTTTGTAATTATATATTGATTTGAATAATCATTGGACTAATGTCTTATTAATAGTTATTTCTCCCAAATGACTGCAAGCTGCCTGAGGGGAGAAATCATGTTTGATTCTTGCTATTGTATCCCTGGAGCTGGGTTATGTATGATGAAGCCTCTATAAATATTTTGATCTCCATTTACGCAGCATTAGAGAGGTTCAGTTACCACTTCAAAAGCGAAGTAATGTTAAAAATGAAATATGCCAAACTTGATTTGTATTAAAAATAACCTGTTAGAAACCAAAAAAAAAAAAAAAAAGAATGTCAGGCACATATTTCAAATAAGTTGTTATTGCCCAAAATAGTCATAAAACCTCTTTTGGAAGTGCCTTCAGAGCCTAAAAACATTCTTTTAATAGTCTTCATGGTGGCTAGTCCCAAAGAACTGCTGCAAAAATATTTTGAAGATAGAATCATAAGATTGATGCCTCCAGAAGGAGCACTCTGAAGTGGGAAGTTCTCTTAAAAGCTTAAATCAAACTCCCTTATATTTCTCACCTAGGCCTCATTTGCTTCATTACTCAAAGACAGTAACAACAAAATAGCTACCATACTTAAGATCTTACTGTGTGCCAGACATTATGTGAAGTGCTTTATGCACCTTCTTACTTGACCATGTTAACAGTCCCTTGAGATAGATATTAGAATCCTCAAAAATGAGAACTCACCAAAGCGCAGGTTAAAATTCCTACCAAGATCACACAAGCAGAAAGTGGCAAAACTGGGATTGAAATCTGGGTCAGTATGAAAACAGCCCATGCTCTGTTCACAATTGCATGCCACCTTCTAAGGGCATGGAGGAACCTGCCAGTTCAAATTGATTTATAGATTCACTTCTGACAGTTATTAAGCACCCACAGGCTATAATATGCCATGGAGGAACAAAAATTGATAAACAAACATGGTCTCTGCCATAAAAGGACTTTCATTGCTGAGTCTTTTAAGTCTCTTTACTAGAACTCCTTCTAGAAAGACATATGTTGATGGCGACGAGGGCAGTGTTTTACGAAAGTTTAAATGTCTTTGTTTTAAAATAAAAACAGCTTTGTCTTGAGTTAGACTACCCTAAATCCACAAATTCTACTAAAATCAGTGAAAGTTAATACTTAAAAAAAAAAAATAGCAGTTAGGCCAGGAGTGGTGACTCACACCTATAATCCTAGCACTTTGGAAGGCCAAGATGGGAGGATCGCTTGAGTTCAGAAGTTTGAGACCAGCCTAAGCAACGTAGCAAAATCCTGTCTCTCCAAAAAATTGAAAAACTAGCCAGGCGTGGTAGGGCACCCCTGTGGTCCCAGATACTTGGGAGACTGAGGTGGGATGATTGATTGAGCCGGGAAGGTTGAGGCTGCAGTGAGCCATGATCACACCATTGCACTCCAGCCTGGATGACAGAGCAAGACCCTGTCCCCCCAAAAAATAAACTTACATTAAATAAAATAGTAGCTAAATGTCATCATAAGCATATAGTTGTTATGAGTTATGTTATGTTATGAGTTATGTTATGAGTGATGCTTTCATTGTAGTCAACAAAGCCAAAAGTTCATATTTCAGAAAAAGCAAATCAATATAGGGCCAAGACATCAATCAACCTTCCCCAATCTCTCTCTCTCTTTTTTTTTTTTTAGATGGAGTCTTCCTCTGTCACCAGGCTGGAGTGCAGTGGAGCGATCTTGGCTCACTGCAACCTCCGCCTCCCAGGTTCAGGTTCAAGCGATTCTCCTTGCTTCAGCCTCCCAAGTAACTGGGACTACAGGTGCGCGCCACCATGCCCAGCTAATTTTTGTATTTTTAGTAGAGATGGGGTTTCACCATGTTGGCCAGGATGGTCTCAATCTCTTGACCTCATGATCCGCCTGCCTTGGCCCCCCAAAATGCTGGGATTACAAGCGTGAGCCACTGTGCCTGGCCTCCCAACATCTTTATGAAACTTATAACCAAGTCTTTGGCTAGTCTTTTATTAATTCATTTCAATCTACCAGTGTATTCCCATTTTTGCTTCATGAACATTTCTTTTTTTTTTCCGAAGTGTCAACTATCAGTACTCATTCATTCTATAATGATTCCTATCTACTTATTGTTTGTTGTCATTAATGTGCAGTTTGGGCATGGGTTAAAATCATAGCTTCCTCATTGGCGAACAAAATGGATTCCTCTATGGCATTAAATTAATTTTACATGAACAAAGGTAAATAATATCTGAAAATATCTAACACAAAAGGAATAAAGTTTGAAGGATTTAAAATATACTCTCAGTTTACCTGTACTAACATGTCCTCAACACTCAAGAACAACTCTTCTGCTTCATTGGTCTTGCCCATAAACTTCAAAAAACTCCCAATAAAGAACATTAATCGACATTTGTCAAGGACAGTAAGTTCAATAAGCCTGCACTGCAGCACTAGAATGGAAAGAAAAGTAAATAATCCCACAGCATGTTTGGAAAAGAACAAAGAGTACCCATTGCTTAATCTTAATATTGATATAGAAGTTAAATGCATTAGCCATAGTTCAGGTTCTCTCTCAAGGGTTCAGCACTTTGCTTGTATTAAGATTTACATATAATGCCAAACAGTTTATACTATGACATGAAAAATAACTAATAATCTTTGTATGTAAATGTTGAAAACTAGTCAATAAAGAGTATTTATAGCTCAATCCATGCATTGCTCTAATTTGTATTTTGGGGTGATTTTCAGATAAGAAGAAAAAGATATTTAAATTTCTTACACCATTCTGCCCTCTGTTGCAACTATCTTGAACTGCTGGCTTTAACAGAAAGAAAATCCTAAAAGAACAAAATAAGGAGACATACAGTGTGTGTGTGTGTGTGTGTGTGTGTGTGTGTGTGTGTGTGTGTGTGTGTGTGTGTGTGTAGTTATACCTTATACACATATGAAAACAGAATTTTTTAACTTAAAGACCCAATTAAATACATGGTGCTGCAAAGCTTCATTTTTAGAATTTCCTTTTCCATATGTTCCAGTATCTAAATGTCTACATTTGTTCATTTGTTAAAATTATGGCATTTAATATGTTTGACATAAATATATTCTTTGCTCCTCATCTGTTCCTTTGCTCACGTTGAAGTCACCTCAGCCTTGACTGTTCTCCTGCTTTCTTTCTGCCTGTTTTTCCATGGATCACATTCCACAACCCTCAGCTTTGTAGGGAGGCTGGAGCTATGGTGCTTCAAGTCAAAAAGCAAAAACTAAAACACAGACAAGGGAGACAGAATGCTGAGAGCCAGAGTCCAGGACGTTTGTGCAAAGTGGCCGTTCAAGCAATGGGGCCTGGGGTGGGAATGAGAACTTAGAGGAAGAAGCAAGAGACAGGGAGCCTCCGAGTCAGGAGGAGCTGCTTGGAGCAGGCAAACAAGGATGCCTAGACAAACAGTGCAGGGATGGGCTCCTGCCCAGGGTGAGGCTTCTGCACATCCAGGAGGACTTTGCTTCCAGATTCCTGACAAGGGCTCAGGTTGAAATGGATGATGTCCATCACTGCATTTAATACTCAATTCAACAATCTCCTTTGCCTTAAGAAACCCTTATTCATAAACCCTTCCTGTTACCCTACCACATGCTCACATTCACTGACTTAGCACCAATGTAGAGTCTGAGAAGACAAACATAATTTTTCTCATTATAAAACTAATATATGTTTATTATAGAAAACTTAGAAAATATAGAAAACTATAATTAAGAAATTTAAAAACCTATAATTGCATCAAAGGTAATCTTTAAGATATTGCTATATGACTTCTAATCTTTTGTGTGTACCATATAACACAAACACACACACACATATACACCTTTTTAAAATTAAAATTGGGATCATCCTACACCTAATGTAGATGTGCTAGATACTGGATATATATCAAACATAATACAATCAATCATTTCTGCTCTCATGGTACTTAAAATCTATCATAAACATAATGTGAACAATTTTCCATATCCTTAAATATTCTTTGAGAGCATACATACTTAAGACCAGATTTTATTCCATTTACAGATTATCATTAGTCAATTTTTCACTATTATAAGATGCTACCTAATGAGAATTATTCACAGAAATGTATGTAAACACCCGATTATTTCCTTAGAACAATTTTTAGAAATTGAAAATCACAGTAGATTCATATTTTTAAGGCTTTGATACATATTGCCAAATTACTCCCCAGAAAGATTGTCCCAATATAAATTCTTACCTGTATCATGTAAAAGTACCTATTTTCTCACATCTTTACCAATATTATTATTGTTTATAAAAATCCTTGCAAAAAATAATTGCCAGTTTGGTACCTGAAATTATAGCATCCTACTGTTGTTGGGTTTTTGTTTGTTTGTTTGTTTGTTTTTTGGAGATGGAGTCTCACTGTGTTGCCCAGGCTGGAGTGCAGTGGCATGATCTCAGCTCATTGCAACCTCCGCCTCCTGGGTTCAAGCAATTCTCCTGCCTCAACCTCCTGAGTAGCTGGGACTACAGGTGCACACCGCCATGCCCAGCTAATTTTTTGTATTTTAGTAGAGACGGGGTTTCACCACGTTGCCCAGGCTGGTCTCGAACTCCTGAGCTCAGGGAATCCGCCCACCTGGGCCTCCCAAAGTGCTAGGATTACAGACGTGAGCCACTGCGCCTGGCCCCTACTGTTGTTTTAATTTGCATTTATTTGATTACTAGTGAAATAGAATATTTTAACATATTTATTAACAATTTATACTGTTTTTCATCGACTCTAACATGCCTCAATTGCAAGATGCATCCTTACTTCAGAAATGTTTAGTTTGAGAAAGTATGCATCTTAGAACCAATAGAATCTGGTATTTCTTCTTTAGTGAATTCATTTCTTCAGCAATCATTTCCTGAGCACCATGGGCACTTGTCAAGGACCAGGCAGAGTCCTGGGGGGAGTAGACAAAGGAGGAGTCAAAGCAGGCCCAGGCCCTGCCTTTTGGGCTGTCAAAATAATAAGGAAGACAGACCATCTCATAATCATACAAGTAGATACAAAATTAAAACTATGAAAATAATCATGAATGAGACGGTAATATAAACTGGGGAAGGTTTCTCCAGAAAAGTGACACTTCAACTGAGCATTAAAGAAAGAACAGAAAGTTTTGAAGCAAAATGGTGAGGGAGAATGTGGGAAATTCTGGGCAGAGAGAACAGCATGTCCAAAGGCTCTAGGGCAGGAAAAAGTGTGGAGTCTAGAAAATTGAAAGGAGAAGACTGAAGAGTAGAGACAACAAGGGCATTTGATTCAAGGGAAGGATAGAGATATAGAAAGATGCCAGTCAGCACCCACCCCATGCCCAGTGCTGCTCCAGACACAGGAGACATGGCGATAAACCCGAGAGGAAGGGGCCTACTCTCAAGGACCTGACTGCCAGTGGCTGGAAGGCCTACGGGCAGGGAAGCAGGAGCAGATTTTTTTAAAGTAAAGCAGACAATGTCAGGTAGCAGTAAAACTTACACAAAAAATTAAGATACATTAGCATGATCAAGAATGGCTAAACGTAACATTATATTGAGGAAGCCACTGTGAGAAAGTCATGCTTCAGCTCAGATCTGAATAACCAGAAAAAACTGGTGCTACAAATATCAATAATACAAAGAGCATTTTTGGCGGAAGTTAACAGTGGGTGCCAAGGCCCAAAGGGAAATGTACTTGAAGGACAAAAAGAAGGCCAATGTGGCTGGCATCTAGAGGTTAAGAAGAAAAATCATAAAAGGTGATGTTACCCAGGCATGCAGGGGCCAAGTTATATAAGGTATTGTAGGTTAGGCTGAGAAGTTAAATTGTATCATAAGCACAACTGCAGCCCATTGGAGTGGCCTTAATCTGGGAAGTGACATGATTTGGTCTATATTCTTAAAACCTAATTCTGGCTATTGCACAGACAATACACTTCACAGGAACAAAAACTAAAGTAGGAAGACCAGTAAGTAGGCTATTACAATAGGCCAGGTGAGAGATAATAATGGTGGCATGGGCTCACTAGAGTGATGCCAGTGAAAGGGATATCCCTTCTCACCACTTCTATTTAATATCATACTAGGAGTACTACCTAGTACAATAAGACAAGAAAAGGAAATAAAAGGTATACATAGTGAGAAGGAAGAAATAAAACTGTCTTTGTTCACAAATGCTGTAATTGTTTATGTAGAAAATCCCAAAGAATCAACAACTCCTGGAAATAACAAGTAATGTATAGTAGGGTTGCAAGATTCAAGGTTAACACACAAGTCAATTGCTTTCCAATACACCAGCAATAAACATTAGAATTAGAAATTAAAAACACAATGCCATTTGTAATAGCACCGAAAGCAAATAAAATGGGCATAAATCTAACAAATTTAGAATCTATATGCAGAAAACCACAAAACTGTAATGAAAGAAGCCAAAGAAGATCTAAATAAATGAATAAGTATTCCACGGTGATGGACTGGAACACTCAATATTGTTTAGATGACAATTCAGTACTTGACCTATAGATTCAATGCACTTCCAATCAAAATCCCAGCAAGCTATTATGTAAATACTGACAAATTAATTCTAATGTCTATATGAAAAGGCAAAAGACCCCTAATAGCTATGTTAGCTCCCTAGGACTGCTATAAGAAATTACCACAAACAGGTGGCTTAAAATAACAGATTATTCTCTTACAGTTCTGGAGGCTAAGTCCAAAACCAAGGTATTAGCAAGGCCATGCTCTCTCTGAAGGCTTCAGGGAAGAATCCTTCCTTGCCTCTCTCCAGCTTCTGGTGACTCTGTGAAATCCTTGGTGTTCCTCGGCTTGTAGATGCATTATTCCAATCTCCGCCCTTGTCTTAATGTGGTGCTCTCTTCTCTGTGTGCCTATGTTCAAAATTCTCTCTCTTATAAGAACTCTAGTCATTGGATTAGGGACCATCATAACCCAGTATGATTTAATCTTAACTTGATTAGATCTGAAAATACCCTATTTCCAAGTAAGGTTAGATTCCAAATAAGGTTAAATAAGGAGTTTAGGAATTGAACATATCTTTTTTGGAAGACACAATTGTATCCACTACAATAGCCAGCATGGTACTGAAAAAGAACAAAATTAAAACATGACTACTATCCAACTTCAAAACTTACTACATAGCTACATTAATAAAGATAGCATGGTATTAGTGTAAAAAATAGACACATCAACCAATGGAACAGACTAGAGAGCCCAGAAATAAAGCCACACACCTACCACCATCTGATCTTCGACAAAGTTGACAAAAACATGCAATGGGAAAAGGATTCCCTATTCAATAAATGGTGCTGGGATAACTGGCTAGCCATATGCAGAAGATTGAAACTAGACCCCTTCTGTATAACATATATAAAAATCAACTCAAAATAGACTAAAGACTTAAATGTAAAACCTGAAACTATAAAAGCCCTAGAAGATAACCTAGGAAATACCTTTCTGGACATAGGCTCTGGCAAAGATTTCATGATGAAGACACCAAAAGCAATTGTAACAAAAACAAAAATTGACAGTGGGAACTAATTAAACTAAAGATCTCTTGCACAGCAAAAGAAACCATCAACAGAATAAAGAGACAACATATAGAAGAGAAAATATTTGCAAACTATCCATCTGACAAAGGTCCAATATCCAGAATCTATAAGGCACTTAAACAAATTAACAAGCAAAAAACAAACAACCCCAATAAAAAGTGGGCAAAGGACCTGCACAGACACTTTTCAAAAGAAGACATACATGCAGCCAACAAACATATGAATAAATGCTCATCATCAGTAATCACTAGAGAAATGCAAATCAAAACCACAACGAGATATCATCTTACACCAGTCAGAATGGCTATAAAAGTCAAAAAATAACAGATGGTGGCAAGGTTGCAGAGAAAAGGGAAGGCTCATACATTGCTGGTGGGAGTGTATATTAGTTCAGCCATTGTGGAAAGCAGTTTGGCAATTTCTCAAAGAACTTAGAATTACCATTTGACCCAGCAATCCCATTATTGAGTATATCCCAAAGGAATATAAATCATTCTACATAAAGACACATGCACGTGTATGTTCACTGCAGCACTATTCACAATAGCAAAGACATGAAATCAACCTAAATGCCCATCAGTGGTAGGTTAGATAAAGAAAATATGGGTCTGGATACAGTAGCTCATCCCTGTAATCCCAGCACTTTGGGAGGCTGATGCAGGTGGGTCACTTGAGGTCAGGAATTCGAGACCACCCTGGCCAACATGGCAAAACCCCAACTCTACTAAAAATACAAAAATTAGCCGAGTGTGGTGGTGCACACCTATAGTCCCAGCTACTCAGGAGGCTGAGGCATGAGAATCACTTGAACCCAGGAGGGAGAGGTTCCAGTGAGCCAAGATCACGCCACTGCACTCCAGCCTGGGCAACAGAGCAAGATGCTGTCTCAAAAA
Source organism: Homo sapiens (assembly GCF_000001405.40). Classification (NCBI taxonomy): domain Eukaryota; kingdom Metazoa; phylum Chordata; class Mammalia; order Primates; family Hominidae; genus Homo; species Homo sapiens. Next base: position 103,876,447 of record NC_000012.12, read on the forward strand.
GAAAAAGAAAATATGGTATATTCACAATTTGGAATATAATGCAGCCATAAAAAAAGAATAAGATCGTGTCCTTTGCAGGAACAGGGAGGGAACTGGAGTTCATTATGCTAAGCAAACTAATGCAGGAACGGAAAACCAAATACTGCATGTTCTCACTTATAAGTGGGAGCTAAACATTGAGTACACATGAACACAACAAATGCACACACAACGAACAACAGACACTGGGGCCTACCTGAAGCTGGAGTGTAGGAGGAGGGTGAAGATCAAAAAACTACCTATTAAGTACTATGCTTATTACCTAGGGGATGAAATAATCTGTACACCAAACCCCCATGATATGCAATTTACCTATATAGTGAACTGCGCATGTACCTCTGAACTTAAAATAAAGTTTATTTAAAAATGGTAAAAAGATTTGAACAGACAATTCACCAAAGAAGATGTACAGGTAGCAAGTAAGTATACATAAAGATGCTCAACATCATTTGTTACTAGGCAATTGCATATTAAACCAGTAATGAGATACCACTATACACCTATTAGAATGGCCCAAATCCAAAAAACTGACAAAACCAAATGCTGGTGAGGATGCAGAGCAACAGGAACTCCCATTCATTGCTGGAGAAAATGTAAAATTTTGCAGCCATTGTGAAAGACAATTTGACAGTTTCTTACAAAACAAAGTATGTTCTTACCATACGATCCAGCAAGTGTACTCCCAGATATTTACGCAATTGATTTGAAAACTTGTGGCCACACAAAAACTTGGATGTAAATGTTTATAGCAGGTTTATTCATAATCACCAATAACTGAAATTATCCAAAATGTCCTTCAACAAGTGAATGAATAAACAAACTGTGGTAAATCCATACAATGGAATATTATTCAACAATAAAAATGAATGAAGTCTAAACCATGAAAAGACACAGAGGAACCTAAATGCATATTAGTAATCTTCCCAACTGTATATGGCTGCCCTGATGATAGCTTAGAGAAGGACAGTGGTGGCAGAGATGGAGAAGTGAACAACTTTGAAAAACAGGAAGTAAAGAACGTCAGGGCTCATTGATGAAATAGACTTGGAGATGAGGTAAAGGAGAGGAAGGTGACTAGGATGACTCCAAGGTGGGAATTTCAGAGACAGTTCCTGGGAAAGAACCTGCTTTTGGAAGGATGTTCACAAGTTCAGTTTTAGGTATCTTAGGTCTAAGATGTTTTGGAGACCATATCCAAGTGCAGACTTACGTAGGCAGTTGGATACATAGGCATCATGTCTCTGAGTACCTCCATCGCTTGCTTGCACATGCCATATCTGCTCCTAGTCTGTCTCTTCTTGTCTTTGACAGAGTCCAGAACTGCAACTTCAGCTAGAATTGGATTTTCTTCACCTTGATGTGGCCCAGGGCTCCCACCAAAAACAAGAGTATTATGCCACAGGAAATCTATAAAAACTGACCCAAGCCTAGAAGCTGTCCTCTAGGCTCAAAGCCCTCCCTACCGGTCATCAATCAGAGATGCAACTTCCCTAGATGAGTGCCGCAAGGAAGGACAAACCTAGGCACCAAGTAGACTGGGCAAGAAGCACCCAAGGAGATACAAATTCAAGACTCCAAACTGCACATCATTTCCCATCAACCTGTTAGGTTTGTCATTCTCAAACCACCAGAGGGAGCCAAACTTCACGGTCCAGAGGGAAAAACTAGGAGAGAGGTGTGCACTCCATCCCCCAGCAGCAGCAACGAGGAGCGAGGAGCAAGAGAGACATCAGACACTCTTCCAGTCCCCCAGCCAACTAATGAAACTGAGGCACCCTTAGAAAACTCTGGGATTTTAAAGAACTTTCCAGAAGTAGGCAGCAGTCAAAAGTATAAGTAGCCTATTTATCTCTCAAAGCAGCAGGGGATAATGAAGAATGAGACCCTAAAAGGGGATCCTCAGTCATTTCCTGCATGGGGAGAGAAGCTAGGCAAGGAATTGGAGCTCTCTTTCTACTTTGAAGCATGCCTGCCTGGAAAGTTCTTCTCCACCCAATAGTGGGATCTGGCCCTCCCCTCCTCAAGCCTCTTCTTCCCACTGGTGGGTTTGGGGGAAAGGAGTTTTTGTCCTACATCCCCTTCCCCATCTGTCTGGCATCAGTGGTGATGCCTGACTCTACCTGATGCTCCAGACCCTAAACTCCTGCCCCCACCTGGGCCCCAAAGTCCCAGCTGGGTTTGCACTTCCTGAGGCTGCTTGCTGTCCCCTCTCTGATCCACAGTCTTCAAATGTAGAACACAATGGATTCTCCTTTATTTTCCCCAAACCATTTGTTTGTAACAGACTTTTACTAAAAATGTCAAGTATCAGAGTAGGGCTTCAACACAGCATAGAGAAGATGGTAACTCAAAATGGAATCTGAAGATATTTAATTAAATTAATTCAGTTGACATCCATCCTCCCTTGGGGGAATTTCGAACTGTCAGTCCCAGTTTTCCTCCTGACCCTCTAACTCCTCCTTCTTCCCCTTGCTGCTTCCTTCTCCCCTGCTTACCCCTTGGAATTTTGTCCCAGGCCCACCTCTCTTCTCCCCTTCCCTGACAATCTCCTTCCCTCTCCTGGCTTCCATCCAGAAACAGGTATGCATCTCTGGCCTGGCTCTTTTTCTGAGCCCAGTGATTACCCCCTCCTGGCTTTCTACAGTGACTCCAAACTCCACATGGGTTCTGTCCCCCAACCCCCTCCTTTGGGAGTGTGTCCTGTTTGGGTCCATGGCCGTGTCATCTACCCAGTCATTCACGTCAGAGCCGTGGGAGTCATCTCTGACTCCTCCATTTCTTTGCACCCAATTGATGATTGCGTCCTGTGGATTCTATTTTCAAACCTTCCACCCCACCTTCTAAGCCAACATTGTCTGCCATCTGGGTTATTACTACTAGAAGCTCTTCGTGACACCACACTTGTCCCTTTTCGTTTCATTCTTTACATAATACCCAAGGTGACCTTTTAAAACCAAACCTGTTACCATCTTGCTTAAATCCCCTCATAGCCGCCCACGGCTGTTTGGATAAGGGCTGACTCCTTAGCATGACCTTGGTACTTGGGCTCCTGCCTGCCTCTGCAGCCTCAGGGCTCCCTTCACTGTCCACCTTCTCTTGTAGCCATGCTGGACTCTTCAGTTCTTCAGACTCACTACGCTCCCTCTCAACTCTGGATCTTCAACCCTGCTGTTCCCTCTCCCTGGAATTCTTTCCCCTTGTCACTCTGTCAGATTGAAGACAAGGAGCCACCTCCCTGCTCTATGTTCTATGCCACCACCACTTTGAACGTCTTTTCTCGGGCCAAATTGCTTTTTAATGTCTGTCATTTACACCTGACCATAAGCTGCCTTAAGGCAGGAACCGTGTCTGTCTTATTGCTGTATCCTTGGCATCTAGCACCACGCATGGCACAAGCAGGCCCTCAGTTAGTAGTGTCAAATTAGTTTGGAGGAATGTCAGCATTTGCCCAGACCTCTTTATTACAAAAGGAGGGCAGGGTTGAACTGGCAGGCAGCTCCCAGGATGGCACACGATAAAACAGGATTTCTCCCAGAATTCTTTGAAAAAAAAAAATAGTCCAGTTAAGGGTCTTACCTCCAGCAGCACCCCAGGAGGGCGAATTGATTCAGGGCTGTGTGTGGCTACATAATCATGATAAGAAAACATGTTTGGGGAGGCCCAGACAGCTAACCAGACCACTGTAATACCTCCTATGGCTATGATATGAGATTCCTGCTGTAATTAAACCTTGTTCTGATGAATCTAACAAATTTTTCTCTTACTTTGGTGATAAGTACTTAAGCTTGTGACTTCTACTTTTAGCAACTCACAGAGAAAAGTAGGCCCACACAGTCCTGGAAGGACTTTGGGGAAAACTCCCCCAAATGGCCATGGGCTGACTCTCCCAGCCAGGGTGGGAGGTAAGGTAAGACAGTGAACAGCTACAATAAGTAGAGTGGCTAGATCATAGCCTTGCTTTATGAAACTGGTCCAGACAGACAAAAGGAAGCCCTGGCGGAGATGAGAGAATGGATGCCAGAGGCTTCATGGAAGTAAATTTTACAGGACTTGGGCATGATTTAATCTGATGTATGTGAGAGGCAATTATGGAGGCCAGGACTACTTGCTGAGAGGCCCCTGGGGGTCCAGAATAATACAGATACTAACCAGCAGGATCTTAGATGTTGATACAGGTGACATCATGTTTACAGAATCACCAGGAGAGCTCTACGATGTTCCCCACCTAATTCTAACTCGGCTCATTTACATCCAGGAAATCTTCACACGCTGAAATATTAGGTGATTTCCTACCAGTTTCAACTCTCATCCCCTCGCCCCTTACATCACCATAACAACCATGCTATGAAAAGCAGTTGTGGCATTGTCTGGAAGGACTTTTACCCCCTGTTGGAGGTTTAGTCTTCCTCTGGTTAGTGTTCAGCTTCCTGTGAAAAACAGAAACGTCCCCTCCTGCCCCCTTCCCTCCACTCCCCTGCCCCGCATCCCTAAGCACTGACACACTTCCAGATAGATCCATGTCCAGACAGATCCTGGCTGCATTCCACACACAAGTATCTTTATGAGGAGTGCCTGGGTTCTTCCACCTGGATGATTGCTGGGTCAGACAAATTCTGAAATTAAGTCATACGTGACAATAAGGATCAAGGCAAAGTCTAGATGTTCAAGGATCAAAAGGGGTACAAATGTGGTAAAGCCCAAATCTATTCCTAACTATCTGGCAGACCTCAAGCAACTTACCTGTCTGAGACTCAGTTTCCTTAAATTCAATCAAGATATTACTAGTATTATAGCAATTTTATGAGAATTAAACAAAGTGACACATATAAAGTACTTAACTCAAAGCCAGGCATATAACAAATGCTCAAAATCTGTTATGATCACTGAACTGTAAAGCCCAGAAGGATTTCATTTCCTTGTTCATTGCTGTGTCAGTGAGTCCATGAGTTCACGGTCCAGGGAAGGTGCTGAGTTAATACTCGTTGAAAGAATGAATGAAGGTTATTATTCTGTTTAATAAGCCAGGAAATGCAGGATGAAAGAGAGTGAGAGGAGAGAGGGCAGGCAAAGGGGCTTGCTTATGGAGAACAAAGGGAAGAAATATTAACCAAAGTGCTGTCCAAACCCAAGCCACAGAAGCAGAAGGTCAAAGAATAGCTGCCTTCATTTTGATTGAGGCCACCTTGAAATAGTGTTTTCAATACTGAGTGATGGAAAAAGTTGCTGCTACCATCAGCAGGCAGAGGGATCACGGGAAAAACAATTTGGGAGAGAAAATCCTGAAATAATGTAGGTTTTCACCTATTTAATTTGAAATGTTAACTGCTCACTCAGGAAAGTTGTTAATCAAGCAATAATACTCTTACTAGCTCTCATAAAAGAGGGGATGTAGCTGGTACTCCAAAAAGAGGTTCAAGCTGGAAAGACAGAAGGTATTAAGGCTGTGGTTGAAGCCACGAAAAAGTGGAGAGACAGAAAGAATGTTAAGGACAAACCCCTAAAAAAGAGTCATTGTGGCCGGGCGCACTGGCTCACGGCTGTAATCCCAGCACTTTGGAAGGCTGAGGCAGGTGGATCATGAGGTCAAGAGATCGAGACCATCCTGGCCAATACGGTGAAACCCCACCTCTACTAAAAATACAAAAATTAGCTGGGTGTGGTGGCACTTGCCTGTAGTCCCAGCTACTCGGGAGGCTGAGGCAGGAGAATCACTTGAACCCAGGAGGCGGAGGTTGCAGTGAGCCGAGATCTCACCGCTGCACTCCAGCCTGATGACAGAGCAAGACACCGTCTCAAAAAAAAAATAAAATAAAAAATAGAAAATAGAAAAAAAGAGTCACTGCAAGAAGATAAAGAGAAGCCATTTCAAAATTAACACTTTTTCCTGATTTCTTGTCTTCAAAACTTGTTGGCTTCAATTGTAGAAAGGAGTAATCAGGGAGGTCTGTTGGATTGATCAGAATTATGTGAGGAAACAGGAGAATCATAACTTTGGCCACTCTATATCCCAGCAAAATGGACTACTGAAACATTGCAACTCACATACCTGAGAGTGTACCGCTCTTCCTCATTGTATGGCACTGATCTGCTTTAATCTTGGCCACTGAAAGTAAATAGGCCTCAGAGACATCATAGCCGGCCTCCAATAATACATTCCAGAAGTGAATGAGGTGCAGCCTTGTCCAGAAGCCCAGGCTTTGGATTTTTGATATAAAGTCTGTGATACTTGTGACACAATGTATTAATAGATATCATTTTAGTATTTCAGGCCTTAAAGGAAGCTCTTCTACTTACCACATTTCAGTAGCCTATTCATAAACATCTTACCTAACATATCTTTTGGAGATCACCAGATAAATATGAGCCTTTCACTCTTCAGCAGTCAAAGCCAATTCTCCTGATCCACCCAGGAAGCCCCCTCCTCTGAGAAGGCTCCCTGGGTCTACCAGGCAGAGCACCAGCCCCTCCCTCTTCTGTGCTTGCAAAAGTTCATTGCAACATTGCTCTAGCGAGGCATTATCACCACGTACAGTAATTCTCTGGCTCCACATCTTCCCCCACTAGATGGAAAGCACCTACAGGCTTAGAGCTGTATCTATTCACTTCTGCACCCTCAGGGCCTAGCAGGTTGTGGGAGACAGGATGGGTCATAAATAGATGTTTGCTGAATTAATGAGTCAGAGGAAAAGAAGAAAGAGACAAGGAAGGGAAGGGAGGTGGGTGGGAGGGAGTAAGAGGGAAGGGGAAGTAGCATAGGGAAAAGAAGGGAATGGAAGGGAAGCAGATAGGAGGGTCTAGCAGAGCTTGCCCAATCTTCTACCTTTTCCAGCTCTCATCCTTGCCCTCCTCTCTCTGGAATGCCACTTAACTTTGAGAGGACTCCACATAGAGTGAAGAGGAGAAATGAACACTCTGCAGGGCCAGACAGACCAAGGGGAGTAACCCTGGAGATCCAGCAACTACAGAAGTTGATGCCAGAGGATGGTTCCATCTGAATGAATGATGAGTGCTTGAATGGATAAATGAATGACACAACTTGTTCAAGGGAACATGGGTATCTAAACATAGCACTGGTAAAAGGGAAAGCTAAATCTGCCTAAATACAATGATATAAAAACGGCAAGACTCATGTAGGGCTTGAGAGAAAGCCGCACAACCCCCGCAAGCATCCACTCATTTTCATATGCCATGGCAATTCTTGATACACTCTCCAGAAAGAGGTTTGCCGCTGGAAGTATCTGATCAACACTTGGTGAAAATGTGTTTTCTTGTGGTTCATTGGGGTCTGAAATGAACATGGACTGCTTTCTCAGACAGGAGTGATTACACCTATTTTAAAATCAATTATAGTTTAATGCCTCTGACTTTTTAGTACTTGAAAATACTGCAGCAAAAATATGACAACTCTGTGGCTGTAATTAGAGAAATAAAAGTCAGTGTAACTGGAAAAAAATTGTGTCTTACACATCAGTCTGAATTTACCAAAGAATTTATTCCAGTTACGCTCGCTGACCTAGAATTGGAGAAGTTTGTGGACATGTTGATTTTCCATGTTAAGTCTTTCCCCTCCCCCAAGGAAACATTTGTAACCTACTTTTCTATTTTAAATATACACTATGGTTACTGCTTAAATAAGCACTTTTGAACATTTCATAGTGTGTATTTTGGAGAAGTTAAGCCATTGCCTGGATCTCATATGAGCCAAGGGGTAGCTGGCAAACAAATGGCAAATTTAATATTGGAGCCAGGACTACTATATCTTCATTTCCAAAGAGATATGGTTCTAGTAGATCATACTACCCAGACATAAGCTTCTCAAAAACAAAAGGGTTTGTTTAACTAAATCCTGGTGATTTCTGTCCTTGAAAACTAAAATAGAAGTATTTTTTAACTTTTCTGCTTGTCACTTTTTCTTGCAAGATAATGGAACACACAGCTAGGTGGCACACCAAGCCCAGCTCTTCGTAAGAACTCTAACAAAAGGGGAACTCATTGTTTAAACAACTGTTCTTCATTTCCACTTACATGATTTCCAGGTCACCCACCCATATGGAGAGACCCCATGCTATCTCGTCTAAAGCGTGCAGATGTGTCCAGATGGCAAGTGCAGTCCCTAACAGGCCCCTGCAGGAAAAAAACTCCCCTCCTCCACTGTGTATGGCAAAACTATGTGTGTGGTTATAAATCGGGAAAGTGGGGTGGGAATGAGGGAGAAAAAGAACTGGCATAAATAGTACCTGGGTTCAAGATCTGGAGAGTTAAACACTATACGTAAAGTATGCAAAACATTTTCATAGAAAATGCAGCATTTAATTTAAAATAACCTCATGAGGAGGATATAGATATGCATCACCATTTGACAAAATCAGAGAGACAGGTGACTTACCCCTGGTCAGTACATGACCAGTAAATACAGAAGTAGCATTCCAACCTTCTGGTTTAATGCCACTGCTCCTCCAACTACACATATGATGTGAGGAATGGTTTGACCCCAGCATCATCTTTATACACATTGCCGCACTCAATGATAGACTAAATGGCCAATGTTTATGTAGTGCTAGATTGGTGGGCTAGATTATGCTGTACTGAAAGACAACCCCCAAATCTCAGTAGCTTAAAAAAGCAAAGGTTTATTATGTCCATCACAGGTTGGAGACTGGGAACTCCAATCCAGGTCTCCTTCCTGTGGGACTGACAGAGTAGCCGCCATCTTGAATGTTGCCAGTGGCCACTTAGTCACAAGGCCCCACCCAACAAGGGGGCCAGGAAGTGTTTTCCATGGTGGGAGGGGGAGGGTGGGCTAGAAATTTTGGCATTTGGCTCAAATGGCCACCACTAGTGCTTATTGTAGTGCCAGATGCTATACCTTACACGAATTAGCATTTTATTACCCTCAAGGCAAATACTGTTATCCCTACATTGCAGGTGAAAAACTGAGTCTTAGGGAGGTAAGTAAGCACCTCGCGTCAGGTCACACCAGTTCTATACAAACCCAAAGCCATTGCTCTCCACGAGAAATCATTTCTAGTAAGATGCCATGGTGATTTCCAGAAGGAGGGAAGATGGTTCTGTTTGCCAAACAGCATGCAGACCTGAGCATGAGATGAGGACAGGGACAGGGAGCAATGAGGCTGTTCATGTTCCAAAGACCATGGTGCTGTGTACAGGTGGCTCACACCTTCTCTCTTGTGCTCAGCCCTCCAGCTCCTGATTCCAGGCAGATACTGGAGGCTGAGGTTTAGTACTGACCCTCAAAACAATAGAGATGGAAGCTGCTAGAAACAGCAGATCCAAAAAACCAGCAGCCAAGCATACCTGCACATTCATTCAGCAAACATCTATTCAATGAAACTAGAATGGGTCTCAGGGAATTCAGACTTACTTGAGGGTGCCTGATGAAACAGAATAATCTTTAGGCCCACAGAAGTCAAGATCACCAGTTGATTTGCATGGGCCATCTGGGAAAAGTGGTGGGTAGGAGGCCATAGAGAAGATTCATGAGGAAAACGAAGAAGGAGTTAATAGTGGCTGACATTTCTTGAGACTTTACTATGCGCCAGGCACTATGCTAAGTGCTTTACAGAACTTACATTACTGAATGCTCACAAGTAAGAACTGTATGAAGGTGGTACTTTATTTTATTAATGAGGCATCTGGGACACAAAGTGGTAAAATAATGTGGCCAAGGTCATTAACTAGCAAGTGGGAAATCCAGGGCTCATCCTGAGTCCGGCATTGGGATCCCAGTTTTAACCACTATGCTATATAAACTCCTTCTACTCAACAGAGGTGGAAAAAATGGGCTCCATAGACTGGGGTTTTTTGGGAACTCTTACAGGGTGCAGCATTACAAGAAGAAATGAAAGAGGCTCTTTCCAGGAAGGGCTCCCTGAGAGCCTGAGAAGGGTGGGGTTTGCCGGAGAAGGGCATGCAGTGTGCTCAGATCTCCCAGGAGATGCCCGCCCCTACTTCTGATGGAAACCAGCACTAACCCAGCACCACCCCAGCACCTCAAGATCTGGCTGCTTTAAGACCAAAGGAGAGGGAGGGACCCCTAGCATGAAGTCTGGTTTTCTCATAGTGAAAAACACAAGCAGGGACAGTCGTGAGGCACCTACATTGCTAAGCAGAAACCAGAAGAGACTCTCTGGTGACTACAGCCAACAAACAGATGAGTGAGCACAGGTGACACTGCCATGGACTCAGGAACATCTGAGGCAGGTGAGGACTTTCCAGGGTGCTGGTGGGAAATGACCTAGCCTAGTCTGAGAATGTTCTGGTTGCATGAGAAATAAGTAAAATAATATATAAGTGCCTGGCACAGTGAAAGCACTGAAAAAAAAAATGTGGCTGTCTTTAATTTAATTATTGGTGATTACACTATCTTTCTCCTAAGCTTTTGTACTGAACTATGTCCAGAATCAAGTTCAGGTAGATCCTGAACAATGTTAGGAAAACATGACTGGTATTTATCACATTTATTTAAACATTTGCAGCCGGGCGAGGTGGCTCATGCCTGTAATCCTAACACTTTGGGAGGCCAAGGCAGGTGGATTACCTGAGGTCAGGAGTTCGAGACCAGCCTGACCAACATGGAGAAACTCCATCTCTACTAAAAATACAAAATTAGCCAGGAGTGGTGGTACATGCCTGTAATCCCAGCTACTCAGGAGGCTAAGGCAGGAGAATCACTTGAACCCAGGAGGCGGAGGTTGCGGTGAGCCGAGATCGCGCCATTGCACTCCAGCCTGGGTGACAAAAGTGAAACTCTGTCTCAAAAAAAAAAAAAAGAAAAGATTTGCATCTGAACACTTCAAAGCTGGCAATGTGGATTGGTTTGACAAATAACCACTGCTTGATCCTTACAATTAAATTTTGTAACTAAAAACAAATGTGGCTATCATGATCAGTATTAACAAGACGTAATGGCCTATAGGCAACAGAGGAGCATTTCTCAGCTTTACAGCTCTCCTTTGCCCTATTCCTTTGAAGCCACACTAATATGCATGCATATGTGTATGCACACACATGTGTGCAACATACAAAGTATATAAGACCAAACGATCCTCAGTTTTAGTAACAGAAGAGAAAAGAGGTTGCTCCATCACAGCCTAGAGGTCAAAGGGTCTCTCTAGGTTAGCCAATTTATGGTAGGAGTAATTTAGGTTACAAATTGAATATAATGCTAGATAGGGCATTAATTTCACAGGCAAGATGCATGCAGATGTATGTGACTAAGAGAGACCAGCTTACCTCAAAATGATTGATATGACATTTGGACAAGAGTCAAGAAAGAGAGCCCTTTACAACAACAACAAAAAGGAAAAAAAAAATCCAACATAGTGGATTCAAGTACTACAGCTCTGGCTTTTGGATCTTTCCCATCCTTGGAGGATGGGCTTATTTCTCCTGCCCAGGCCACATGGAGGTGAATTACTGCTATTACAATTCCTGATGCTACTCACAGCTTGATTCTGCAGCATGACATTTTTTTTTCCTGACAGTAGTGAATACTGTCAGCAGTGCTTTATGTGTGGGTAGACAGTGCAGCAAATGGGGTGCAATACACACCCAGAATTTTAACAGCCACACCATGACACTTTAGTCCCTGCACGACCAAGGGTATTAATGCTCTCAGGGAAATGGAGAAATTGAATGCATTGCAAACCATCACACAGCAAGTGAACAGAGGACCATACATAAATCTAAGAGCATCCTCATTCTTAGGCCTTCTCTCTCCTCCACATCACATAACTTGAGACAGTGGGAATGATTACAATGTAGGAGGGAAACAGTATAAAGGATTTATCTTGTTAAAAAGGAAAGTAAAAAAGAACATAGTAAAGTTAAAAGGAAATTTGCAGAGCTTGGAATCTTTCCGGTGACTGTGATTTAAAGACTTTTCAAGTCCTCAGACCTGAAGCGCTCTATGCAAGTAACTGACAAACAGTGCTCTGCTCCTAGGTCAGGTGTCTGTGACTGCCAAAGTTTCCTAGGTGCAGCCCTGCAGTCCTTTTCAGTAGGGGATACGAATTTGATTTCAGAATTAGAGAAGAGTTGAGAGGCTGAGGCGGGCAGATCACCTGAGGTCAGGAGTTCAAGACCAGCCTGGCCAACATGGTGAAACCCAGTCTCTACTAAAAAAATACAAAAGTTAGCCAGGCATTGTGGTGGGTGCCTGTAATCCCAGCTACTGGGGAAGCTGAAGCGGGAGAACTGTTTGAACCCAGGAGGCGGAGGTTGCAGTGAGCCGAGATCACAACATTGTACTCCAGCTTGGGAAACAAGAGCGAGACTCAAAAAAAAAAAAAAAAAGCAAACAATTGGAGCAGAGACAGAATCTATTTACCTCTTCTTTGTTAGTGTCAGAACACCACCTTGGTTTGGGGTAGCAATGCACCAAGTCGAAACCTCCATCCCCAGCTTCCCTCATATCTAGCTGTAGCCAACTAATGAAGTTCTGAGTCAAAGACTCTTAAGTGGAAATGTTGGTATGGAAATTCCAGAAAAGCTCCTTAAAAGAAAGTGGGGAGCCCTTCTTCCTCCCTTTCTCCTTCCTGATGGCTGGAGCTCCAGCAGCCATCCGATGAAGTGGCCTTGAGAATGCACGCAGTGTAGTGAATCAGGGACACAGAAGGAGCTGGGACCCAGGTGACTCTGTGGAGCCAACAGAGCAGCTCGGGACTGCCTGTTCCCAGAAGTCTATTATAGGCGAGAACAAACCCCAGCCATTGAAGTCAGGTCTCAGTTACTCATAATCAAGTACAAACCCTAACATATAACCATTTTTATATATGTCTGTGGATTTGTTTCTATGGGAAAAATCCCAACTACAAGGCTTCCCTTGTATGTGGCTCCTGCTTTCCCTTAACCCCTTAACCAGCAGGTATTTCCACAGACTCAAGCCTTACTTACCAAGAAGCTTGTGCTCCACTGCACTTCACAGGGACTGGTGCCAGAAATACAGGAGGCCATTGGGCTTCTCCTGGACCCACTGTTTGGTGGCGTTGCGGAAGGCAGCCCAGTGCAAGGCGGTCACTTTGTAATGATTCCTGTAGCCCAGCATGTCCAAAAGCTGGAGTAGCTCATCCTCAGCCAAGCCACCATGCGACAGGCACAGTAAGCACAGAGCGTCGGCCACCCAGCTGTCCAGTCCTGCACAGGCAACATGATGATGACAAGAATCAGAGCTAACATGAGCCAGGTATCTTTCTAAATGTTTTATATGATTCAACAACCTTCTTTTTCAATCATCCTATAGGAAATACTATTATAGCCCTTGTCAAATGAGGAAACGGAGCACAGAGAAGTGAAATAACTTACCCAAGGTCACACAGAAATAAATGCAGAACTGGGATTTGAACCCAGATAGCCTGGCTCCAGAGCCCATACATACTGTTAACCATTAAGCTATCATCCACAGTCACAACGAACACATCCAGAGCTCTGGTTACACACTGGAAAGCTTGCTGATGATTACACCAAGCATTTCTGCCTAGCAGTCTTTATTAAGGTTTTCCAACACCTAATTTGCATTTATGGCTGTGAGTGGTTTTTCTGTATGATTGTTCTCCTGTCGCACAGTCACAGACACCACTTAAGCCAGCTCTTCATTACCCACCTTACCCTTAGATTTTTCCACCATAGCTGGACCTCCTTCTGGCTTTATGATCAGCCGACTACAAAGAGATCCTTCAGACCATTCAGAGAAATGGTAACACACAGTCTACCACTCTGACTTTATCTCCTATGCTAGGACTAGGGAATGAGCCCAAATTACCTGCAATCTTGAAGCAAAGGCAGAGCTGTGCAACCCCAGTCAGCCAAGCTTCCCTGATGTTGGCCTTAGCATTTTTTTTTTTTTTTTAGACAGGGTCTCACTCTGTCACCCAGGCTAGAGTGCAGTGGCACAATTACAGTTCACTGCAACCTCGACCTCCTGGTCTCAGGCAATCCTCCCACCTCAGCCTCCCTAGTAGCTGGGACTATAGGTGCATGCCACTACATCTGACTGGTATTTTGTATATTTTGTAGAGACAGGGTTTCACCATGTTGCCCAGGCTGGTCTCAAACTCCTGGGCTCAAGTGGTCCACCCACCACGGCCTCCCAAAATGCTGGAATTAGAGGTGTGAGCCACTGCACCCAGCTGGCCTCAGCTTAACCAAGCTCTTCCTGCACCTGTGGCTGAGCTCCCTGGGCCTCAGTGGCAGTGGCTGGGCAGAGCTGGGGGGTGGAGCAGTCTTTGGTGGGGAGGAGACCTGGGCTTTCCTGCACAAACCTGGAGATGGAGGGCAACACAGCCACAGGCCACTTTGCCTGAGTGACTCTTCTAAGGGCACAGAGAACTAGTTTCCACCTCCTTGTAGGTGCAGCAGGGCGCAGTAAATTTGAAGTCAATTTTCTTTACAGAAATGCAAACTGTAGAACAAAAAAACAGGGCAGGACGATATGTTGCACCAATCAATGTGTCTTTCTTTCTTTCTTTTTTTTTTTTTTTTAAGAAGGAGTCTCACTCTGTGGCCCAGGCTGGAGTGCAGTGGCACTATCTTGGCTTACTACCACCTCCACCTCCCGGGTTAAAGTGATTCTCCTGCCTCAGCCTCCCAGGTAACTGAGATTACAGGCACGTGCCACCACACTCAGCTAATTTTTGTATTTTCAGTAGAGACAGGGTTTTGCCATGTTGCCTAAACTGGTCTCAAACTCCTGACCTCAAGTGATCAACCCACTTCAGAATCCCAAAGTGTTGGAATTACAGGCATGAACCACTGTGCCCAGCTGTGTCTTTCATTCCAAGTATTTTCTGCTTCTCACCCCCACTTCCCCATCCCTGCTCCATTTTAAATTCACTGCCCTTAAGAGAAGACTGTTATAGCAGAGAAAAACAGAGAAAAACTCAAGTTTCAAAATAGACTTTTGAAGTTCATGGTAGGAACAATGGCTTGAGGGAACAAATTTTGACTCTCAAAAGCCTGATTGTTGAATATCATAAAACACATTCCTGCAGCCAGGTGAGGTGGTGGCACACCTGTAATCTCAGCTACTCAGGAGGCTGAGACAGGAGGATCCCTTAAGTTGGAGGCCAGCCTAGGCAACATAGTGAGACCCTAGCTTAAAACAAAACAGACAAACAAAAAAAAAACTCTTGACTAACACATGGAATAAATTTTTTTTATGACAAACAATAAACTCAGATAAGTTCAGGGTGATCTAAAGAGGATTTTTCCCCCACTCAGGAGGAAAAGCATTTGTGGAACTGAGAAAGTACAGGAGAGAATCAGAGAGGAGAACAAGACTCAAGCAGAGCACAGAAGTTGGCTGAGGAGAGAGGACCCTCTGTTAGGATGTGGCCCCCATCAGACGGGAGCCACATAGATCCAGCAACCTAGAACAGATGGGCACACAGGTGTCCTAGAGGAAGCCAGAAGTGCAGATAAGTCAACATCTGTGGACCATGGAGACCATGGCCACCTAGGTGGAAGACGGCAGGGACAGAGAACAACCAAGGCCACCCAGCACCCAGGCCCTTGGATCTCAGATCAACCCAAAGGAGATATGGGAAGGCCACAAATCCTTGCCTGACTGAGAAAATCCTGAGCTCACTGAAAACAAACCATATTGATGGAATTAACCTGAAATGACTTGATGAGGTGTCTGCCATCAGCAGGCCTGTGGGCTCAGAAGAGAGATACATTGACTTATAGAAATAAGAAAGCTCCATTTCTTAGATTCTTGAAAAATGTGACTGAAATTTATGTCTAATACAGTTCTACTTACAGCCAACACACAGAGTCCTTTAGAGGAGCCAAATTTAGCAAATAAAAATACAGGATGCTCAGTAAAATATAAATTTCAGATAAACAATAAATTAATTTTTAGTGTTGAGTATGTCCTGTGTAATATTTGGGACATTCTTATACTGATAATTATTATTTATCTCTAATTCAAATAATTGTTAGCATAGGTATGTCCCATGCAATATCTCAGACATATTTCCACTAAAGATCATTTGTTGCTTATCTGAAATTCAAATTTCATTGGGCAGGCTGGGCATGGTGGCTCATGCCTGTAATCCCAGCACTTTGGGAGGGCGAGGTGGGTGGATCACCCGAGGTCAGGAGTATGAGACCAGACTGGCTAACATGGTGAAACTCTGTCTCTACTAAAAATACAAAAACTTAGCTGGATGTGGTGGCGGGTGCCTGTAATCCCAGCTACTCAGGAGGCTGGGACAGGAGAATCTCTTGAACCCAGGAGGCGGAGATTGCAGAGAACCAAGATCGTGCCACTGCACTCCACCCTGGGCGACAGATGAGACTCTGCCTCAAAAAAAAGAAAAATTTCACTGGGCATCCTGTGTTTTCCCTGACAACCCTGTCCCTAGAGCCCCCTTCCCTGTGCAGGAATCTACCACTCATCTTTCTCCCTGTGGACTCCCACTAAACTGTCAACAGTGGCCAAGGCCTACCTTCTCCTGAAGCCACAGTGTCTGAATTTGCCCTTTTGGGTTGAAACGTCCAACTGTAGTCTTCAATCCAGCGTTTGAGAACCAATTCCCAGAGCTCCTGAACAGAGACAGCCTCCAAGTACTCCTTCATACACTGAAACTCATTGTGGTTGATTCTATATTCTTTCAATTCATTGGCTAGGATTGTGAGTTTTAAAGGACTCAGGTCTGGTTTTTTCCTCAACGCCTGTGTGCTCTGTTCGAAGGGGTCCATCATGGGAATGGAGAGATGCTTTCTAAAGATGTTTAATTTTGTTTCTTCATCTCCTGTGCTAATGAGTTCCACTGTCCTCACATCCGGGCGGGCACACAACGACTTGTAGGACAGGCTGGAAGAGACAGTGCTCATGATAAATTTGCAATGAGGGGAGAGTGAGTGTGGCAGCCAGGAAAAATCTTTCACCTGATGGAGAGAATCAAAGACATTTGAAAACATTAAAGACTTTAAAATTACTTTGTTGATGGTTTTTCAACTTAGAGTAGGTACAATATGGGGAGTAAGTAGAGAATAAGGGTTGGATTGAAGGTTATTAATAGTAACTTGAATTGTAGGCATTATGGTGCTAAGAAAATATCAGGTCACACTCAATAGAACCGTATTTGACTCATGTGTCAGTTATGAATTTGATTGTGCAAATGCAAACTCTAAAAAGAGGAGGTTCCTAGGAGCAAGTAATTTAATAAAATCACGTAATTCTGAAGAATGACCTACAGGAATAACCAGAGGAAACTGGAGAGTGCAATTGGAACCATTCAGTTGAAAAAGAGGATGTTATTTTATGCTGAGAAGTTGTCACTTTGTGCAGCAATACTATCATGAGTTAAATCATTTTATTTTGGAACAAAATAAATACTTAATAAGATCAATCTTTTCTCAATTCCTTTAATAGCCTTTCCCACAATACCTCTTTGCCTAATAACACCAACCATCACATACTCACTCTGAGCCAGGCACTGTGTTGAATGTGTCTGTAGGTACTAACTGTATTAATTATGGTTTTTAATTTCTGCATCTTAGGATGATTTAACATTCCTCAGGACCTTACAGACCCAGCCCTTCCCAAGGCTAGCTAACTACTGGAGGTGGTGGACAGCCTGCCTGGAATCTGCCTTTAGCGTGCAGATCTAACTCACACAACAACCCTGCCCTAAATCAACCCAGGGCCAAATACCAGACAACTAGAGGCAGCCTCTGTGCCCAAAGCCCATCAGAATTATTCAAATTAAGCCTGGGCAACATACGGAGAACTCATCTCCACAAAAACATTTTTTTTTAGTTAGCTGGGCATGATGGCTCATACCCACAGCCTGCAGTCCCAGCTACTTAGGAGGCTGAGGTGGGAGGATGGCCTGAACCCGGGAGGTAAAGGCTATGATTGCCATGATTGCGCCACTGCACTCCAGCCTTAACTACAGAGCAAGATGCTGTCTCAAAAAAAAAAATTCAAATTAGCCAATCCTAAACTGTTTACCCTGCCCTGCCTTGCCATGCCTATAGAAACCCCAGTAAAGGCTCTGGCTTCAGTTTCCCCTTGCTCCTGTCCTCTGCCTCCTGACCACCCTTTCCCTGGGTCCCTGCACAGCGTGTCCCCTTCTCTCAGGAAACATAAGTAATGACTTCATCTTTCAGTGGTACCGGGCTCTCCATGTGGTCGCCCGACCATACCTCTATAAATTAAATCCTGGGCATAATTTTAATACATGAACTCATTCTATCCTCATGACAACACTCTAGAAAGGCAGAGAAAGAAACTCAAGGATAGAGGAGCTACATGCCTTATCTAATTCATTCTGCTAGCTTAAGTGGCAGAGCTGGGATTCAAACCAAGGGTCTGGCACCAGAGGCAGGCTCCTAATCGCTGCCCTAAACTGCTTCAGGTAACTGTCTGGCCATCCTTCCTCCTTCTAAAGAGCTCTGCCTCAGGCCATTCTTCTAGAAAGCCATCCCTTCATGAGAGGCTGTCACAATACTACATACCAATCTGTAGCAGCACATGTCACAGTTGCAATTTTATATTTATTTGAGTGATATGACTTCATTAATGTCTGCCATTCCCCACTAGAATGAAAGCTCCATTTCTTTGCAGGGATTATGTCTGTCTGTCCTTGCTAATAGTGCTTTGCCTATAGTAAGTGCTCATGGTATATATACAATTTTTTTTTGAGATGGAGTCTCACTCTGTCACCTAGGCTGGAGTGCCGTGGTGTCATCTCAGCTCACTGCAACCTCCACCTCCTGAGTTAAAGCAATTCTCCTGTCTCAGCCTCCCAAGTAGCTGAGATTACAGTTGTGCACCACCATGCCTAGCTAATTTTTTGTATTTTTTTTTTTAGTAGAGATGGGGTTTCACCATGTTGGTCAGGCTAGTTTCAAAATCCTGGCCTCAAGTGATCTGCCTGCCTTGGCCTCCTAAAGTGCTGGGATTACAGGCATGAGCTACCGACCCCAGCATTATGATATATTAAATTAAAAAGCAGGTTAGGAAACAATGTGGTGTGTAACTTCTTTACATAAATATGTATATGTATATGTATATATATATATATAGATATAGATATCCATAGGAAAAAGGGTATACAGCAGCAAAATAGTTACCAGTGGTGAGACTATGAGTGTATTTAATTTCCTATTTTCTTCTTTTTTATCATATTTTCTATGAGAAACAGATCTTATTCACATAACTGATTGATTACATAGAGTTTTAAGTTTTAAAGAAGCTGCTTCCCAAAGTAATAACTAGTGCCAAGTATTAGTAGAGGTTCCACTGATCCAATATTATTTCAAACAGGAGAAAAACTGAAGATGACAACTCATGAATGTGATTTTGTATGTGTAAAACCAGTGAAGATGAGGTAGGCCAAACTATAAAACACAAAAAACAGTAAGACTGATCAAAGTATAAAATAGGGGGCAGATATGTGCATGGGGAAAGGCCCCAGTGGCTGGAACCAGAATGCCCATGTCTGAATTCTGAGTCCACCACTTAACCATCTTAGGACCTTAGACAAGCCACCTACCATCTCTGTGCTCAGTTCGCCTTGTGTAAATGGGGAAGATGAGCACAGTCTCTTCCTCATATGGTTGTTGTGCGAATTAAATGCATTAATATTCTTTTTTGTTTTTGTTTTTGTTTTTTTGGAGATGGAGTTTCACTCCTGTTGCCCAGACTGGAGTGCAATGGTACAACCTTGGCTCACTGCAACCTCTGCCTCTCGGGTTCAAGCAATTCTCCTGCCTCAGCCTCCCAAGTAGCTGGGATTACAGGCGCCTGCCACCAAGCCCGGCTAATTTTTGTATTTTTAGTAGAGATGGGGTTTCACTATGTTGGCCAGGCTGGTCTTGAACTCCTGACCTCAGGTGATCCGCCCTCCTCGGCCTCCCAAAGTGCTGGGATTACGGGCGTGACCCACCATGCCCAGCCAAATGCATTAATGTTCTTAAAGTTCCTAAAATGGTGCCTGGCCCATTGTAAATACATTATAGAAGTATTTGTTCAATAAAATATAGAGCAGGGCTGGGTGCGGCGGCTCACACCTGTAATCCCAGCACTTTGGAAGGCAGGCTGGGAAGCTTGCTTGAGCCCAGGAGTTCAGGATCAGACTGGGCAACATAGCAAAACCTCATCTCTACAAAAAGTTGAAAAAATTAGCCAGGCATGGTGGTGTGCACCTGCAGTCTGGAAGCTGAGGCAAGAGGATGGCTTGAGCCCAGGAGTTGGAGGTTACAGTGAGCTATGATCATCCCACTGCACTCCAGCTTGGGCAACACAGCAAGACCCTGTCTCTTAATTAATTAAAATATAAAGCAGTAACTAAAAGCAGTGTTGGCTAAAACCAGAGATGTGTGATACAATGGAAAGGTGTTATATATAATACATCCTAAATAATGAAGTTTTTATTCTTTTTATTTCTTTTTTTAAATTGTTTTATTTTTATAAAGTTGTGATAAAATAGGGGTTATTTTAAAAAGACATTACCTTCTGACCTGAAATCCCATAAATGCCAATCAGTTCTTCAATTCCATCTAGTACAAGTATGCATGGCTTTAAACTGATGGAAGCAATGAATACTTCCACAAGAAATGAGAAGACCAAGCCATCTGAGTCTTCGTTGAGAATATCTGTTTCAAGCTGAGTACCTACAGCATAGAAATTTGTTCAAATTAGGTAGAAATGATTCCGTCATTGCTAAAACATGTTTATGGGCTGGGGAAGCAGAAGAGGTTGGGAAAAATGAGTGCTACTCACAGCTGTACGTCTAACACACATATGTATACATGTGATTACCATCTTCAAAATATTCAGCCCAGAAGAGATAATAGCGATGTTTACCACCAGATTGTCTCCAATACATTTTCAGGATTTGATATAAAAAAATTTTTGTGTGATCCAAAACATTACTCTCATCTTCCAGAATGCAAAAACAGGTCATGTTACAAAGAGTTGGATACGAAGAGAAGCCCTGTGATCTGTGAAGTTTCTGACACTCCTTAACATTGGGTGCGTGCTTAGGGTCACAGCCACCACCCTGGGCTCTTCCAGTAATGCTCAAATATAGAAGCTCCCACCCACTGTCTCGTTTCCTTGGCCCTAGCCCATCTTCAACTTAACAGAAATAATCCTAAACTCTAGCCACACTATTGGGCCCTAGACTTTGGATTCTGGAAAGTATACATTCTTAGAAAGAACTAAGCTATGAACCCCCAAAAGGCAAAGGAAGTCATTAGAGATGATTGACTTTCAGACTGTGATAAAGTGACCTAGCAGCAACCCCAAGTTGTCATCAACTACCTAATACCCTAAGAACATTTTACTGCAAATTCCGTCTTGCTTTTATTTTTCACAAGCAATATTTTCCACAGAAATTTAAGCACATTGAGGTCTGGAAAATACAGTCACATGTAGAACCTTTAATGGATTAGGTCTCTCAGATGCATTAAGATTTTGTTAGAGTCGTTGAGAGTAATTATGTTTAGCAAATATTTATCAGTTGCCTATTATGTGACGGTTCCATGCTAGATGCCGAGAGGAGATAAAATGATTCATATATGAAGTCAACCACCTAAAGGAAGTGGAAATTGGTTCTGTATACAAATAGCCAAATTTCAAGGCAGAATATGAGTCTGGAGGCTGCTGAAGCTTGATGTAGAACCATCACAATAAAGAACCATCACAATAAAGAAAAGCTCTGTGTGAAAGACACTTCAAATAAGCCTTTAAGGGTACATAGGCAGAGACGAGGAGAAGGGCATATCATCAAGACAGCACAGCCAAAGGCTGGGACATAGGAAGGTACCATGAACAGTTGAAAAACAGGACATTGCTTAGAGCAGTAGTTCTTAACAGGAGAGGTTCCAGGGTTTTGAGACATCCTACAACACAGGACAGCCACACCCAATGAAGCTTTGCCCCCAGGTCTACCTGACGTTCAGATATTTCGACAATCACGTAAGGGGGAGAAAAAAATTGATAATGACCTAACCTAGAAACCAACTCCATTTTACATATAAACACAAACTATTTTTTTGTATGGTTTTAAAACACACTGAATTTTCTAGAATGTAACACCACATAAATTGATGGAAGATTATACATTGTTTTGTCTAAAATGACACCAAGATTTAGTCACCATTTCAGAAAATCACCACCCAATAGCAATATTGCCTATGATGTTTGGTCTTTTTTTTTCCTTTTTCTTTCTTTTTTTTTTTTTTTTTTTTTGAAATGGAGTCTCACTCTGTCACCCAGGCTGGAGTACAGTGGCATGATCTTGGCTCACTGCAACCTCTGCCTCCCAGGTTCAAGCGATTCTCCTGCCTCAGCCTCTCGAGTAGCTGGTACTACAGGCACACGCCACCAAGCCTGGCTAATTTTTTGCATTTTTAGTAGAGACGTATTTTCACCATGTTGGCCAAGCTGGTCTCGAACTCCCAACCTCAGATGATCCTGCCTGCCTCGGCCTCCCAAAGTGCTAGGATTACAGACGTCAGCCACCATGCCCGGCCAATATTTGAGTCTTTAATATGACACACCCACATCAACCTATATTTATAGACTGAAACTTATTGCTTTTATGGTGATTTCCTATACAGAGGCACTACGTCTTTGATTCAAGTCTGCGCATTTACATGTTCAAATACACATTGTTTTATAATAAGTTACTTTCTCTATATTCATCTTTTTATAGTATAGTAGAGTTGTGTTAACTTTTAAAGAGATTTTTATAACACAAAGCGATCATAAAATCGATTACTTGAAACTTTTTTTATGAATGTGGGACATTAAGAAAGTGAAGGTGTCAGAAAAGATAGAGATTGAGCTTATGTCAAACAATGAAAAATGATTTTCAAGAAAGGGAAGAGAAAGAAATTCAGCTGATGATTCATCCCTTGAGTTTTTATTTAAAAACCTTTAAAATTATGGGCATCGTTGAGATTTCAGAACTGAAACGACAGAATTTTAGAGCAGAAGGGGTTCTTGGAAATCATCTAGGCTAGTCCAGACCCTTCATTTTGTAGATGAGGAAACTGAGGCCCAGAGAAGTGAAGGGAATGTGAACACACAGATCATCAGGAGCTTTTAAAATACTATTTTTTCTAATGATTTGTTTTCAAGCCATGTGTGGCCCCCATTTCTTTTTTTTTTTTTTTTTTTTTTTTATTTTTTTTTTTTTGAGACGGAGTCTCGCTCTGTCGCTCAGGCTGGAGTGCAGTGGCGGGATCTCGGCTCACTGCAAGCTCCGCCTCCCGGGTTCACGCCATTCTCCTGCCTCAGCCTCCCAAGTAGCTGGGACTACAGGCGCCCGCCACTACGCCCGGCTAATTTTTTGTATTTTTAGTAGAGACGGGGTTTCACCGTTTTAGCCGGGATGGTCTCGATCTCCTGACCTCGTGATCCGCCCGCCTCGGCCTCCCAAAGTGCTGGGATTACAGGCGTGAGCCACCGCGCCCGGCCCCCCATTTCTTAGTGTAGATGGCTCACAAGCAGCCCCTGTCAGAGCCCACAGAGGTGTGGATCCTCTGCCTCTTCCACACGGTTGGCATAGAGTGTAAATGACAAGGTGAATGTGAATGAACCTCAGGAAGTATATACTGCCTGACAGTCACAGAGCATAGAGCACTAATATAATCAGCAAAAATTAATTCTAAGCAAAAAAAAAAATACTCATGGCTGATGCTTATAGATATATATCTTTATATATGAAGGAAAATATATATGTTGAGTGGTTTTAAAATCACATTTTTGGTGACTATAATTATTTTTTCTGAAAATAATGTTGACAATAAAGTCAGTGTTACTAGTATTGGAAAATGATTCTAAACATTTCTCCTTATTTTGGCAAGAACAATCTGTCTCTACTAAATGACAATGGCCAATTACCTCATTTAAATGGTAATAGCTCACGTGTTTAAACAGCCACTTTTTAGCAGTGTTATCTCTCATCATTCAACATAGGTTTATTGAGAAGCTTCTGTGTCTGTGTCAGGCACTGGGTATGACAATGGCCAATAAAATAGATATGATCCCTGCACTCACAGAACTTACACAGGGAGACAAACAATAAGACAGATCACAGGACCATTTATAATTCACCTGAGGGATCTAGGGAGGCAAGCTCACAGTGTCTGGAGGGAGACACTTGTGAAAACTAAGACGCAGTGGGACTGGGGGTCCTGTGCCACGTGGTCAAAGTTAGGGCTGAGGGACAGAGGTACCCATCAGTCCCTCTTATGGAGGGGGTGACCTTCGAATAGGGCCATAAAGGATGAGAAGGATTCCACTGCCCTGAGACAAGGGAAGGGGCATTTTAGGAGAAGAGAACTGCATGGGCAAAGGCATGGAGGGATGGAAGTGACTGGAGTGCTCCAAGATCAAACCTGTAGGGCAAAGGGAAAGAGATCAGGCTGGGAAGTCAACAGGGCCCAGGGTGAAAAGCTTGGCAAGCTCTGCCAAGGATTTCTGTCCATTCCACATCACCAACTTGAGCAGAGACTTTCCCGATGCTAGGAGAGGAGACTGATAAAAAGCATCCACAGGAGGGAAATTTTCCTTTGCTGGCTCAAGGAGGATGGCAGTGTAGTGATGAGGACTAGGGGCTTAGATCCCAACAGAGACCTGAGTTTGCACTCCCTGCTATGCCCTTGCTTAGCTGTGTGGCTCTGACATTCTGAGCCCCATTCTTCCTATGTGGGATGATAATTCTATGGGTGGACCATTAAGAGCATTAAATGAGATGCTGATAAAGCCCTTAGCGCCGCTACATAGAAAGCCTTCAATAAATGGAACTTATTCAAACCTGCCCCCAGATTCCATGTGGTCACATGGTAAGGAAACATGCAAATATGAAAATCAGTGACCATGCTGAGCATGGTAGCACACGCCTGTAATTACAGCACTTTGGGAAGCTGAGTTTGGATGATTGCTTGAGCCCAGGAGTTCAAGACCCTGTCTGTACAAAAAATTAAAAAATTAGCCAGGCATGGTGGCACACTCCTGAGGTTCCAGCTACCAGGAGGGCTGAGGTGGGAAGATCACTTGAGCCCAGGAGGTCAAGGCTGTAGTGAGCCGTGATCACACCACTGCACTCTAGCCTGGATAACAGAGGAAGACCCTGTCTCAAAAGAGAAAAACGAAAGAAAAAAGTCAGTGACTACTCTGACCTTCCGTGAAGCATGTCTTCTGTGACACCAGTTGCCTGCAAGGCAGGCAAAGGGTGTGGGAGTCGGTAGAGCTGGCTACAGGCAGGTCCCATCTACAAGATCCCTTTATCCTGACAAGCAGGGATTGAGGACCGAAGAGTAGAAACATGAGTGTCACTGGGTGTGATTAGGTGCCCCAGATAGAAAGGGTCCCTGGCTCACAGCCCACGCAGGATCTGCAGCTTCAGACAGCTGAGGTGGGGTGCAGAAAAATGCTCTCTGCAAAGAGGCTGAATCTGCTCTGAGCACCTGGCCTCTCAGGCTGGCTGTGTTCACAGCAGCAGCTCTTCCTCCTCTGCCCACATCCACCTCACCCAGGTGAAACCAGGTCTCAGCAAAGGCAGCCACAATAAATGACTCTGGGGCCAGCCTTCTCCGCTCACCTGCAGGCTTTCTGGGCTGCAGAGATGACAGCTGCAAACTCTTGTTTTTGCAGTCCTTCCTCTCCCTACTCAGCTAATGAACAAGAATGTCTTGTTTCCCCTAGCAGCCCCTACACCCTGCTTCTTTCTCTAGCTCAGAAAGGAATAATAACAATAACAATAATAAATAATAACAACAACAATAATCGCAGCTGCGTGCCATGTACTACTTTAAATTCCTTACTTGTATTTTGTATTATGTTTTTTGGGTTTTTTTAACGCAGCTTTTTTAAATTTTGTATTATGTTTTAATTCTCACACAGCCTTATGAGGTTAGTACTGTGAACCCCATTCTCATTTTACAGATGAGAAATTGGGGAACAGAGAGCTTAAGCAAACTGCCCAAGATCACACAGTTAATAAGTGACAGAGCCAGAATTGTGGGCCAAGTCCAGGACCAGCCCTTCCTCTTGTTAATGAGGAGGGGTGTTCTCTCAGGGTTAGAAAGTGTCAAGTATTCGTAGGCTGTTCCTGAACTTATTCTACTGTTGTCAGCTTAAAAATCTGGTTTTTTTTGAAAGACAGCAGCTGTTTTTATTAGGAGTTCTTTGCATCCAAACACACGTTCATTAAAATAACAATTCACTTTGGGAATAAAATCGTAATTGAGTGTGTAGCACGGAGTTTACATCATCAGCCTGGCCAGACTGAACACCTTTGGGATGTGCCAGAATAGGATTAGTTGCTGTGTAGACACAGTCACACCTGCTTCTACTGATTTTGACTTTATCCATTTTATATGCCCTGAGAAATGCAACCATAAAGACCTCATCCACACGTGTTCTTCCCTCTGTTTACTCACAGACACCCACCACATGCACAGAAAGAAGCTCAAATCCCTGTACCCTTTTATAGAGATAAGATGCACCCATCAAAATTCACCCTGGGCACCCACATACTCACTTAGGGCCCAAAGGCACACACGGGTACGTGTCCCTGCATGACAAGAGATGAATTCCCAAAAGCAAGCAAAGTCAGACACATACAAACATGGAAATACACAGCAGGCGCCTAACAATAGTAATAGCTAAGATTTATCAATGCTTACTCTATGCCAATGCTTACTAAGAGCCTTGGTCTTTCATACTTTATCTCAGTTAATCTTGTCAACTACCTGTAAGGCACATTTTAAAAATAATTATTATTACCCACTTTTTACAAATAGGAAAACTGAGCCACAGAGGGTTAAAATAACTCACCCAGGGTCACACAGCTAATAGGTAGTGAGACAAGGTTTGAACGCAAGTGGTCAGACTCCCTAGCTGCTCCTAGCACAGTCAGGCACAATACAGGTCCCACACGATTGTGATTACACGTTGGCCCACACCTGGCAACTTAAATATCACGTGCCCAAAGCAGAACTCCATTTCCCTCAAAACCTGCTTCCCCTCCACCGCCCCACCAACGCTGGCCCATCTCAGTCAACAGCCCTCGCCACCCATGTAGCTTCTTAAAGCCAAAAGCTAGGAGTTCTCAATTCCTCCCTTTCCTCCAAACCACACATTCAATTCATCAGCAAATCCTCAATCCACCCAAAACCCTCCACCTCCACTGCTATTGTCCTCTCTGAGCCACTGTCATCTCTGGCTTGGACTATTGCAGTAGCCTCTAACACCTGTCTCTGCCTCATGCTTGTCTCCTTACACACATTTTCCACACACCAGATTGATTTTGGTCTTTTAAAAATATTAATCGAATCATGTCATTCCCCTGCTTAAAACCCTCCACTGGCCTCCCACTGCACTTAATAGAATCCAAACCTAATGTTATGGCCTGCAAAGCCCAGAGTGGCCCCACCTGGAGTCCATCGCCGCCCAGCCACACCGGTTCTCTTTCCCTCTCTAAGTCATTCAACTTGCTTTCCAGCTGAGGAGCTGTATGACCTGAGCTGTTTTCTTTGCCTGGAATGTTCTTTCTCCTGGTTTCCACATGGCTGCCTACCTTCGTGTCCATGAGATCTCCACAAAGAAAGTAGTAGAGAGGATGGCTACCTGTTCCACAAAAGCCCATGCTCCCCCTTCCACAGGGTGGGGTTACTGTTCTATCCCTGCTCAGTTCCCAGTGTGGCCATGTGGGCCCAGTGTGGCCAAGTGCTTGTCAAAAGAATGGGTGTGGAGGTGGCTATGAATCCCTTCCAGTCTGAGACTTCTGAGGAACAGATGTGTTTTTCCACTCTTTCCCCTCCCCCTAACACAAGTGGAGGGCTCTGAGGCCCCAGGGGATGACATAGCCTTAATATGGAAAGAAAGCCTGTGTCTCCAAGTCACCACATGGAGGAAAGTGACTTGTTACCTAACTAGGGACCCCATATTATACTGTTTATATGAGTAAGAAATAAGCTTCCCTTTGAGAAGCCACTGAAATGAGATTCAGTTGATATGGCAGCTAGAGTTGCCCTAAGACAGAGACATAGTCCCTGACTGCTCAAATAGCCACCCTGGCACCTTATCACATCACACTGCATGGCACTAATAATTATTTGACATGTTTCCTATTTATTTGTTATCTACTGTTGTCAACTAGGACATAACATCTATGGGGGCTATGACCTTATTTGCCTGACTTACTCTTCTATTCCCAGAACTGGGAAGAGTGTCTAGCACAGAACAGGCAACCGATAAATATTCTGTAATGCATGAGTGAGTAAATGAGAGAATGAACCTGCTCAATACATGGTTATTGAATTGAGTAGGGCAGCAGTAGTAGAGAGGCATGTCCCACCCAGGGCCTGGCACTTGCTTCCTCCAACAGTGCTGTTCCCGAGACACCCGCCTGGTTCCCTCCCTCCTCTCTTTCAGTGATGTATTTAATTGTCCCTTCCTCAATGAGATTCCCCAGAATACTCTATTTAAAATCCTAAGAGTTCCTACACATCCTGCCTACCTCTTTCTCTGCTTTGGGTTTCTTCATAGAACTCACCATTATCAAAAAGTCTCTTATTTAGTGACAGTTAATTCTTTGTCCTCCTCCCTCCCCTAATAACATGAAAACTCCATGAGGTAAAAACTGGTGTCCATTTTGTTCACTATTGTATCTCCACTGCCTAGAATAGTGCCCTGGCACAGAAAGGTACTCAAGTAATGTTTGGTGAAAGAAATAAAAAAGAAAGAGAGAGGAGGAGGGGGATGGAGGAGAAGGGGGGGAGGGAGAGGGAGGAAGGGAGGAAGGGGAGAAGGAAGGGAAGGAGAGAGGGAAGAAGAAAGGGACAGAGGGAGGGAAGGAAGGAAGGAGGGAGGGAAGGAAGGAGGGAGGGAGGGAAGGAGGGAGGGAGGGAAGGAGGGAGGGAGGGAAGGAGGGAGGGAAGGAAGGAGGGAGGGAGAAGAAAGGAAGGAAGGAGGGGAGGAAGGAAAGAAGGAAGGAGGGAGGGAGGGAAGGAGGGAGGGAGGGAAGGAGGGAGGGAGGGAAGGAGGGAGGGAGGGAAGGAGGGAGGGAAGGAAGGAGGGAGGGAGAAGAAAGGAAGGAAGGAGGGGAAGAAGGAAAGAAGGAAGGAGGGAGGGAGAAGAAAGGAAGGAAGGAGGGGAGGGAGGGAAGGAGGGAGGGAGGGAGGGAAGGAGGGAGGGAGGGAGAAGAAAGGAAGGAAGGAGGGGAGGAAGGAAAGAAGGAAGGAAGGAGGGAGGGAGGGAAGGAAGGGAGGAAGGAAGGAAGAAAGGAGGGAAGGAAGGAAAGAAGGAAGGAGGGAAGAAACGAGGGGAGGAAAGAAAGAAGGAAGGAAGGAGGAAGGGAAGGAAGGGAGGAAGGAAGGAAGAAAGGAGGGAAGGAAGGAAGGCAGGCAAGCAGGAAGGAAGGGAGGAAGGAAGGAAGGAGGAAGGAAGGAAGGAGGAAGGAAGGAAGGCAAGCAGGAAGGAAGGAGACAGGCAGGAGGAAGGAAGCCTAGCTCTGTGAGGGAAGTGGTGGGTAGATGTGGGAGGCAATACAGGGTTTAGATCAGAGCAAAGGAACAACAGCCACATGAGCAGAAGAGAGAGCCACCCATTTCTAACTGCCCTGACATGTCCTGAATGAATGGTAAGTCTGACTCTCTTACCGTAGTTTCTGTACTGTAATTCTGTGATGAAGTAATGGATCACAGACATGATGTAGCTGCTTTCACAGGTGCTGCCCACAAAATGAGGAATCAACAACATGCTCGGATGTTTCTTTTTGAAGTAATTAACCCAGTTGGCAATCAGAGTGGACTTCCCACAACCGTGTTCTCTAGACAAGAGCAAAATAGACTTGTAAGTTGGAGTAGGATTTATTCTGAAAAATAAAAGGGTAATAAAATGTAAAGAATATTTACCAAGGAAGGGAAGAAGGGAGAGAGGAAGGAAGGAAGGAAAAGAAAATTTTCCTGCATACATTTTCCTTCTAAAAGATAAAGTTCTAGTTTCAATTTTGGCCTCAGCCAGCTTCAAAGAAGTCATTCACCCTCTGGGCTTTAGCTTTGTCCTGTGTAAAACTAGAAGAGTAAAGACAGCAACTTTGGAAGGCCCTTCCAGCTAGACAAATCCTAGGTCTGTCCAGTAAGAACCAGGGTTACATAAAGGTCCCAAGGCCTGGGGAGGGAAACGACCACATTAGTCCACTGCCCTTGCATCTGGCTTGCTCCTCCTCCCTTGGGTTACCACCACCAATGCCAGGCTGGTCCTACGTGTAACATCATCTTGGAAGAGCATCAGAAATTGAAGCACTGCCAGGCGCAGTGGCTCATGCCTGTCATCCTGGCACTTTGGGAGGCCTAGGTGGGCAGATCAGTTGAAGTCAGGAGTTTGAGACCACCCTGGCCAACATGGTAAAACCCCGTCTCTACTAAAAATACAAAAATTAGCTGGGTGTGGTGGTGTGTGCCTGTAATCCCAGCTACTTGGGAGGCAGAGGCAGGAGAATTGCTTGAATCGGGAGATGGAGGTTGCAGTGAGCCAAGATCATGCCACTGTACTCCAGCCTGGACAACAGAGCAAGACTCTGTTGGAAGGGAGGAAGGAAGGAAGACAAGAAGGGAGGGAGGGAGGGAAGAAGGAAGAAGAAAGAAAGGAAAGAAAGGGAGAGAGAAAGAAAGAGAGAGAGAGAGAGGGAGGGAGGGAGGGAAGGAGGGAGGGAAAGAAGAAGGAAGGAAGGAAGGAAGGGGGAGGGGGAGGGGAGGAGACAGAGGGAAGGAGACAGAGGGGAGGGGAAGGGGGAGAGGAGCAGATGGAGGGGAGGGGGAGGGGAGGGGCAAGGGGAGGGAGGGGAAAAGGAGGGGAGGGGGAAGAGGAGGGGAGGGGAGGGCAGGGGAGAGGAGGTGAAGAGTAGGGAGTGGAGGGGAGGGGAGAGGAGGGGAGGGAAGCACTCATATGCCAAGAATTCCCTTCAATCCTGATGACCACCAAATTAGAAATCAACTAAATTATTATCATTGTTAGTGACTCACTGAGAGTCTTCTACTGGGTTAGCTGGTAATACTGCATGAATATGATTTCTTTGAACTGCCAGGAGCATAACACAACTTGTTCTGTGGCTTTCTTTTTCACTGAAAAGCTTCTGAATATGCAAAGTATTCTCAGGTCCATGAAATTCACTCTGGCCTTGTACCTTACACAGTTATCATTCAATAAATACGTGTCTAGTGACTTTTCACTGATGTTAAGTTCCATGAGGAGGATAGTTTCCAGGCTCACCTTATTCACCATTGAATATTTAGTGACTTGCACAACACCTGACCATAACTTGTTCAGTGAGTGAATGAAATAAGTAAACCTGACATTCAGTTTCAGCAAAGAAGAAAATCAGCCTGAAAATTCGTTAAAAAAGAAAACCTAAAACAGTGTCATTAGAAGTTGCTTCATAAGAATTCCATCTCCATGGCTGGGCATAGTGGCTCCTGCCTGTAAGCCCAGCGCTTTGGGAGGCTGAGGCGGGTGGATCACGAGGTCAGGAGATCAAGACCATCCTGGTGAAACCCCGTCTCTACTAAAAATACAAAAACAAAATTAGCTGGGCGTGGTGGCAGGCGCCTGTAGTCCCAGCTACTCGGGAGGCTGAGGCAGGAGAATGGCACAAACCCGGGAGGCAGAGCTGTCAGTGAGCCAAGATTGCACCACTGCACTCCAGCCTGGGCAACAGAGCGAGACTCCATCTCAAATAATAATAATAATGATAATAATAATAAAATAATAATTCCATCTCCATTAGTATGAGTTTGGAATCAATGCCTTATTGCTGAAATGATTTCACCATCAAATCTGAATGGTCAGGTTTGATTTTGTGCCCTACTTCCACTTTTGCTCTCTTTCAGTCTCAACCAAGCAGTGTGAGTGAGTCCATCAAAATATGTCATAGAGGCCAGGCATGGTAGCTCATGCCTGTCATCCCAGCACTTTGGGAGGCCAAGACAGAAGGATTGCTTGATCCCAGGAGTCTGACAGCAGACTGGGCAACATAACTTTTGTCTCAAAAAAAATATTGTTTTTAAATTTAGCCAGGCATGGTGGCATGCACCTGTAGTTCCAGCTGCTGGGGAGTCTGAGGTGGGACGGTCCCTTGAGCCCAGGAGTTTGAGGCTGCAGTGAGCTAGGATCGTGCCACTGCACTCTGGACTCAGAGACAGAGCAAGACCCTGTCCCCCTTCCCCGCAAAAAAAGGAGTCATGTAAGCAGGTTATTGCTCTGCTCAAAAGTAGTACAGTAAAAGCCAAGTCCTTGCAAAGACCTGTAAGACCAAACAAGATCCACATCCTCCCCACTGTCCATTGCATCTCCAACCTCATCCCCTACTACCAACCCTACAGCTGACTTTCTTCTAGCCGCCTGGCCTCTTTGCTATTTCTCCAGCCTCCAGGCCTCCACATTTGCTATGACCTCTGTCTGGAATGCTCTTCCAATCCATATGTACATAGCTTGCTCCCTCACCTATCTCTGGTAGTTACCCCAATGTCACCGTCTCAGTGAGGGCTTCCCTCACCCTACCAGATGGCCTAATTCCTTCCAGTGTTTCCTTTTCCTCCACAGCACTTGAAGGCATCTCACGAATACTACATATTTCACATAGTTATCATGCCTGTCTCCACAATGCAAGCTCTGTAGAGGCAGAGATTTGTTTCTTCTGTTCACTGCCATATCCCATCTCTAGAACAGTTCTTGTATCTAGCAGGTAAAATAAATGAAGGAAAGCTGCAATAAGAGACATCCACATAATCAGGGGTAGGGTCTTAAATTTCTTCTCAAGAACAAAAAGAACATTTCATTTTGCAAAGTAATCTGTGGTTCCTTTCGAAATGAGAAAAAAAAGGATCCTATTGATCTATATAGTTGGTTATTAAGACAATGCTTTGAAACCTGAAAAGAACTTTCCTTTTCTATTGACCTACACACACTATTCAGGAACTTAAGGTAGAGAGCGTTGTTTCCAAATGGCAAAGCAAACAAGGCCCTGAATGTTTTCATGTATCTAATATAAAAGGGCTTATTTGTTATATTTTTACTGAGCACAACAATTTGACTTGTTCAATTGCAATAAAATTTATTACATTTCTCATCCACTCTGAAACACTTAAAATTATAACCTAAGTGAGAAATAATTCACATACTAAAAAATTCACCATTTTAAAGTCTACCCTTCCATGGTTTTCAATATATTCACAAGGTTGTACAAGCATCACTGCTATCTAATTCCAGAACATTTTTCAGCACCCCCAAAAAGAAACTGTACCCACTAAGAATCATTCTCCATTTCTTTCACCACCCTCTTCCCCCAATAGGCACTAAACAACTTTCTGTCTCTATGAATTTGTCTACTTAAATCTAATATTCTTAACACATGACCTATATGTTTCTCCTGTAGTCTGAAAATATTGACTGAGCACCATGCTGTATTAACTGAATAAATTGTCTTCCTCTTGGCATGGGTTCCCAGAACCACAAGAATGTTGGTAGCCCTGTCCCTGAGTGAACTAAACCAGTAGGTTCTGAACCTGGGACAGCAACGGTGAAAAACAGCCCTTAGCCATCCCAGCACTGCAGTTTTATTTCAAAGCACAAATCTTTCACAGGACACATGAGATGCAAGGTTTAAGAGCTGGAAAATGAGAATGGAAAAAATAAAGCTATCCTAAGAACCTCCCCACTTCCAAGGATGAGACTGGGAGGGATACCATGGGTAACCCCAGCTCTCTCACTGCTGGCCTCAGCTTCCTAATGCCTGTGGGTGGTGAACACAGTATTTCACCACCCAGGGTGAGAAAGATATGGAGGTTTTATTGTAGAGTATACTGGATAAAACAATGAAGGAGTGCATATGTTGAGTAAGATAACCTGTTTTTTTCTTTAGAGATGGAGTCCCACTATGTTACCCAGGCTGGGCTCAAACTCTTGGGCACAAGGGATCCTCCCGCCTCACCTGATTAGCTGGGATTACAGGCATACACCACCGTGCCCAGCTCAAGATAACCTGATTCTTTACAAACAAACAGAAATAATATGGTCCATATCATTTTCATAAGTGCTAGCTGAATATCTGAATGTAATTAATAATGAGCTGATGATACATGTGGAAGCTCTTTGTAAATTATATAATATTATGCAGATGCGTTATTCATATTTCCTAATCTAATTTTTTTTTTTTTTTGAGACGGAGTCTCGCTCTGTCACCCAGGCTGGAGTGCAGTGGCATGATCTCGGCTCACTGCAAGCTCCGCCTCCTGGGTTCACACCATTCTCTCACCTCAGCCTCCCAAGTAGCTGGGACTACAGGCGCCCGCCACCACGTCCAGCTAATTTTTTGTGTGTATTTTTAGTAGAGACGGGGTTTCACCGTGTTAGCCAGGATGGTCTCAATCTCCTGACCTCGTGATCCACCTGCCTCCGCCTCCCAAAGTGCTGGGATTACAGGTGTGAGCCACCACACCTGGCCTAATTTCTTCTCTTTAAAGTCACTCCATCATTCTCAAAAATTACTTAGACCACCTTTGATGTATGGGAGAAAAAAGAAGGTGGTTCCCTGCACTCTGGAAGTGTCTAATCTTCTTGAGGACACTGGAGGAAACTACATGAAACATCAGAAAAATTTTGCAAGTGCAGAGTGATATCTGATAAGAAAATTCTAACCCCGGGTTGGCTTTTAGGGGGTCTCTCTTGCTTGAAGGGATGAGCATAGAATGGGGAAAGTTGGAAAAGGCATTCCAAGTTTGGGGGATTGCGTTTACCAAAGTCAGGCTGTTCTGCCTGAGCTTAGAATTTCTTGACATCTTACCTGGGGACAGAATCTAAACTGGAATCTGCTGCCACATTGTTAAAATCAAGTTCCACATCCTTTAAGGCAAATTTTTCCAAGATTTCAAAGGTCCTATCTGACTCCTTGGAAATAACACACATTTGCTTGCACTTCTCAGTAAACTCTTCGTGATAGAAACGTTCAAAACTGTGCTTGTAGTCTTGATAGTGAAAAAGATAAGTTTTAATAACTTAGATTAGTAGTTTCACATTTTCGATTCTACATGTTATTACAAATGCCCAGGAAGGTATCTCTCTGTATCTATATCACCTTCTATTTGTGAAATATTCCAGATTTCACAGCCCATTCAATATACTAATGAAAGAAAACTACAGGAAAACAATTGAACCTTTCTTCTGCTATTTGTACATAGAATCCTACTTACGATTCCAAGTTATTTCATGACCTCAGAATGACAAGGGCAAAAAAATTAGGTTTGCTATATAATGCAGGTCATTTTTTCAAACTGTTAGTGAAGTAGGAAGTTATCTAATCCAGTCTTGTGAGGTATGTATGTGTGTCTATCTATGACAGAGGTTGAGCAAGTGGGGTATATTTTTAGGACAAATGCCCTAATAAGGATAACAACCATGGGTACAGCTGCAGCTCTGCCATTGGGCAAGTTTTTTAAACTCTCTGATAAAATAAGGGGGAGGGGCCAGACAATGGATAATTTCTAAAGTTTCTTCCAGTTTTAATTTACTGCAATTCTAAATTCATTGCCTAATAAAAGTCAGGGTGTTCTGGGCTCCCAAAATGCCCTCCTGTCTCTGGAGACACCCATATTCCCTATGTTTGTTTGTTTAGGAGTAAAGGCTGTTATCAACACATGCAGGAAAAGGAACACCAGATAGTTTAGCCTGGTAAGTTCCCAAAATACTCACATTGTACCTTCATAGTTAACAGGGCTGCCCCAGGGCTCAGACAGGACCAGAATAGACCTGGAGGATCCACAAGCTGGCCAAGGTCAGCTTCAAGTTTCAAGATCTTAGACAGAATCTGGATGACCTCACAGTCTAACAGTCCTCTTGCACGAACCCTGAACCTCATCCAATAGTCTCAGGGATCTTCAAGGACCTCAGAATTACTTCTATGGGTCAAGAGTGTAAACTGATAGTTCTACATTGTCTTACAATAACTACCAGCTGCCCAAATGGCCTATCACTACCCTAACTGTGGACTATGAGATTTTGGAGCTACCTAGGTGATTAAAGAGCATTGAAGATCCAAAAGAGAAAGAATTTAAGGCTTCCGTCTAAAGCAAGGAAGGATTATTTTTTAAATAATCCATCCATTCCATGCCTTCTAATTCAGACATTTAGACCACATATATACATTCAAGAATAAAGTCTAAAACAAGCTAACCTTTCAGTAATATCCAAAATCAAAGGCTAAGGAGAATACTATGGAGAAATAATATGACCTTAACCCCAAAACACAGAAAGGCTATATTCTTGAACACATTAGTGAATATTAATCAATAGATGCAGTTCAGGTTAAGATTAGTAAAAGAATATTAATATTAACCACATTTCTGACTTTAACCAAATGTATATATTCTTATCGAACCCATTTGTTTTTATTCATTCTCACTAGTTATTAACTCTGTGCCTGATATGTGTCTGGTGTTGTTTTTGGTGGTTTACATAATTACTCTCAAAGTGGTTAATGTTAACCAATTTTACGGAAGAAAAAACAACGGTTTACCAACACTAAGTAATGCACTCAAGGTCACATAACTAGGAGCTGAAAAATACAAGATCCAACGACCTGTCTGTCAGATTCTAAAACCCCAAGCCTGTCATAAATATGTGGGTTCTTTTTAGCTGCTCAACATCCAACCACCCTACCCTAGTTTCAGTAACAGCCCTGGATTATCATTGTGGAGCCACCCATCCCAACTCTCAGTTCATATTATTCCAAGGAGTCTAACTCCACTTGCAGCTCCAGAAGTGGCATGTGACCCGGAATTAGCCAATCAGAGCATCACATTCCCTTGACACCCAGTGATTGAATCAAATGCAAGCATATGGCCCAGGTCAGGCTAATCAGAGCCAGAAAGACTCAATGCTAGGAATGCTAGGACTTTGAGCCATTTCTGCTGGACTTGAACCTGGAGCTGCTATGGCCCATCTTCCTCTTCCTTCACGATAGAGAAGCTAAGGAGCTGAGCTAACATCAGGACAGCAGGGCCAGGCTGAGAAGTAGTCAGAGACAAGGGTCTGGTAACATCATTTGAGCAACTGAATGAAGCCTGAGCTGAGTCAGACTTAATCCTGGCCTTTTTAGTTATATAAGCTAATAAATTCCCTTTTCGTTAAAATCAGTTTGAGTCACCTGCAACCAAAAGAGTTGGAACTGATACAATGTTCTTTTTCCAGGGTCCAGATGATTTGGCTTCTAGGCAGAGTTTTGTCTAGCCTGCAGAGGTTTGTCTTCACCACCACCACCCACACTGAATTCAAATGACTCTCCTGTTCAGTACAGATCCATCTGCTCCCTATCACATTACAAGGACTATTGTGTGCCTGGTCCCTGAAAGCATTTGAGAATGTACCACCTGCCACCATTTTCCATCCCCATGTTAATTGGGCCCTTTCATCAGTAATTTATAATCTTTTGGGGTCATTAAGCCTTTTGAGAATCTGATCAAAGACACAGGCCATCCTCCTACCCCCAGGACACACATAGGCATATAAACATTATATTTTCATACAATTTTACATAATTTTCATATAGTCTATCTTTCATATTATCATCACAGATCCCTCCTGAAGTCTGTCTAGGTGACAGACTCTTCCCTTTTTAATCTGGTACATGTCCACAGGACATTATTTCCAAAAATAATGGTAATCATTTCATTTAGAGGCAATATGATGTCAGGCAATGCTTCTCAAACTTTAACATACATGTAAAGCCCCTAGTCATCTTGTTAAACTGCAAATTTTAATTCAGTTGACCTGGAATGGAGCTCAAGATTCTACCTTTCTAACAAGCTACTAGGTGATGCTGAGGCTGCCAATCCATGAATCATACTTTTAAAAAAAAAGGTGAAAAAGAGCAGGCATAGATTTTAGAGTCAGAGAGACCTGAGTTCAAATCCTGAATTTGTCCCTCACTAGTTATGTGACATTGGTAAGTCATTTCACTGCTACACAGCAGCTTTCATTTGCTCATTTACAGAATCGGAATTATAATACCTACCTAGCAGGGTTAAACCTTGAAGATTAAATGTAATAGCATAACCAAAGCACTAGAAAATTAATAAAAGTTGATTCTCTTCCTCTTGGCTCAGTATTTCTGAATTTTGGGTAATTATTTATTATGGGGGTTGTCCTGTGCACTGTAGGATGCTTGTCAGTATCGCTGATGCCAGTAGCTCTCCCCAAATCATGACAATCATAAATGTTTTCAGACTTGGCCAAATGTCCCTTGAAGGAGCAAAATCGGCCCTGGTTGAGAACCACTGCTCTAGACTCACTTAACGGCCAGATATTTTGGGTCTTCTCTGAGCTCCTTAACCCCCTAAACAATCTTCCATGACTGACTCATTACTTGCTCTTATTTTCAGTTGCAAAAATCTTCAAAGTGGAAAAATACATGTCACAAGAACACAATAATAATTTTTAAATGCTTAAGGAACATTTGCAATCATTTAAAAATTCCTTTCACAAGGAAGACCTATAAAAACATTACCTTTATGTTGATAATGGACTTAGTTATCTCTATATTTACTAACCTATATTTTCAATCATTAAAGTGGCTGGATGAAGTTTTTCTATCACAACTGACCAGTCCTTAAAAACCAGCTCACCCAACTCGTGGAGATCACTATAAAATCTCACAGGGAGCCCTTTACTAATAATCTTGGCCTTAAGCTTTCCAATCCTCAATGTTTCCTCTTCGTTGGTTGAAGAACTTGAGGGCAGCCTCTCTCCCTTTTTCTCATCATCTAAAGCCTTCAGCAGTGTGGTTCCAGTCCTAAAGTAAAAATACTGAAATTGAGATTCATTCAGAAATGCTGCTTGGATTATCTCAAACTCCGTCAGACTGCAGCTGGGGTTCTCCAGAACCCAAGGATAACCGTTTTTGGCAGCAACATAGAGATTCTATTCTACTTTGGATAAGCTTGACAAGCGAGTCACTTTGGAGGTCATGAAATGTGAGTAGTCAGGGAGGAAGTCTCCATACGTCTGACCCAGCATGCAGATGAAAAAGGGAAAGCAGCTGTTCACATAGTCAAGGCAGAGCTTCAGAC
The DNA here is from genome assembly GCF_000001405.40 of Homo sapiens. Lineage (NCBI taxonomy): Eukaryota > Metazoa > Chordata > Mammalia > Primates > Hominidae > Homo > Homo sapiens. The sequence continues at coordinate 103,915,597 of NC_000012.12, forward strand.
GTTGGGAGCGAAGACAAGAATACTGTCTAAACAGGTGGGTGGGTAAGGATTTCGGGGCCTTTAATGCTGACCAACTCAGGTCCACGGCTTTGAAATATGTGCCCCAGGAATTGCAGAGTTCATTAAGCTGAGGGAAGATGTTGTTTGCCAAAAAGTCTCTCTCTTCTTGAAAATCATTCAGAGTCGAGCAGATGTAAGGCTGAATGGGTTTCTGGGGCTTTTGAAGGAATTGGGTATACCTTTCTACATTCTCATTTGTCTTCTGGCTCATTTCTCTTTGCTTGGGGACAACACTATGCATAAAATATCACAATTTTCATCCTAGCACAGCCACCGACCCCCACTGCTTCTAATCTTCCTCCCAATTATGTTTGCTATGAACAGGTGGAAATCTTTCTTGAAAATTGTTTCTTATTGGTATTGGAAGGTGAGAGATGCCAACCAGGGGACAGATCAGAGTTGAAAAACAATCCAGTTTAAGTTAGGACTGAAAAAGAAAAAAAACATTCATTTTAGGATTACAGGCAGTGCATGTCTCCCCTGTTCTTCCAAAGCTTTTGCTGAAGAACTGAGAACCAGAAGGCAAGTGGGCACAGGCCAGAGGCCTCCCCATCTTTCCCCGAGCCTCCCATTCTACCTTCTCAGTGTCCCTGTGGCCAGCTGCTACTTCTGTCCCCTATGATTTTGGACGTTATGCAAGGGCACTTGCTGATAGCGTGAAAAAGAAAACAAACCCAGAAAAGGAACTCAATGTCTTTAAGAGCAGAACAAGCCAAGGAAGACCTATGACTGTGACCAGAAGCAAGAATGAAAGCAGGTATGAAGATGAAGTCAGGACAGGAGGAACAAAGGCTGTAGACTGAAAGCAGCTGGCAGCTGAGAGGCAAGGAAGTCTGGATCTAAGAACCTGGGAGAGTTCAGGGAATTTTTTTAGTCTTATATTGTGCAGGCTCATACAACACTCCACTCACCTCCATGAATTAAATTCCACTGAGCTAATGGAAAAACATACACCCTCCGACAATGTCATAGCTATGCTTGCAAGAGCTCAGAAAAAAAAAACTATGGTAACAACCTAGTTCTATGAGGTTTTTCTTGATACAACTCATTTCCATGCCAAATGTAGCTTTTCTTTGGTTATGTTTATTGCTTTCACTTGTAGAAAAACATATCACATTATACAGCAATTTTTCATCAAGATCACCTGACAACAATATAATAATGCAGTACCTTTTTAAAAAGTGTTAACCCTTTGCATGGAATTGTCCTGACAATCCTATGATAGCTAGGATTACCACCCTACTTTACGAATGAAGAAACACAAGTGCAGACAGGATAAACAGGACATCCAAAGTCAGTTAGCTGGGAAGTGGAGAGCCAGGATCTAAACGTGGGTCAGTCTTACTCCAGAACACATACAGTATGATGCCACCATAGTATAAAGATAAGACCCTAGGTCATGCAGACACTATAAAATTGGTGGGTGGGAAACACCTATGCAATAAGCAGTACTGTAATAAATAGGTGGCAATTTAGAAAAGAGTAATTTAAACCACAATCTCACACTATTTAAAAAAAAAAATTCTGAAAGATGGCAGAATAGACACTAGGAGGGTTTTATAAATAGACGCCTCACCAGCCATGTCGGAGGCTCAAGATAGATTACTGGCCCTTGCAGATTCTACCTTCTCCTATTCCCCTGTGATCAAAGGTCATTCCTATTTTACTCACTACCAGTCCTTTATCAATAGATATATAAACAGAACCACACTCAGAGATGAGTCAAATAATGGAAACTTCAGATAAGTTTTAAATAGCTATGAATAATAGGTTAAAAAAAGCTAGTGGAGGGCCGGGCATAGGTGGCTCACACCTATAATCCCAGGAGTTTGAGACCAGCCTGGCCAACATGGTGAAACCCATCTCTACTAAAAATACAAAATTAGCTGGGTGAGGAGGTGGCGCGTGCCTGTAATCCCAGCTACTTAGGAGGTTGAGGCAGGAGAATTGCTTGAACCCAGGAGGTGGAGGCTGTAGTGAGCCAAGATCGCACCATGGCACTCCAGCCTGGGCAACAAGAGCAAAACTCCATCTCAAAAAAAAAGAAAGAAAAAAAAAAAGCTAGTGGAAAATGTGTAAAACATGCATAAATAGATGTAAAGTTTCAGCAAACAGATGAAAACTATGAGAAAGACTCAAATGAAAACATTACAAAGAAAAAACATGGTATCAGAGATGAATTCCTTCATCAGGCTTTCTAGAAAACTAAACACAGCAGAAGAATCAGAAAACGTGAAGATGGGACAACAGAAATCCAAACTAAAATGCAAAGAGGAAAAGAAAGAGAGAGGAAAACAACCACCAAACTCCCAAGAACTATGGGAACAACTTCATCTACTCCAAATAGATATAATTGAAGTACTGGAAGGAGAAAAGAGGGAATGAGGCAGAAGACATAGCTGGGCGGGGAGGGAAATGGCTTGAATGTTCAAAAATAATGAAAGACATCAAACCACAAATCCAAGAAAGTCAGATTAAACCCAAGCAGCATAAATACAAAAAAAAAAAAAAGATAAAAAGAAAAATAATAATAAAACACGTAGACACATCACACAGAGAAACAAGGAAGATAATTGAGTGAATTCTTTGTTTTATAATCTGTTTTTTGTTTTTTGTTTTTTTTTTTTTGTAGAGACAGGGTCTCGCTTTGTTGCCCAGGCTAGTCTCAAACTCTTGGCTTCAAGCAATCCTACCACCTTGGTCTCCAAAGTGTTGAGATTACAATTGTGAGCCACTGCACCAGCCAAGTGAATTCTTTCAAGTACCAACTGGGAGAAAAAAATGGTCAACCCAGAATTATATATCAGGTGAAATGTCTACAAAAATGAAGGAAAACTGAAGACTTTTTCAGACAAACAAAACTGAGTAAATTGACTTCCAGAAGGCCTGTGCAATAAGAAATGTTAAAAGAAGTTCTTCAGAGGCCAGGCGCAGTAGCTCACGCCTGTAATCCCAGCACTTTGGGAGGTCGAGGCAGGCAGATCACAAGGTCAGAAGTTTGAGACAGGCCTGGCTAACATGGTGAAACCCCGTCTCTGCTAAAAATACAAAAATTAGCTGCGTGTGGTGGTGCGCACCTGCAATCCCAGCTACTTGGGAGGCTGAGGCAGGAGAATTGCTTGAACCCAGGAGGTGGAGGTTGCAGTGACCCAGGATGGCACGACTGCACTCCAGCCTGGGTAACAGAGCAAGACTCCATCTCGGGGAAAAAAAAAGGGGGGGTAAACACTGTAAACTCTATAGCAACTAATACAAATTTTAAGAAGAAACATAACTAATAAGTCAATAGGAGAGATCAATTGGAATCATTGAAAATAATCAATTAGTGCAAAAGAATGCCGAGAAAGAGAAAAATAACCAGATGGGACAAATAAAAAACAAATAGCAAGATGGCAGATTGAAATCCCATAACATCAATAATTAAACTAGATGTAAATCCCTCCCTTAAAGGGAGAGATTAGGAGATAAGATTTAAAAAGAAAGACCCCACTACATGCTGCCTAGAAGAAATCTACTGTAAATATAAAGAGATAGACAAAATAAAAGTAAAAGGTTGGAAAAAGATATACCATGCAAACACTATTTAAAAGTAAACTAAAGGGCCTATATTATTATTCAGAAAAAAAGCAGACTGCAGAATAAGGACTACTATTAGGAATAGAGAGTGACATTACATTACATAATAACGCATATAAAAATAACTCATAGGTCAAAGAGAAAGTAAAAAAAAAATGATGACAGAAGGCAGCTCATTTGTTAGCTGGAGAAGGTTTGGGGAGGAAATACTATAAATGGAAAGGAGCACAAGGAAACTCTTTGGAATGATGGAAATGTTCTATATCCTAATTATAGTGGTGGTTACACAGGTGTAGATATTCATCAAAGTTTATCAGTTGAACACTTCAAACGGGTGCATTTTATTTAATGTAAATTATATCAAAATAAAGTTGATTATTTGTAAAAATCCAAGAACTATATAGCAAGAGGAAAATGTTTAAGTGAAAAAAGAAAAAAAGTAGTTATAGACCATAATAATAGCAATGTGAATAAAACACCGCTAAATATGGGAGACAGCATAGTATACAGATCGAAGGTCCAAGCTCAGACCAATTCACTGCAAAAATACAAAAAAACTTAGCCGGGTATGGTGGCACATGCCTGTAGTCCCAGCTACTTGGGAGGCTGAGGCAGGAGAATCGCTTGAACCCGAGAGGTAGAAGTTAGAGTGAGCTGAGATCACGCCACTGCACTCCAGCCTGGGCAACAGAGCAAGACTCCGTTTCAAAAAAAAAAAAATTACTAGAAATATTTCATTATTACTGTAAGTGGAGGAAAAAACACCTATATGGCACAAATTGACAGTAGCTATAAAAATAAATGCATTAAGGCCAGGAGTTATGGCTCACGCCTGTAATCCCAATACTTCGGGAGGCCAAAGAGGGAGGACTGCTTGAGCCCAGGGGTGTCCAGGCTGCAGTGAGTTATGATGGAACCACTGGGCTCTAGCCTGGGTGACACAGCGAGGCCCTGTCTCTAAATAAATAAATAAATAAATGCATTAAAAAGAAAAGAATGTAATTAAATTCTAGTTAGACACAGTTCTTTTCATTAGAAAGGGAAAGATGAACGTGTACTTAGACAGACTTGTACCAAACTGACTTTCTCTTCTCATAATCAGTAAGACTGAAACAGAATTGAAAGGGTTCAACTTTTGCACGAGGGAGTCAATGTTATTTAATATTTTGACCCTGGCCCACCTGATAGCAGCAACTGGCATCACAGTGGCACCTCCTACTTTGTTGGGTACACTCCCAGAGGTTGAGCATGGACTTCGGAGTCATGTAAACCTTGCCGCAGGGTCTGCCTCTGACACAGTTTCTACAGCTGTAAATCCGGAATACTGACCTTACCTGTGAGATGGGAATAAATGAGGCCTTGTATAATAAGCACCTCATAAGCCTTTGTCTTTAAAATTTTTTTTAACACTGTGAAGGTAGACTTCTCATTAAGAAATATCCTTCCCGACAGATTTCTCAATCAAGCTATCACTGTTTAATATACATTTTACTTAATTTTTTTATTTTTTGAGACAGTCTCGCTCTGTCGCCCAGGCAGGAGTGCAGTGGCGTGATCCTGGCTCACTGCAACCTCTGCCTCCTGGGTTCAAGTAACTCTCCTGCCTCAGCCTCCTGAGTAGCTGGGATTACAGGCACGCGCCACCACACCTGGCACACCTGGCTAATTTTTGTATTTTTAGTAGAGATGGGGTTTCACCATGTTGGTCAGGCTGCTCTCGAACTCCTGACCTTGTGATCTGCCCGCCTCGGCCTCTCAAAGTGCTGAGATTACAGGCGTCAGCCACTGCACCCGGCCTAATATACATTTTAGAATCTGCAAGATCTACACAAAGTCCTCAATAAATGTTTGCTATTCCTATTATTGTTGTTAATATTATTTCTGGTGCAAATGTCTGAATTCATATTTTGCGATGAAGCAGCCTCAGTAATATCACTGTATTTATCGTAGCTCTTTATAACTAAAAGTTATAAGAAAATCTATTACCTGGTCAAAAATGCCTCTGACCTTTTTCAGGAATTTCTTACAACATTTTAAGGCTTAGAAACTTCTATATTCAAATCCCACCTCACCCCCACGCCACAATCATTTTAGTATCATTTTAGTAATTTTACCCCTGACAGCCCCAAGTTGTATTTTTTCTTTTTTAAAAAGCTCCTTATATCCTGGCTAACAAGGCGAAACCCCGTGTCTACCAAAGAATAGAAAGATTAGCCAGGCCTCGTGGCGCGTGCCTATAGTCCCAGCTACTCAGGAGGCTGAGATGGAAAAACTGCTTGAACCCAGGAGGCAGAGGCTGCAGTGAGCCAAGATTATGCCACTGCACTCCAGCGTGGGCAGCAGAGTGAGACCCAACCTCAAAAAAAAAAAAAATTCTTATGCTTAAAATGTAAATTGATGAGAATGCAAGTTTGTACAACTTTCCTAGGGGCAATCTGTCAGTGTATAGCCAAAGCCTTGTAAAACAAATCATGTATTTTTAGCAAGCATTCCAATTTTAGGAAGTTATTCTATTTGTCTATAAGCATTTACCTCTAAGGATTTTCATTGCAGCGATATTTACAATGGTTTTAAAACTGCTAACAAACTAAAGGTCTAACAATAATAAATTGGATATCTTGTGGAAAATGTTTATCATATATTGGTCAGTGAAAAAGACAGTTATAAAACAGTATTATTGTGTGATCCCATTTTTAACTTAAAATGTGTTAAATATTAATAAAGACATCAAGATGCTAATAGTGATATATCTGATTACAGCATATGGGTTATTTTAATTTTTTTCCTTGATTGTTTTCTTTTTTTTTTTTTTGAGAGGGAGTCTCACTCTGTCACCCAGGCTGGAGTACAGTGGCATGATCTCAGCTCATTGTTCAAGGGATTCTCCTGCCTCAGTCTCCCAAGTAGCCGGGATTACTGGCACCTGCCACCATGCCCAGCTAATTTTTGTATTTTAGTAGAGACGGGGTTTCACCATGTTGGCCAGACTGGTCTCGAACTCCTGACCTCAAGTGATCCACCCACCTTGGCCTCCCAAAGTGATCCACCTGCCTTAACCTCCCAAAGTGCCAGGATTACAGGCGTGAGCCACCGCGTCTGGTTGACTTTTTCCTTTAATTTCCAAATGTTCTACGACAAACATTTTGTTTAAATAAATTTTCTTTAAAAGAAAAAAACCCTCTCAAACTGTTCAAGTAGTGGTTAAGAGGTATGCAGTAGCTAGAACAATGTAGGATATTTTAAAAATATGAGTTTGTTAGCTCTGCCATTACCTAACTCTCGGACAGCATTTAATTTCTCTGGAACTCAAATTTTCTAAGCTTTAAAAAAAAGGTGGAGAAGGCTTGAGACAGGAGCATAAATTGATATAGCCTTTTTTGTAGGAAAATTGGTAAATATCCATGAAAATTTGAATGCACATACTCTTTCACCTAACTGTTCCAAAACTAACAATTTATTCTCCAGATAAACTTGCACAAATATAAAAAGTTGTGCAAAAACATTCCTTGATTATAATAGCAACAAACTGTAGACCATCCAAAGGCCTATCAAATAGGAGGGCAGATAAAAAGGAGTAAGACATTTAAGATCTATTAAATGAAATAACCTAGTGTGGATTGTTCTATTTAATCTATTTAAGATTTCTAATTTTATTACGCATACATATATGTACACACACACACATATACATACACACTACAAAATTTCTGGAAGCACACATAAAAAAACTTTATCAGAGGAAACCTCTAGAGATTAAGAACAGTAGAGTAGGGGAAGCCTGGAATGTTTACCTTTGTTTTTTTGTTTTTTTTGAGATGGAGTCTCACTCTGTAGCTTAGGCTGGAGTGCAATGGTATAATCTCAGCTCACTGCAACCTCCGCCTCCTGAGTTCAAGCAATTCTCCTGCCTCTGCCTCCCAGGTAGCTGGGATTACAGGCACCCGCCACCACGGCTGGCAAATTTTTTTATTTTATTTTTTTAGTAGAGACAGGGTTTCGTCATGTTGGCCAGGCCGGTCTCAAACTCCTGACCTCAGGTGACCCGCCTCAGCCTCCCAAAGTGCTGGGATTACAGGTGTGAGCCACCGTGCCCAGCCATGTTTACCTTTGAACTTGTATTTTTCTGTGCCAATTAATTTTTAATCATGAAACTCTATTAGTTTTATAATTTAAAACCAAAAGCAGGAATTGTGGAATTCCATAATTTCTAAGATTCCTTCCAGTGCTAAAATTCCAGTAAGTCCTTAATATAAATTATTATCAACATGGCTGATTTGATCACTCAAAATACTGAATTTATTTACCAAATTTTTAAATTTAACAAATCCCTGTTTGAAATTCAGTTCTTCTTGCGCTCTGCTAGGATCCAGAATTGACAGGGGATAACTGGATACATATTTTTAAATTGATCTGTTTTTGTAAGGCAGACTCTAGGGAGATGTTTATTTCCTATTAAGGAAATGAAATGTAAGCTACAAGACTATGAATGAATTTAATTTATGACAGGTTGAAACTTTCTGATTGTATGTAAGAGAGTCAGAGTACCCAGGGGTTTTTATTAGCAGATGCAAGTAACCATTTTATAAATTCAAAGTCAGTTCTCAAGGAGGGTAATATGGTGTGAGCTGGGGTAACAGGGTCTGGGGAAAAGATCACAAGTAACTCAAAATTGCAGTTAAAACTTTTCAAAAAGAGAACATAATGTAAATATAGTTGTAATTACATCTAATATTTAGAAACACACTTATTGCTCTATAGCCAAAAATAATACAAGTTCCATAGTTTGGAAATATTGAACATCATATAAATTGCTTGATGAGAAACAACCAAAAGGATAATATGAGAAAATAATTATGGTTGCTTAACATCTTAGGTGAAATCTGGTGTTTTGGAAACATGACAATGGGACCAAGGACTTCAACATCTACTATGCAAATCTACATCTACGCCTACATTCAACTACGACAGACAATTTCAAGCAGAACGGCCCTCCCCGCAGAACCACTAGAGAAGCTGAAGGAGATACCTGAGAAACTATTTAAAGACATCAGATAGATACCCAGCAACCAGGATTTCAAGAGGCAAGATTCCAGAGAGAAGGGAAGCTTTGAGAAGTGAACCCTACCTTCTCCTGTTGCCTTTCCCCCTTAAAGTGTTTGCTAATTCTTATGCCACTCAGAACCAATATTCTTAGAAGGCACAATGCTGAGAAGCTCAGCAAAGCTCAGAGGCTACATGGTGCTTGCTAGTGCTAGACAGACAAAAATTGGAGCTCAGAGCCTGTCCAGGAGGAAGAGGCGTGGGAAACACCCTAGGCTGTTAAATTGTCTGGATACTCATTCTTGGTTAAAAAAGTCTCTCCCATCCCTGCCTTGTATACTCACAGGCTCTCTTAGTTTCTTATAAGCAAGAATTTATTTTTTATATGGTGCAAGATAGGAGTTTAACTTTATTTTGCTTGAGATGGATAACCAGTCAAGGCTAGTATCATTTATGATATTAACTATCCTTTCCCCTCTGAACTGAAATATCACTTTTTGTCTTATCTTAAATTGAAACAATCTATTTTTGGATTATTTGGTTGCACTGATTTTTTTTTTCTTTTTTCTTTTTTCTTTTGTCGTTTTTTTGAAGTGGAGTCTTGCTCTGTTGCCCAGGCTGGAGTGCAGTGGCACAATCTCCACTCACCGCAACCTCCACCTCCCAGATTCAAGAGATTCTCCCGCCTCAGCCTCCCCAGTAGCTGGAATTACAGGTGCACACCACCACGCCTGGCTAATTCTTGTATTTTTAGTAGAGATGGGGTTTCACCACGCTGACCAGACTGGTCTTGAACTCCCAACCTCAAGTGATCCACCCACCTCAGCCTCCCAAAATGCTGGGATTACAGGTGTTGAGCCACCATGCCCGACTGGTTGCACTGATCTGTTTGTATATTCAAATATGTAGAGGACACATCATTCTTTTTCACTTCGCAGCATCTGAATCTCATTGTTACATGAGGAAAACCCCCACCTTATGATTCTGAGCCTCCCATGAGAGAAGCTGAAAATGCCATGTAAATCCTTTCCCAGCTTGCCTTGCAACTAAGGTATAATAAGTAGCCTCCAAACAGGCCCCAGTGCTCTCTGGCTGCTGGTATTTACAGCCTCATATAATCTCATTGAGTAGGGTTGTTTCCGAAATGATGGTGTGTGATTTCTGAGGTTGGTTATGAGTCATTGTGCCTCCTGCTTTGTTCTCTGTCTTGGATCACTCACTCCAGGGGAGGCCAGCTGCCATGCTGTGAGCACACTTAAGCAGCCCTATGGAGAGGTCCATGTGATGATGAACTGAGGCCCCAGCCAACAGCCATGTGAAGGAGCCATCGTGGAAGCAGATCCTCCAGCTCCTCTTGAGCCTCCAGATGATTTCAGCCTCAGCCAACATCTTGACTGCAAGCTCATGAGAGACCCGAGCCAGAACTACCCAGTTAGGTGCTTCTGGATTCCTGACCTACAGATACTGTATGAGAGAATAAATGTTTACTATTTTAAGCTGCTAAATTTAGGGGTAGTTTGTTATACAACAATAGATAATATAAGGGTTATGGGACCTGACCCAAGTTCTTCATTTGTTTTATATTCCTCAATATTTTATAGTTTTCTTCATGTTGCAACTATGTCTTTCTTAAGTTTATTTCTAAGTATTTTATGGTTTTTGTCTCTGAGTGACACTTTTTAAAATTTTCACTTCGATGTGTTTTTTAAAAGATTAGAGCAAAACTAGTGATTTTTATATATTTATCTGATAGCCAATAATTTACCAGATTCTCATATTATTCTATACTTTTTTTTTAAGGGGCTGGGCAGTGGCTCAACTCGAGGCAGATCACCCACCCACTTCCAAGATCCAACTATAAGCTTTTTAACTGCAGCAACTTAAGTATACGCTACTAGAACTGGAATTAATCATTCTATACTTAAAACAAAAAACCCTAGGGTCTCCTGGATTTCTGGGACATGCAATTGTCATCAGTAAGAAGGAATTTCAAAATAAAGGACTCCACCTTTTCTAAAATTTATGCCAATTACTTGATTTCCTTGTCTTGTTAAATCCTCCTAAATTGTGTGGGACATTACTAACCACAGCAAGCATCTGTGTCTGGTTCTTGATTTTTAGTGAAATGGCTTTTAGTGTTTTGTTGTTTAGAATGATAGTTGCTGTTAGTTTTCTTTAGTTGAGGTATACATAATAAAATTTAACCTTTTAAAGTGTACAGTTTGATGAGTTTTAACAACTACTGATATCAAGATCAAGAGCATTTCTGTCACCCCAAAAAGTTCCCTGGTACTCCTTTGCAGACATTCTTTTATATCTTTACTTCAGTTTAAATAAGATACTTGCACTTATGCTGTAACTCCATTGTTAATATTTGCACAAGGCTGGGCACAGGGGCTCACGCCTGTCATCCCAGCACTTTGGGAGGCGGAGGCAGGCTTGAGCCCAGGAGTTTGAGAACAGCCTGGACAACATAGGGAGACCCCATCTTTACAAAAGAAAAAAACCTCAACTTTGTTCATAATAAGCTCAAAGTATCCCTTTTTTTTTTCTTTTTTTTTTTTCTGAGACCGAGTCTCGCTGTCACCCAGGCTGGAGTGCAGTGGTGTGATCTCGGTTCACTGCAACTTCCACCTCCAGAGTTCAAGTGATTCTCCTGCCTCAGCCTCCTGTGCAGCTGGAATTACAGGTGCTTACCACCACACCTGGCTAACTTTTGTATTTTTTAAGTAGAGATGGTGTTTCACCATGTTGGCCAAGCTGGTCTCAAACTCCTGACCTCAAGTGATCAGCCCACCTCGGTCTCCCAAAGTGCTGGGATTACATGCCACTGTGCCAGGCCTACAAAAAAAAGTTTTAAGTTAGCCAGATGTTGGTGGCACATGCCTGCGGTCCAGCTACTCAAGAGGCTGAGATGGGAGGACTGCTTGAGCCCAGAAGGTCGGGCCTACAGTAAGCCATGATCCTGCCACTGCATTCCAGCCTGGGTAACAGAGCAAGACCCTGGCTCAAAAAAATATATTTTTAAAATTTAAATTTAAAAATTAAAAAAAACACATTTGCACAAGTTCTATATAAACAGAAACCATATCTATATTACTCACCCCTGTATTTCTAGCACCTAGCATAATTCCTGGCACATACTAGGCCCTCAACATTTGCTGAAATGATGAGTTAATTAATGAATAAACCAATCAACCAACCAACCAATTCACCTTGGAGCTTGGCTCTATTCCTTAATGTTCCCTGATGCCAATTGCTTTCTTGCCTTGGTCTCCCCAGTCTGCCTTCCCCCTGACTCCCCACTGCTGGACTACACCTGCCTACTAGAGAGCTATCCAGTGCCCTTAACTGCATTCCTTTACCTATTGGTTTTTCCTTCCGAGTTTAACTACAAAGTGGGGTGCTATCTAGTGGGGTTAGCTTTGCTCAAGGAGAAGCTTAACAACAACAACAACAACAGTAGCTGTTTCCAGCAATACATAGAGAAAAGCTAAAATTAGGACAAGGGAATCCGATACAAAGGCAGGAAACTTAATAACTATCTGGAGTGTTAGTTCTGGAGGAGCTAGGCCAAGATGGGAACTAGGTCAAAAGTCAGAAGAGGTGAAGAGACCACAGCGAGAAACAACAAAGCTGGGAATTAACTAAGCGGCCTATTCTCTTTACAAGGTACTCAGCCGGAGAGCCAATCTTTTTTTTTTTTTTTTTGAGATGGAATTTTTGCTCTTGTTACCCAGGCTGGAGTGCAGTGGCGTGATCTGGGCTCACTGCAACCGCCGCCTCCTGGGTTCAAGCGATTCTCCAGCCTCAGCCTCCAGAGTAGCTGGGATTACCGGCATGCGGCACCACGCCCAGCTAATTTTTGTGTTTTTAGTAGAGACGGGGTTTCGCCATGTTGGCCAGGCTGGTATTGAACCCCTGACCTCAGGTGATCCGCCCACCTCAGCCTCCCAAAGTGCTGGGATTACAGGCATGAGCCACCGCTCCCAGCCCAGAGAGCCAATCTTCAAGGGACAGAGTTGATCAGACAACGGCCCGCCATCTTATGCCAGCCTACCATCTTGTGCTCTGTCTGCCTCATGAATTCCCATCATCATCTGCAGAAACGTCTACCCACAAGCAGTGGCTCTGTTTTGAAGGATATGTCTCTGTCTCAGTTCTCTCCAGGTGCAGCACCAACTCCCCACCACTCACTAGTTAAGGTGGCATTTGCAGTTTCAGAACTGGTTGCTTACTTATTCAGAATTGGAGGAAAAGGTCAAGAAGTTGAGCTGTGAAATGCAGAAAAAAAAGTGAAGAAACTCAGTTTTCTCTCAAAACAAAAAATAAAGGAGTTAAAATATACAAAAATGCAACTGAAATCTCTGAATGTAATTCACACTCTAGTATGCTCTTTTAAAAAAAGATGAAAGCACAGAAGCATACATAAAGCATTCTTTGTAAGCTACTCTTTGCTTACTAATAACAAATGTAGGTAAATTGGGCAGATGTAAATAAGGCACCACCACAACACGTGAGCGCCAACCACAGAGCCAAGATCCGCACACTAAATACGGGAAGTTGTAAAAGACTGTGACAGACTGTCACTAAAAAACTTGTCTTCAGGAATTCGGACGATTATCTGAAAAGATATTCAAAGTTCAATTTTGTTGGAGGAAGCAATAAGGAAGTGGGGTGTCTATGTCAGAGACGGGCGCGGGTATGCGAGGGGGTAACGTATAGAGTAGGTTAAAGAGACGTAGAAAATATTTCCAAAGGCACAAGTTTAGCATGAGGGACTTCCCTCACAGGAAAGACACCTGGTGTTTTATATGTCCTTCTGAGCACAGACAGGGTATTTCTATGAAGTTACAAAGCTGCAATCCCGTTCTCATGTGCAGCACCACAGGTTTTGCTTTCAAATATCTGCAGGTGCATCCTCCTGCACTCGTTAAACTAAGGGTTTTCCTTTTCTGTGCTAGACCCGCTTTTACGACCACGCTCTCCACCTGATTCACAGAAAGGGTTCTACGACCGTCAGGTCACCGCCGCCTTTGTACTTTATTGGGGAGTCGAAGGCCTCAGCGCTGCTCGCGATTTCCCTAAGGTGGTCGGGAAGGTCCCAACCACGTTCTTCTGTAAACCAGATAAGGAAGGCCTGGGGATTCCGGCCGCGGAAAGGCACAGAGGAGGTGAACGCTCCGGCTGCCCAAGTGACGCACTTGTAGGCGGATTCGGAAACTCGTGCTCTTGAGCCGGAGGCGGAGCCCCCAGACTCAGACCGACCCCCCAGAACCGGGCGGCCTTGCCCGAGGCATGAAGGCTTTCTAGGCCCGCTTCTAAAAGCTGTGTACAATGGAGACTCCTGGAATAGGCACATATCTCTACTGTAATCAGAACGAGATGTAACATCTAAGACGCAGGGCAGGGCTCTGGCAAAGACACGCTGGGGGAACGTGAAAGAAAGGGCCAAAACTACGCAGCTGGTCCTCAGAGACCAAAGACTACGACCCCCAGCATTCAATGCAGTGAACCCCTAGGACGTTGCATGCCGGGAGCTGTAGTTTCTCACCACCGCCACCCCCCCGCCCCCCCGCCATCTGAAAGGGTTCTAGGGGATTTGCAACCTCTCTCGTGTGTTTCTTCTTTCCGAGAAGCGCCGCCACACGAGAAAGCTGGCCGCGAAAGTCGTGCTGGAATCACTTCCAACGAAACCCCAGGCATAGATGGGAAAGGGTGAAGAACACGTTGCCATGGCTACCGTTTCCCCGGTCACGGAATAAACGCTCTCTAGGATCCGGAAGTAGTTCCGCCGCGACCTCTCTAAAAGGATGGATGTGTTCTCTGCTTACATTCATTGGACGTTTTCCCTTAGAGGCCAAGGCCGCCCAGGCAAAGGGGCGGTCCCACGTGTGAGGGGCCCGCGGAGCCATTTGATTGGAGAAAAGCTGCAAACCCTGACCAATCGGAAGGAGCCACGCTTCGGGCATCGGTCACCGCACCTGGACAGCTCCGATTGGTGGACTTCCGCCCCCCCTCACGAATCCTCATTGGGTGCCGTGGGTGCGTGGTGCGGCGCGATTGGTGGGTTCATGTTTCCCGTCCCCCGCCCGCGGGAAGTGGGGGTGAAAAGCGGCCCGACCTGCTTGCGGTGTAGTGGGCGGACCGCGCGGCTGGAGGTGTGAGGATCCGAACCCAGGGGTGGGGGGTGGAGGCGGCTCCTGCGATCGAAGGGGACTTGAGACTCACCGGCCGCACGCCATGAGGGCCCTGTGGGTGCTGGGCCTCTGCTGCGTCCTGCTGACCTTCGGTGAGTGATTCTGGAGGAGCAGACGTCCCCCCTCCACACACGCGGCCGCTTCTCGAAGGTCCTGGGGGCGTTGAACGTGGGAGGGGGGATCCCGGGGCCTGCGGTGGGCCAAGGGACGTCACCATTCCTCGAAAGAGGGCAAGGGAATTACGTTTATTCTCTTCTTCCTCTGGAAATAAAAAAAGAGAGCAACATCATCTAACTGCCCTACAGATCTAATAGTATCTCGCCCGGAGGTCTCAGCGACCTCGGGGTGGGGCCTCTCTGAGGCTCTGGCTCCCCCGGGAGCTGTGCGAGTCCCTCCCCCCTCCCCGCCCGGAGGACTTTTTCGGCCACCGCAACCTTCGGCCATCCCAGCTTTCCCGTCCCCTAATTCCCCAGACTCCGACTCCTCGCAAGCCCGTGTCCCTTCTTAGATGCTGGCCTCGGGAGCGTGAGGCCTGGGGCCAGCGGAATGGCAGTGTCAGCGTGTTTGATTCAGTTTTGCTGGAGTTCGGTTCTTAACATTTCTCCCCCTTCTCATGCCTCTGGGCTCAATTTCAGTTCCCCTCGCCAGAGGTTGCATAAATCCTATTTGCATTCTGACCTGTGCTAACGAAGGCCGAAGTTTTGGCTTGATCAGTTGGGAGGCCTTGGCTCGGCCTGCGCGCAACACGTGTGGGTGTAGAAGAGGCCTGGTATCAGTCTGCTTAACGTTATTTATAAATGATCGGAGACACACTGTTTAGAAGTGGTGACTGCCTCCGTATTTCAGGATCTACTGGAGACTTCAGCATCTGAACTTAAATAGATGTTCTGTCTTGGCTTTACCTTTGGTATTTAAACCAGGGAATGCACTCTTTCATCCCCACCTCCCTTAGTTACCAACTGAATTTTGCAACCCCTACCCTTCCCTATTTGATCATCCTCCTTGGAGAAGTGTGATGTTGAAGAGTTTGCCCGTGTTAAATCTTCAGGGTCGGTCAGAGCTGACGATGAAGTTGATGTGGATGGTACAGTAGAAGAGGATCTGGGTAAAAGTAGAGAAGGATCAAGGACGGATGATGAAGTAGTACAGAGGTTTGTGTTCATTTGAACTTACGTATACAGATAAGCCGTGTGAACCTTGTGAGTTACGGTCACTTCTTATGTATCTCTTCTCCAAAGGTCCAGATAAAGTCTAACACCCTGTATTTAAATACCCGGTGAGTTGTGTGCATACATACCTCCTAACTTGTCCCTAGGAGTGATGAAAACTGAGTGAATTCCTTTGAAAACTATATTGCAGAATACTAGCACCATAAACTTTGTAAGACTTTATAGAAGATACTTTCAGTTGGATTTGTATTCATTAACTGTGTACACCGAGTAAGTTTAAAAATGGGATTTCTGTCAGTTGAACAATATTTTAAAATTTGGCCTCTTGGGACTTATTGACAGTTTTGAAGTCCTCACTGTGGAGCATAAATGAGTATGACTTTGCTTTTTAGTAGAGGAAAGTTGGGATTTTTTTTTTTCTGGCAATTTTAAGAACCGAGTATTTCCAGTGTAATGTTAAAGGTAGCCTACTGCTGTGCTAACATAATGAGACGGTATATCAGTTATATTTTATAAAGGTTTCCATTTTAACCCCCAAGACAATATTCAGAGGCCCCTGTGCTTTCATCATAATTCCTCTAGTTTTGAAGGGAACTATGCCATGCAATATTTGCTTACCTAACTGATTTCCTTAGAGAGGAAGAAGCTATTCAGTTGGATGGATTAAATGCATCACAAATAAGAGAACTTAGAGAGAAGTCGGAAAAGTTTGCCTTCCAAGCCGAAGTTAACAGAATGATGAAACTTATCATCAATTCATTGTATAAAAATAAAGAGGTAAGCAACATGTGGTTAGAATATTTTATCTCTGTATGGTGGCATACTTGTTTACTTAAATTTGCTTAATTTACTGCAAAAGTAATGTAGTATCCAAGTAAGTAGGTAACAACCTTTAAATACCTAATATGTCCAAGAATTGCTACCAGATATCTGGGAAGAAAGGGAGTGTCAGACATTTTCCTTTTCCTTTACCTCTAAATAGGTTCACGGCCTGATAATAGTTGTGAGTCTAAGGGCAGTCACATAAACTAAACTTCTTGCATTGCATACCTGAAGATCACTGTTAGGTGAATAAGAGTGCTTTTATAAGGTACAGAGAAGAAATAAATGGGTTTGGCATAAAATCGAATATCTTAATGCATCTTGAGGATAGTCTAAGTGTATTCCCTCTGGCTTCCATTTAGATTTTCCTGAGAGAACTGATTTCAAATGCTTCTGATGCTTTAGATAAGATAAGGCTAATATCACTGACTGATGAAAATGCTCTTTCTGGAAATGAGGAACTAACAGTCAAAATTAAGGTAAGTGTAAGGCAGTTTTTCTTTCTTTTAAAGGAAAAGGAATCCTTAAAGGTAGAGGATCCCTATCAGTCAAGATAGGCTAGATTATTTTGCAGTGGCAAAAAAACCCCAAGTCTCAGTGGCTTGAAAGTCATCAAACTATGGCCAAATCTAACTTGACTTGTTTTTCTAAGTAGTTTTATTGGAATGCAGCCATGCCCATTTGTTTATTATCTGTGACTGCTTCTGTGCTTCAACAGCAGAGTCAAGTTGTTTTAACAGAGAACATAAATCTCCCAAAGCCTAAAATATTTACTGTGTGGCCCTTTACAGAAAAAGTTTGCCAGCCCCTGGCTTAAATCATTGATCACAGGCTGCCTGTGGTCTTTGCTCTGCCTCATCCTCAGGCTGGGACAGAGGCGTGGGCAGCCACCTGGAGTGTGTAGCCGGTTGCCATGGTGCAGAGCAAGCTTAGAGGGTCTCATACTATTATAATTAAAGGCTCAGCCTGAAAACAGAGCTCTCCTTTACAACTCATTGGCCATTTATAACTCATTGGCCAAAACTAGTCACATGGCCTTAGCCATTCTTAAATGGAAAGTAGAGTACTCCTAAGTTTCTGGAAGGCAGACAGCCAGGAATATTGAGTGAAGAATATTAATGATCCATCACAGATTCCAAATAGAGGAATCATTCAAGTTGTTTTGTATTCTAGTAAAGAAATAGGCAAGACATAAAATTTTATTTTTCTTGAATTGTTTTCCTTCAAAGGTAACTTGTTTTATTTAGGTCAGCCTCTAACCTTTGACATTTAGGCCAGTCTGCCCATTTGATATTAATACTTTCTCAAATACATAAATTACTTTAAGATGTACACTTTCAGAAAAGGCCATAAAAAACTATGTGGAGGAAAATATCTCAGTTTAGTTTTCTGTATTGGAATTGATGGGACCCAAAGCTGGTTAGTTCCTCAATATTTGTTTGGCATAATGTAAATATTAAATACAACTATCTGGTTCTTGTCTTGCATTTAGTGTGATAAGGAGAAGAACCTGCTGCATGTCACAGACACCGGTGTAGGAATGACCAGAGAAGAGTTGGTTAAAAACCTTGGTACCATAGCCAAATCTGGGACAAGCGAGTTTTTAAACAAAATGACTGAAGCACAGGAAGATGGCCAGTCAACTTCTGAATTGATTGGCCAGTTTGGTGTCGGTTTCTATTCCGCCTTCCTTGTAGCAGATAAGGTTATTGTCACTTCAAAACACAACAACGATACCCAGCACATCTGGGAGTCTGACTCCAATGAATTTTCTGTAATTGCTGACCCAAGAGGAAACACTCTAGGACGGGGAACGACAATTACGTGAGTATGACCAATTCCTTATAAGAATTAATAGTCATGGTGAGGATCTTGACTCTCCAGTTCTATTCTCTGAGCAAATGACTTATTCTGGGCCTTAATTTTCCTGCCTTATAAAATGAGGAAACAGAACTGTTGTCACTTGAAGAAATGTTTGAGGACCTGCAAAGGGCCAGGCACAAAGGTTTGTGATTGCTGTTGTACATGGAGGGTATAAAGTAGGAAATAGCAGCAGCTTCCCCAAGGGAGAAGGCTTCTTGGGTACCCACAGAGGAGGCACTGCTTGGTCAGTTTCCCAGGTTAGAAGAGTAATTTGTCTGTGGAGCATCCTGAATAAAGGCATGGAGGCATAGCATGCTCACTAGATGAACAGAGTTCTTTTCGGTGGCAGTTATGGATAGAATGTGATGAACTTTTATTTATTTATTTATTTTGAGACGGAGTCTCACTCTTGTTGCCCAGGCTGGAGTGCAATGGCACAATCTTGGCTCACCACAACCTCCGCTTCCTGGGTTCAAGCAATTCTCCTGCCTCAGCCTCCCAAGTAGCTGGGATTACAGGCATGTGCCACCACGCCCAGCTAATTTTGTATTTTTAGTAGAGATGGGGTGTCTCCATGTTGGCCAGGCTGGTCTCGAACTCCCGACCTCACGTGATCCACCCACCTCGGCCTCCCAAAGTGCTGGGATTACAAGCATGAGCTACCGTGCCCAGCCAGAATGTGATGAACTTTTTAAGATTCTCAAGGTGGTGTGGAGGATGTGAGGAGTGGACAAGGGGAGACTCTTTGGGGGAAATATTCCTCTTGAAAATATTCAAGATGAGTGGTAGCAACCAGGGCTGGGGCTGGCTTGTAGAGATAAAGGGCTTAAAGAAAGTTCATGAAAGTTGTGAAAGCTGTGGAATAAAATACGTCATTTAAGGATAGTTACAAGTTTTTAAATTTGAATTAAGATCCCTCTTAAGCCAGTAACTGTTGTTTGTATGGGTGAGACAGAGCCAGTGCCCTACAGTAGCTCTCGTTGCTTATAGCACTGTGACGTAGACAGGGCAGCTTTTTGCCTTTTTAAAATTTTACCATCTTGGAGATGAGGAAATTCTATTTCAGAGGTCAGTTGGCTTGCCAACTCCTGCTAAGTGAGTAACAGAATGTGCCCACAGCTTCAATTTTTTTTTCTTAATTCAGTTTTAAGTTTTCTTAACATTAAGGGAAAGAAGCACATACTTATCATTGTGACCAACTTTCTTCATCCTAGAAAGTAACATTTCCTGTTTTTACTGCAGCAGATGTTCTTTTAATGAAGACTAATTAGATGACTGCATTTTAGTACTTTTTTAACTTGTGTTCCCAATTTACCTTCCCCTGCCTTCGTCACTAACATTGATGTCTCCAGGTTTCATTTGGAGGCATCACTAAGAGTTATGCCCCAGTGCCCTCTCTTTTTAAGCACTGGGCTAGATGTTGGAGAAGGATAGGGCAATCATTCCCAAGGAAAGATAGAAAGTGATGTCCCAAGAGATGTTAATGTCAGGTTGCTAAGAAGCAGGTGAAATTATCTGGATATAAGCTCCATGAAGGCAAACATTTTGTTGGAAGCTCCATTCCCAAAGCTTAACACTTAATTGGCAGCCATTTGTATGAATAAGTGAGGTTAAACAGGACAGTTCCATGCAGGGAACGATGGCTGCTAACACCTATCCAGGACCTAGTTTCCATGACCATGCATATCTTTTTAAAAATTTCCTTTGCCCACTTCTTAAATGTTAACATACATTTTCTCCAAGTTAAGTTTCAGCCCTTTTCTCATTGTCCATGTGATCTTTATGTAGTCTTATCCACTGCCACGGCCTCAGGTTCCATCTCTAGTTCTCAAATTTATATTCTTAGCCTAGATCAGGAGTTAGCAAACTTTTTCTTAAAAGAGCCAGCTAGTAGAAAAAAAGATAAAAGAAAACAACAAGAAAGAAAGAGCCAGCTAGTAAATATTTTTAGCTTGTGAGCTATATGGTCTGTCACATGTCCCAACTCTGTTTAGCTTGAAAGCAGGCATAGACAATACATAAGGATGTGTCCCAGCCAAGTGTGGTGGCTCATCCCTATAATCCCAGCACCTCGGGAGGCTGAGGTGGGAGGATCACTTGAACCCAGGAGTTTGAGGTCAGCCTGGACAACATAATGGGATCCCATCTCCACAAAAATAAAAAATAAAAAATTAGCTTGGCACAGTGGTGCATGCCTGTAGTCCCAGCTACTCAGGAGGCTGAGGTAGGAGGATTGCTTGAGCCTGGCAGGTCAAGGCTGCAGTGAGCCATCATCACGCCTGGGTGACAGAGGTCCAAAAAAAAAAAAAAAAAAAAAAGTGTCCCAATAAAATTTCTAATGGGTGCCAGCTGTACAGCTATAGCTTGCCAGCCCCTTGTCTAGGTCTCACTACTGGGCTCTGTGTTCATGTGTTTAATTGCCTTTTAAATGCTTCTACCTAAGATATCTAACCAGCAGCTTCTACTTGCATCCAAAACTGAACTCTTAATCCCCAAATCACTAGAACATGTGCTCTGAGACCAGGGGCCTAGTCACTCACTAGGCTTTGTCATATCATGGCTACTTATTGGCCAGGTACCACTAAACTAATGAGCCTTTTGAGACAGGGAGGGAACCATAGATAGACCATTTCCCATACTTAATTGGGAACACAAGTATCAAGATATGGACTACCTACTGTGCTTAAGAGTAGGTTCTAGGCCGGGCACAGTGGCTCACACCTGTAATCCCCGCACTGCCCGGTAGAATTTTATATAATAGTAGAAATGTTCTATATCTGCACTTTTCCATTTTGGCGATCACCAGCCACATGTGACTGTTGAGTACTTGGAATGTGGCAGCATAACTGGAACTGAACTGTACATTTTATTTAAATAAGTCACATGTGCCCAGTGGCTGCCATTTTGGATAGTGCAGATATAAATATAAACCAGATTAATTTTCTAGCTTTTTTAAGGAAAATGTTTTCATTAATTAGGAATAGTTATCTACAATAATCATTAGGTTTCTGGAATAACAGTAAGAGCTATGAGAGTGCATGATTCCATTTCTCTCCAGAATATTTCAGTGCTTTCTCACCTTGAAAAATGAAAACAATCTATTCAGACGGTTGGGAATATTTTAATTTTCTACTTAAAACTAAGGTTATTCTCCACTTGAGGTAATGTAGAGGAGATTCTTCTCTTTACTGTATCTACATGTGTTACATTTTAGCTCACAAACCCTTGTTGGTGATGGAGAGTTAACATGAATAATTAGGACATCTTGGATTATACTGAACTGCTGGCTATTACCATGGTATTTAAATGAATTTATAATCAGATCTTCTAAATGTTAGGTGTCTCTAAACATCGAATTTTTCTTGCAGCCTTGTCTTAAAAGAAGAAGCATCTGATTACCTTGAATTGGATACAATTAAAAATCTCGTCAAAAAATATTCACAGTTCATAAACTTTCCTATTTATGTATGGAGCAGCAAGGTAAATCTATATTGATTAAAAACTTATATGTATTACCTTGGCACGTATTTAAATATTCAACACTAAAAGAATGAAGGCAGGCCGGCGCGGTGGCTCATGCTTGTAATCCCCGCACTTTGGGAGGCCGAGACAGGTGGATCACCTGAGGTCAGGAGTTCGAGACCAGCCTGGCCAACATGGCGAAACCCTGTCTCTACTAAAAATACAAAAATGTTAGCTGGGTGTGTGGTAGCACACGCCTGTAATCCCAGCTACTCGGGAGGCTGAAGCAGGAGAATTGCTTGAACCCGGGAGACGGAGGTTGCAGTGAGCCAAGATCGCCCCACTGCACTCCAGCCTAGGTGACAAAGCAAGACTCTGTCTCAAAAAAAAAAAAAAAGAATGAAGGCAAAATGTGGTCTATTAGTTAAGGATACTCTCAGGGTTTTCTTACAAAAACCTATTTTTTGACCTGTAATGTTATATCATATTCTGTAGACAAAATCAGAATTGTTAAACAAATGAGTTTAACCATAATTCTCTTATTTCAACAGACTGAAACTGTTGAGGAGCCCATGGAGGAAGAAGAAGCAGCCAAAGAAGAGAAAGAAGAATCTGATGATGAAGCTGCAGTAGAGGAAGAAGAAGAAGAAAAGAAACCAAAGACTAAAAAAGTAAGTCTGGTTTATCTCCCTGCATAAGATATTGTTTAACATGTATAGGCAAAACCAGGAAAACCTAAGTATGCACTGGCTGATTTGAAGTCAGCTTCAGTTCAGGTGCTAAGTCCATGGAGCCAGCTTTTAAAATAAGGCCTTTGTTTGTATGTTGAATACATTGTCCTGTAGAAAGTTTTAAGTATCAAACCCAGGTCATTTTTATGAAGAGTTTTCTAACTTTTATATATTGCCTAGGACTGGTGGCTTATATGTTTGGAATTTTAAAATCTTAAAAAGCCTTCTGAGTCCTCTTTTGTCTTTTTATCATGCAGAGATTAACCATAAAAATGGTTCTCTGGCTTGCTTAGGTAGCAGACTAAGAAGTATTGATCATGGTGGTTGAGAAATATTTTTGTAAAATGTTGGATTTCTTTAAGTCATGAAATGGGAATATATAATATGTATTTCCTTCTAACCTCAAAACAAATATTTTCAAGAAACATTTTTGCTAGTTAAAAAATAACAATGAAGAAAAACTTAAGTGGCTTTTCATCAGTTAACAATTGTCTTTTTGAATTAAATATTGAGAAAAATACTTTGCTTTTGATACAGTTGGCAGAAACCTTACTAGATAACAGGTATCCTTTGGTGCCCTTTTTTTTTTTTTCTTTAATTTGGAGACAGAGTCTCTGCCACCCAGGCTGGAGTGTGGTAGCACGATCATAGCTCCCTTCATCCTTGAACTCCTAGGCTTAAGCAGTCCTTTCACCTCAGCCTCCCAAGTAGCTAGGACCACAGACACACGCCACCATGACTGGCTAAGTTTTAAAAATTTTTTGTATAGTTGGAGGTCTTGCTATGTTGCCTGGACTGGTCTTGAACTCCTAGGCTCAAACAGTTCTCCTACCCTAACCTCCCAAAGTGCTAGGATTACAGGCGTGAGCCACCACACCAGTCCTCTGGGTCTTTACATAGTCTTTTGAAATCTACTGAAGCCATGGTTACTGCTAGGATAACCTTGGTGAGTGCTGAGAGAGACTAATCAAATACTATAATAACTTCAGGTTGAAAAAACTGTCTGGGACTGGGAACTTATGAATGATATCAAACCAATATGGCAGAGACCATCAAAAGAAGTAGAAGAAGATGAATACAAAGCTTTCTACAAATCATTTTCAAAGGTAAATATTTATAATTCCCTAGTTTCTGGTTATTAATGAATAGACAAAATATCACCCTCTTAGTTTAATTGTATATGGTATGTGACCATGAATATGAGATGGTCCATTCCCATTTTTTCCCAGTGAGAAAATTCAAAAAAAGACCTTTAGGCCAACTATAATATGTCTACTTCTGGTTTATTGACCTAGTCACAATTAAAATCACATTTATGAACCTTTGAGATTGACACCTCAGTAGAGATGGTCTTTGAGAGTAATTGGTTTCCAGAACACACCATTTTTACTTAAGTTGAATTATTATACTCATCACTACTTCAAAATTGCAGCAGTTATTAAAATTAGTCCTAGCTCTTAGTGAATAGTGAAACTACAAAATCAAGAATGTTTGAAACAGTTTTATGGCTGTTTAAACACAATTGGTTTCCTTTTTATTCCTGTGTATTTTGTAATATGTGATTTTTTTAAAAAAATTATTTTGAGAAGGCATCTGTAGCCTTCACCAGCTTGCCAAGGGTTTTGTGTGACAAAAAAAGATTAAGAACCACCTACATAGGTAGATGTGTGATTTCCACCACAAAACCCGTAAAACATGAAATCATGTTGTTAAGTGGCTTTTAATATAATCTTTAAAGAGCTTGCTTATGACATCAAACACTTATTGTGAGATCCTATGCCTGGGAATAATTACTAAATTTATGTTTCCTTGCCTGTTTTTTTTTTTCTTCTTCTTTTATTGATCCCTTCTTGTAACTCTTAAGGATGCAAAACTAGCATTGATAAAGTTTGTTTAAAGTTAATGTTTCCCCAGCAGCATTTAGTACAAGCAGTAGAATGCTCTAGTGGACTTAACCATAGCTAAATAAAACTTAATATTCTGTGTCTGTATTTGTTCTTTTCTCTATTCCATATCCTTTAAATTTCAACTCTTAAAACACTGTTGGTTCTGCCTTCACTTTTATTTCCATAAACTCTAAAGTCCTAGTGTCTATAAACTTACTTCATATAAAGCAGCTGTATTAGAAATATAATTAATGTGAGCCACACATGATTTGAAATTTTTTAGAAGCCATACAAAAAAAGGAACCATGAAATGTTAATAGTATAATTTATTTAACCCAGCATACCCCAAATAGTATTATTTCAACATAATCAATATAAAAACTAATAATGAGACATTTTATATCCTTTTTAAAATTTGTACTGTGCCTTCAAAATGTATTTTACACTTTAATAGCACATCTGAATTTGAACTAGCTACATTTCAGTGCTTAACAGCCATATACAGTAATAGATAATGCAGATCAAGAGAATTTCCAACTTTGTTTTACAGGTATTTACATACATCTTTGTAGCCACTCTTAGAGCTAAGTTCCATGGAAGAAACATGTTCTTGAGTACTTACTGTAGTTCAAGGGCACACTGAAGTGTTGTATGTAATTTTGTCATTTAGGCAGGGTGGTGGTTTTCCTATTCACTTCTCTCATACGTAAGAAGTATAAACTCATCCTTCCTTCTGAGAGTTTAGGAAATAATGTTATTGACAATCATCATCAAAACAACCATGTCTAGTGAATTAGAATTGCAATTCTAGATATTTCTTCACTCCACCCTTTTCTTTCTCTTCCCCCCACCCTTTTCTTTCTCTTCCCCACCTCCCGCCAGTAAAGGAAAATTTTTTGTTAGTTAATTGCTAAACTGAATATGTACCACATAGTACATTGCTTAGTTCTTGCACTGCTTTTCTCCTGTGTCGTTTGAATGACTAAGATACCAACTTTCCACAGGAAAGTGATGACCCCATGGCTTATATTCACTTTACTGCTGAAGGGGAAGTTACCTTCAAATCAATTTTATTTGTACCCACATCTGCTCCACGTGGTCTGTTTGACGAATATGGATCTAAAAAGAGCGATTACATTAAGGTGAGTTTTTAAGTAGTACATGCTGCGTTTAAAATTTGAAAGTTTAATTTCCAGAAAGTGACTTTTTTTTGGTCTCTTTAGCTCTATGTGCGCCGTGTATTCATCACAGACGACTTCCATGATATGATGCCTAAATACCTCAATTTTGTCAAGGGTGTGGTAAGTATCTGAAGTTTGGGAGAAGGGGTGATTGTTGTGGGGGTCTGGCAGTGTAGAGTGTTTGTTTGGCTTTGCTTTCTTCCAGTGGTTTTATTGCTCACTGAACTTTCTTTTGCCATCTGAAGGTGGACTCAGATGATCTCCCCTTGAATGTTTCCCGCGAGACTCTTCAGCAACATAAACTGCTTAAGGTAAGTGTCTCTGGGAAGAAACTCTCCACTTTGCTGTTTGATTGGGGTTCAGAGGACAGGCTCCATTTGTGGAGTAAAACCAGATTTTGGGTCTGGTCCATGATTCTTCAGATGAATTTCCTTTCTTTCTGGAGTTATCAGATCCTAAGAATCTGATTCTTTTTCTCCCAACATTTAATAATGAAGTTTCAAACATCTAGAAAAAAATTAAAGAATTGTACAGGTCCAGGATTAACATTTTGTCATCTAGACACATAGCCACCTTTTTATCAAGCCTTTCATTAAACCTTTCCCCTCCAATACTTCCATAATTAGAAGACTCTTTAGTTTTTGAATTTAAAAGTATTTGAAAGTAGCATATTTGTTCACTTCATTTAGATGCTAGAGAGAGAGTATCACTGAGTCCTAAGGTTAGAATATAAACATTAAGGCAATCTTGTGGCTATTTGCACGGACAGCTGAATTTCAGCCCAATCTGAATGAATTGGAGTGCTTCACCATTTCCTGCCCCTCAATAAATGGCAATAACGATATCGTCTTTGTGTTTTTCACACTCCTGCCTGGGTACCTTACATTCTCAAAAGTTGGAGATTAACTTCTCTAATCAGTTATTCTTTCATTGTGTTTAGGTGATTAGGAAGAAGCTTGTTCGTAAAACGCTGGACATGATCAAGAAGATTGCTGATGATAAATACAATGATACTTTTTGGAAAGAATTTGGTACCAACATCAAGCTTGGTGTGATTGAAGACCACTCGAATCGAACACGTCTTGCTAAACTTCTTAGGTTCCAGTCTTCTCATCATCCAACTGACATTACTAGCCTAGACCAGTATGTGGAAAGAATGAAGGAAAAACAAGACAAAATCTACTTCATGGCTGGGTCCAGCAGAAAAGAGGTGAGATGAACTCATAAGTGTTGTCAGCCATTCTGGAAGGTAGCTAGGGATTTATAGCCAACTCTTGAGGGGGAGAAAAGGAAAACTTAATTGTGTAACTGGAGTAGTTATAAGGCCTGGTCAGTCACTGACAGGAAGGTCATTTATATTCTCTGAACCTCTTAATTCTTCACCTGTAAAATGGAGTTTTTAATAATGTATAAACATAGCAGCTGCTAGGATAAACAAATACACCAGGGCCAGACTTGGAAAACTTTGTGACTTCTTAATTTTGTAGGCTGAATCTTCTCCATTTGTTGAGCGACTTCTGAAAAAGGGCTATGAAGTTATTTACCTCACAGAACCTGTGGATGAATACTGTATTCAGGCCCTTCCCGAATTTGATGGGAAGAGGTTCCAGAATGTTGCCAAGGAAGGAGTGAAGTTCGATGAAAGTGAGAAAACTAAGGAGAGTCGTGAAGCAGTTGAGAAAGAATTTGAGCCTCTGCTGAATTGGATGAAAGATAAAGCCCTTAAGGACAAGGTACTGTGGAAATTACAAATTGTGGAAATATTAGTATCAGCATTTAAGAGAAAGTTATTTTGTGAACAAATTAAGCTGCAGCTGGTTACTTTGTAACCATTAGAATGGTAAAAATTTAATTAATGTAATTAAATTATTGGGAGAAAGCTTAAAACTTTCGACAATACTGCTTTGTTAATAACTTGTTACAAATTAAATTTTATGTTTTTAAAAGGTGGTATTTAAACTTCTGACTAGAAAATTCAGATTATCAAGTAAGTGCCCCTACAAATTCTCCTAAACCTTAAGAAAAGCTATTTTTATGACCTGCTTCTGTGTTTATGATCTTAAGTGATAAAGTCTTAGACAGTTGAAAGACAATTGCTCAATGACCTTACCTGTTGATATTAATTTATATGACTTGATTTCTTTCCCTAAGATTGAAAAGGCTGTGGTGTCTCAGCGCCTGACAGAATCTCCGTGTGCTTTGGTGGCCAGCCAGTACGGATGGTCTGGCAACATGGAGAGAATCATGAAAGCACAAGCGTACCAAACGGGCAAGGACATCTCTACAAAGTAAGCATCCTCGGGAAAGTCCCTGCCAGGGCGTTGCCCCTTACCCAATCTTTGTTTTGGAGATAATACCAGCTTCAATACAAAGAGTAAAATTGCCTTAAATGTCTACCACTGTCTACTATAAGGTAGACAACAAGTTTACGAAGGGATTTCTCCTACATTTGATTGAGAAAGAAAAGGTCTTTGACTCATGATTTTCTGATTTTATTGTATTTGATATGTAAATGGGAATTTTCTTAATGTGTTATGCATAGTCTTTACTTTTGCATTGGATTATATGCTTAGCCTAATATCTGAATTTATTTTACATTTTTAAATGTAATAGCTGCACGAGGTTAATGACAACATTCCTCAAGTGAGTTAAGTCCATTTCAAATCACGTCCCCCACACCCCCAAGCATTAAATTATGGGTATCCAGATAGAATGTCTCATAAAGTAGACGGTACAGGACCTGTGAATTAACAGTATTTGAACTCAAGGGCCTATACCTGGAGGTATAGTGAGTCTTTGGTACTCTTTATTTTCAAGAAATATAGTATTTCAAGTTTATGTTTTAATGTCACAGCAATGATCTTGAAAATGACTTCTCCCCTACTTTTATTCTCTCTTCTTTCACCTGGAGTATGTTTCTGATATGCTATCTAGTCATCATCCTTTTTTCCCAAGGCCTAGCTTAAGGATTCTTTTTTTTTTTCCCCCGAGACAGAGTCTTGCTCTGTCACCCAGGCTGGAGTACAGTGGCGCAATCTCTGCTCACTGCAACCTCCGCCTCCTGGGTTCAAGTAATTCTCCTGTCTTAGCCTCCTGAGTAGCTGGGATTACAGGCACCTGTCAGCACACCCGCTAATTTTTGTATTTTTAGTAGAGACGGTGTTTCACCATGTTGGCCAGGCTGGTCTCGAACTCCTGACCTCATGATCCGCCCTCTGCGGCCTCCCAAAGTGCTGGGATTACAGGCGTGGGCCACTGCGCCTGGCCAGGATTATTATTCTTAAAGCCTTTTCTCACAAATGTAGTCTCCATTGTTGTCACAATTCTAAAATTCCATATATGTCTTTTAACTATAAATTTCATGCAGAGAATAGTGTTCTGTTTATCTGATATCCCATTGCAATAGTACAAGGGCCATTTAAAACATGTCCACCTATTAATTTCAGGAAATGATTAATAGGAAGTTACCTTGCATCCAACAAACATGAAGACTTACTATGTCCATGCACTGATGGTCACAGGTAGACATAACTCCTGTCTTTTCTAACATTTAGACTAGTGAAAATGACAAATCAAAGCCAGGCATGGTGACTCACTCCTGTTGTCACTCAGGAGGCTGATGCAGGAGTATCAGTTGATTCCAAGAGTTCGAGGCTGTAGTGTGCTGTAATGGCATTGCACTCTAGCTCTAGCCTGGGTAACATAGCCAGACTCCGTCTCTTTTTTATTTAAAAAAGAGGAAAAAAAGCAAGTCATAATCCGAGCCCTACATAGATAATGGGTACACCAGGATAGGGAAGGATGTGGTTCCTCCCTGTCCTCAGAGCTTTAAACTAGAGAAGAGAGAATAATCACAACCAACAGTAAAAAGCTAAGGATTTTGAAGGTATATTCAAAATGCATTTGGAACTGAGCTCAGATAAAGTTAATTTTTCTTGGAATCATTGGCGAAGGCATCGTGGAGAAGGTATTATTATTGGAGCACAATCCAGAGGCTACATAGATTTTTCTGAACTTGGGGAGGCAGAGCTACAATTACGGTAGTAAGAATAAACTAAGAGGGAACAAACAGGACATTAAATCAGTTCGTCTGTTCAGCAGTGCTCCAGGTACTTGGGACTCATCAGTAAATAAAATAGTTCCCTTCATTTCATTTTTCATCTAACCGTGTCCACTTGCTCCCCACCCCACCTCCCCGTTAAAAGGGAGCAATACAGGCTGGGCACATGGCTCACGTGTGTAATCTCAACACTTTGGGAGGCTGAGGTGAGAGGATCACTTGAGGCCAAGAGTTCAAGACTAGCCTGTGCAATATAGTGATACCCTGTCTCTATAAAAACTAAATAAGGAAACAGTGCAGTCATCCCTTTTTGTCCATGGGGTGTTGGTTCCAGAACATCCCATGGATACCAAAATCCACACATAGTCAAGTCCCTTAGGTAAAGTCGTGCCGTATTTGCATATAACCTATGCACATCTTCCCATGTACTTTAAATAATCTATAGATTACTTTTAATACCTAATGCAATTTAAGTGCTATGTAAATAGCTATTATACTGTATTGGGTTTTTTATTTTTTTCTTGTTTTGCCCTTTCTAATATTTTCAATCCGAGGTTGATTGACTCTGCAGATAAAGTAGACTGGAAAAGTACAGTCGTCCTTAGGTGTATGAGGGAGATTGGTTCTAGGACCCCTGCCAAAATCCACAAATATTCTAGTCCCCCAGTCTGCCCTGTGGAACCCGTGTATATGAAGAGTGGGAGCTCTGTGTGTGTGGATTCCACATCCCAAGAATACGGTATTTTCTATCTGAGTTTGGTTGCTGAACCTGCACATACGGAGGGCGGACTGTATTTATTGGAAAAAAAATAGCATATAAGTTCAAACCTGTGGTGTTCAAGTGTCAATAGTACATTTTGATTTTTTTTTTTTACCAAGAGTTGTTCTGTGTAATTATGAAAGAATAAGGGAAACGTATGAACCCTAAAATTGGATATGTTTTGTTAATGTTCATTTTTATCTCTTAACAGTTACTATGCGAGTCAGAAGAAAACATTTGAAATTAATCCCAGACACCCGCTGATCAGAGACATGCTTCGACGAATTAAGGTAGTATTAAAGCAGTCCTCTTGCTTGTCTTTTAATTTGAGTACTTTGTATCTTTTAATATTAATCTAGTGCATCTTCTTGCATTTCAGGAAGATGAAGATGATAAAACAGTTTTGGATCTTGCTGTGGTTTTGTTTGAAACAGCAACGCTTCGGTCAGGGTATCTTTTACCAGACACTAAAGCATATGGAGATAGAATAGAAAGAATGCTTCGCCTCAGTTTGAACATTGACCCTGATGCAAAGGTTTGTATCCCCAACCTTCCCGCAAAGGCTGGCTGGCTTTCTTTGTTTCTGTTCTTTCAGAATAGGCCTCTCATGATTGAGGGATGTAGCTTTGCGACATTTGCCTAATTTCTACCTTTTGAAAGAATTTTATTGAATGTTTGAATCCCTGTAGTGTCAGGCACTGCACTAGAAACTAAGTCCTCCTTTTACGTCCTCTTTCCTTTTTGCCTGCCTCCTTTTGTTAGCTTGGCTGTTCATTCTAGTTAAGAGGATTTAGTCTGTGGTTCTGAATAAACAGAAGTGACATTAATTATGATTTTATACATATAAATGAGCAAAGTGGAAATAAATCCAAGGCATTAATGGGCCCATAAATGTTGTGTTTAGGTGGAAGAAGAGCCCGAAGAAGAACCTGAAGAGACAGCAGAAGACACAACAGAAGACACAGAGCAAGACGAAGATGAAGAAATGGATGTGGGAACAGATGAAGAAGAAGAAACAGCAAAGGTATGGCAAATCAAGAATGTGACTTGCATTTTCAGTTCTGGCAAAGTTAGGACAGAGTTTTAGTTCTGGCAAAGTTAAGACTGTGTAACTTACAGAAGTCAGACTGAGCATTTAAATTGTTTATTTCATGCACAAACCTGTGAGCTAGGTTTTTTTTCTGCTAACTTTTAATACCTTCTGGGTTTTTTTTATTTATTTACAGGAATCTACAGCTGAAAAAGATGAATTGTAAATTATACTCTCACCATTTGGATCCTGTGTGGAGAGGGAATGTGAAATTTACATCATTTCTTTTTGGGAGAGACTTGTTTTGGATGCCCCCTAATCCCCTTCTCCCCTGCACTGTAAAATGTGGGATTATGGGTCACAGGAAAAAGTGGGTTTTTTAGTTGAATTTTTTTTAACATTCCTCATGAATGTAAATTTGTACTATTTAACTGACTATTCTTGATGTAAAATCTTGTCATGTGTATAAAAATAAAAAAGATCCCAAATACTCAGTGTCTTGACTGTCTTGCAGAGAACTACCTAATACTTGGCTGAATTTTTTTTTTTTTTAATCATGTGTCTTGGGTTCTTTTTCTTAGAAAAGTGACTCAGGCTTATGACCTTTTTTTTTTTTGAGACCAAGTCTCACTTTTGCCCAGGCTGGAGTGTGGTGGCGCAATCTCTGCTCACTGCAACCTCCGCCTTCCGGGTTCAAGCAATTCTCTGCCTCAGCCTCCTGAGTAGCTGGGATTACAGGTGCCCGTCACCACACCCGGCTAATTTTTTGTATTTTTAGTAGAGACAGGGTTTCACCATCTTGGCCAGGCTGGTCTTTGAACTCCTGACCTCGTGATCCACCCACCTCCGCCTCCCAAGAAAAGATTTTTTTAAAAAATCAAAGGTTGAGCCAGTCATGGTGACACACACCTGTGGTCCCAACTCCTGAGGAAGCTGAGGCAGGAGGATTATTTGAACTCAGGAGCTTGGGACTGTTGAAAAACCAAAGAGTTTAAAAAGTCTTCCACAGGGAGAAGAGAGAATTTCCTTAAAGATTTCCAAATATATGTAGATATTCCCCCTTTCATAGGGTGGAGCTTAATCTTCTCCTTTTTGAATGTGGGCTAGATTAAGTGACTCCTAAAGAACAGAGTATGGAAAGGGAAAAAGTAACTTTGCAGTGGAGAAACCTGGCAGACTTAACCAAGTGATCAATGTTAATATCACCAGTGATGTGTACCCCCGATAGGATGTGAAGTGAATTGTACTGCTGTGGTTTCCAAAAACCTGTAATCTCAATCTAATGAGAAAAACAGACATATTTAGAATATGTGAACAGTATTCTTCAAAATTTCCAGAAAATTTTTCTCAGAAAAACAGGCTGAGAAGTAACCATGGACGGCAGAAGACTAAAGATACATGACAACTATTAATAAATGCAATGTGGTACCCTGGAAACAAAAGGATGTTAAATGGAAAAACGTGAAATCTAAAGTCCGGAGTCTAGAGTACAGTTGAGAGTATTGTACCAATATTGGGTTTTGTTTTGAGACGGTGTCACTGTCTCCTAGGCTGGAGTGCAGTGGTACGATCTTGGCTCACTGCAACCTCCACCTGGATTCAAGCGATTCTCCTGCCTCAGCCTCCTGAGTAGCTGGGATTATAGGCACCCGCCACCACGCCTGGCTAATTTATTTTTAGTAGAGATGGGGTTTCACCATGTTGGCCAGGCTGGTCTTGAACTTGACCTCAAATGATCTGCCCACCTCGGCCTCCCAAAATGTTGGGATTACAGGCATGAAACACCACGCCTGACCCCAATACTGGTTTCTTAACTGACGTACCATGGTAGCTTAAGATGACAACATTCATAGAAACAGCGTGGCGTATATGGGAACTCTACTAGATGTGGTTTTTCTGTAAATCTAAACTTAAAAAAAAAAAAAAGCTATCTTTGAAAAAAATCACCCATAATCCTACCAGAGATAACTATTGGCACTGAGTGAAAATCCACATTGACCTATATTTTGAAATGTACTCTTGTTTATGAAACAATTTTTAATTTCACTAGTCTGTTACAGCCAACTGAAATGGTAGTCTTAAGTTTTTGTTGTTTTTACTGTGGGCTAGAGAGAGATGTCTTAACTGTACATTTAAGGATCATGTGTGTATTAGAAAATTTTACACAATTTATGTGCTACAAAGTTTCATTAGAGACTTTACAGTTTTTCTGATGATCTAGTACTTCTCTATGGACTTCTTTTTCTGTTGATGCTTCCCTACCCCCTCCCTACCTTAAGGTATTTTTCTAGAATTAGTTTGCAATAATCATTACCAGCTTCCCTACTTGAGCGTACGTCTTCTGAAAACCACCCTGCTTTTCCCTTTGTGGTAGAATGGCAGCTCAGTTACAGAAACATGCTATAATTAAGGTATATATAGCTTCCTTTTATGATACAGGCTTATATTAATTGCTACTTGAAATGTTTCCCATTTTGGGGCCACTATGCATTACCATTGTTAATACTGCTATGATATACTCATAGAAATCAAAGCCATCAGATCACATTGAATTAGTGATATCTGACACTTTAGCTCCTCAGAATCCTACAATTTCTAAATTTCTGCTGTTCCTAGCAGGAAAGCATCATACTCCTTCAGTTTTTGATAAACAGCTCAATCATACCTGTCTTGCATAAAAACTGTTTAACTGGCCTAATTTAATTACCAAACAGGTTGCAACTGGTCTATCTTGGCCTTTTAAGTTAAAAAACATTATTAGGGGATAATATAGTACTGCCTTTAATTTTTAATGCATATATGTTACAGATTTGGTTCTCCAAGAAACACTGAGGTGCAGTTTAGCAGGGGGTCTATGAAGGCACACCCTTCGATCAACACCTGAGAAAGGAAACAGGACTGAGCAGAGGTATAAGTTGAGTTGCAATGCAGATCCAAAGACAGTGTCCCTAAACCCCATAGGGAGTTGTGGTGGGCCCAGCAGAGTTGCCCACCACTCACGTGCTGAAGTGGCCAGGCCTTTCTATTCTCACCTCCAACAGTCACTGGATTTGGGCCCCTTCAGGAGGCATGGCTTTGAGCAAGGCCACCATAGCCGAGGCAATCCTTCTAGAAGCTGACCATTGAAAGCTGCTGGCATGCTTGATACTAGGGCAACAAGCCTGCCTTAGGGAGTATGGATGGCGCATTTCCATGACCACTACAATGTATATTTTTCACAATGGGGATCAACTTCAAAACAGGAAGAAAATGTATCTTATTGGAAGTCACTTAGAACCAGTACTTAATGAAATAAAGATGGCATTTTTACCCAAGGTAAATTTTTACTTTAATAACCATAAAACTGATTTTTCACCTTCATGAAGTCATTGTCTTACAGAAGACTCGGATTCAAATCATGACTCTTTCCCTCAGTAGCCAGACCACTTACTCTGTACCTGTAAAAGGAGGTATGCGGTGCTTCTAAAGCATGCACTGCATCCATTCATTCACGTGGTCCACTGGGTGACGACGGTCTGTCCTCCCCTTAAGCAAAAACTGGCTCTAAGGGACAGGTCTTTTCTTCACGCAAAAGGTGAGCAATGCCCCCAGCCTTTCATTCTAGAAAGTGATGAGGCGATGATTTTGTATCCACAAAATGCATTATCAAAGCTCACCACTTTAGTGTTCATTTACTAAAGTTAGCAGAGATCTAGAATTTGAAAAAAAACAGTTTAGCAATGAGAAATAACTCCACTTAGCAAATTCAATTAATGAAACTAGTTCATAGTTTTAAATAATTTCTTAATTTATATGAAATAAAGACAACCCATATAGTAGACTTACAAATATTCTATTTCGCGTTATATTCAAGACTAAACATCTTCCAAACCATATTCATGAAATGGTTTGATGATATGTGCTTTGGCAGTTTTCAAGAAATATCAATCAAACCGTAATTAAATTTCAACGTATCGGCTAAACATCCACTGAGCACCTCCTCTTGCAGTTAGCATTAGACTAAGTGCTTAAGGACAAGTAGTTTGATGCAATAAATTAAGAAATACATATTTAAGACTTATATTATTCACAGAATTCTTGGCATAGTTATTTAAGTTCCTCCTGTTGAGAAACTTGAGGTTTGTGTTTTCTTTCTTTCAGTCCCAAAAGCTCCGTTTTGAGTTCTCCACGCTTTGGTGGAATTTCAGGTATTGTCTGCAAAAAAAACAAAACAAAAAACATAAATGTCTAACCCTTAATAAGGCTGTAATTCAATGTAACCTAGAAGACTTTAAAGAGTAAAAAATAACAAAAAGTTCCCTTGCTTGCTACTCAATGATAACTCTTTATTATGAGAAGCTCTGGTTGATCTAAGTCCCTTTCTAACCCTGTGTTTATATGAGTCTATCATCCTGGCAAGGTCTTCAGCATTACGTACTGCAGGACTCACAAAGGATAGCTGGCATCAGAATCAATTGACAGGTTCACAGCTTTGAATAAAACTTTCCACATCTGGAAATTCATTCCTGCACCATCTACTGACTCTCTACCATGTGCCTGGCATAGAAAATAGGCGTTAGGAATTAATTTATTAATTCAAAAATATTAAGTGCCTATTATATGCAAAGCAGAAAGCAGTATGCAAAAAAATACAAAATCCCTGCATTCCAGGAAGGTATTCACAGAGTTCTGCATCTATCACCACAATAAATTTTAGAAAATTTTCATCACCCCAAAAAGAAACCCCATACTTATTAGCAGTCACTTTCATTTCCATACAACCCTCCCCCACATAGCCATAGATAACTATTAGTCTTCTTTTTGTCTATATAGATTTGCCTATTCTGGATATTTTCTATAAATGGAATCATATAATATGTGGTCCTCTGTGTTCTTTCAGGTAGAATAATGTTTTCAAGGTTCATCCATGTTGTAGCTTGTATCAGTATTTCATTTTTTATTACTGAATAATGCTCCATTGTATGGATATACAATTTATCCATTCATCAGCTAATAGGCATTTGGATTTTCCACCTTTTGGATATTATGAATAATACTGCTCTGAACATTCATATACAAGTTTTTGTGTGAATATGTGTTTTCATGTCTATTGGGCATAAACCTAAAAGTGGCATTGCTGGGTCATATGGAAACTGTTTAACTGCTTGAGGAACTACCAGGCTTTTCTGAAGCCACTGCACTATTTTATATTCCCATCAACAATGCGTGAGGCTTTCAATTTCTCCACATCCTTGACAATACTTGTTACTCTCTGTTTTACTACAGCCATTGTAGTGGGTATGAAGTGGTATTTCACTGTGGTTTTGATTTGCCTTTCTCTGGTGGCTAATGATGCTGAGCATCTTTCTGTGTGCTTACTGGTGTTCAGAAGATGACTGCTGAACAAAGACATGGAGGAGGATGAGGGAGGCAGCCATGCAGTTACCTAGGAGCATTTCAGGCAGATGGAACCACAAGTGCAGAGGACCTAAGGCAGGAGTGTGGCTTCAGGTTCAAGAAGAAGCAAGGTTGTCAGTATAGCTGGTACAAAGTATTCACAGAGAGGTTAAGAGGAGACAAGGGCAGAGGAAAAAGGGAGTGGGGAGATAAAGTCTCCAGTGTTTTTCACTCTGAAATGGGAAGACACTGGAGAGTTCTGAGAAGAGTGGCATGTCCTCACTCAAGTGTACAGAGATGATAATGGTAGCTTTGCTGAGAATAGACCACAGGAGAGCAAGAGTCGAAGGCAGAAGACAGGTCAGGAAGCTATTACAATAACAGGTGAAAGTGACTGACAGTGGATTGAACTGGGTAGTAGCAAAAGAGGTGGTGAGAAGCAGGCAGCATCTGGATGTACCTTTCAAGTTAATCCAATGGGATCTGCTCATATGTACAGTATGAGAGAGGAATTAAGGATGACTCCTAGCTTTCAACCTGAACTACAACAGAGTCATCTCCTTTGCTATTCAGATGAGCTGAGCTGGACAACTAAAAGCACCTGTAGCAGTTCTCCCCAACACAGCACTGAGCACAAGTCTAGGCAGTCATCATGGTCTCCTCTGCTCGACTCTGCCCAGACCTTCCAGTTCTCCGACCGAAAGACTTGTGATCCAGTTTTGCTACAAAGAACAAAGTGGTTGACAACAGTGACAGTAATTGCTGGAGCAAAACCAAAAGACATAGGTAAAGAACATATAAATGTTAATAAAGCACACTGCTTTCAACACACAGCCAGCCACCTGGGCCTTCAAGTTCCTACAGAGATACCCCATTGCCAATGTCACCACCCAATCAAACTGAGGTGAGTTTAGACCCTTCAATATGGCCCTTCTAAAGGCTGTGGCTTCATTCTATCTCCTCCCAAGGTACAGGTAGCTGCTGTAACAACCCTTGCACATTCCCAATTATAATGAAATGGGTGAATCAAAGGTCAACTTCCCAGGGTCAAATCCCAGGCATTCCTTCTTTTGCAAGGCCTGCCTGATGTCTATTCCTGCACAAGCTATAGACTAAACTGCATTACTGTGGAAGGTTCTTGTCACTTTGTCTCCACTAGGTATTCTTGCTGCTCAATAGAACCCTTTTTAAAAGAGAAGCACTCTGAAGTTGTAAGAAAGAGCTCTTGCAGCATTGTTTGTACAAAAACTACATACTACCTAAATGTCAATAAGGGATTGATCAAATAATATGTCACAGCTATATTATGAAATACTATGCAATAGTTAAAAAGATTTAATATACACAAATGTCTATTTATGTAGATGTTAACCAAAACAAGGAAGTTGCAGAGAAATGTGTACGTGAACTCCTATTCACATGAAGGAAAAACACTCCACAAACTGTGTGTGTACACATGCATGCACAGGTGTATTTGTCCATTTTGCATTGCCTGAGGCTGGGTAATTTATAAAGAAGTTTATTTGGCTCTTGGTTCTGCAGGCTGTACAAGCATGGCACCAACATCAGTCCAGCTTCCGGTGAGGCCTCAGAAAGCTTTTAACTCATGGCAGAAGGCAAAGTGGGAGCATGTGTAACACAAGGCAAGAGAGGGAGTGAGAGAGAGAGCCAGGTTCTTTTAAACAACCAGCTCTCATGAACTAATAAAGTGAGAACTCACTCTTCACCACAGGGAGGGCACCAAGCCATTCATGAGGGATTCGTCCCCATGACCCAAACACCTCCCGCCAGGTCCTACTTCCAACATTGGGGATCACATTTCGGCGTGAAATTTGGAGGAGACAAATATCCAACCCGTATCAGTGGACATTCAACAACAGTGAGAAGTAGTAAAGGATATTCACCAAACAAGAAACAGTAGTTAACGTGTCGTGAGCAGACAGGAGAAAGGAGGTTATAAGAGGGGGGATTTTCACTTTTTACTCTACATACTTGAACTCAATTTGAATGTTTTACAAGAGTATTGGATTATTTTATGAACAGGAGCAAAAAAGAGACATACCAAACAGAAAGCTTGGGCTTCAGATCCTCAAATCGTCTCACTAAGCTATGTGACTTTGAGAAATCAACTTCACTCTTCTCAACCTGTTTCTCATCTGAAAACAGAAATAACACCTTCAAAATTGTAGTGACAATTAACTGATGTTAAAAATACAAATGGGCCAGGCACAGTGGCTCATGCCTGTAACCCCAGCACTTTGGGAGGCAGAGGCGGGCGGATCACTTGAGGCCAGGAGTTCAAGACCAGCCTGGCCAACACAGTGAAACACCATATCTACTAAAAAATAGAAAAACTTAGCCACGCATGGTGGTGTATGCCTGTAATCCCAGCTACTCAGGAGGCTGAAGCATGAGATTTGCTTGAACCCGGAAGGCAGAGGTTGCAGTGAGCTCAGATTGTGCCACTGCACTCCAGCCTGGGTGACAGAGTGAGACTGTGTCTCAAAAAATAAAAATAAAACATAAGTGCAAATACAAATGGAGCCAGGCACAGTGGCTCACACCTGTAATCCCAACACTTTCAGAGGCCAAGGTGGGAGGACTACTTGAAGCCAGGAGTTGGAGACCAGCCTGAGCAACATTTTGAGACCTTGTCTCTACAAAAAATTTAAAAATTAGCTGGGTGTGATGGTACACAGTCATCTCAGCTACTTAGGAGGCTGAGGCAGGAGGACTGATTGAACCCAGAAATGTGAGGCTGCGGTGAGCTGATTGCACCACTGCACTCCAACCTGGGCAACAGAATGAGACCTGTCTAATTTTTTTAAAATTATTTTTCAATAAAAATTTCTAAAAAAAGAAACACTAATGGTTGACTCTCTGAAAGTGTTACCTGTCCAGGCAGAGTCCAAACAGAAATGACTGCTCCCAACATTGTGCTCCAAACCACTATTCACACCTATAGCATAACAGCACATTCTTGTAATTATTTGTGCCATACTTTCTCATCTCCACCTCCCCAAGACTCTAATTCCTGAAAAGAACCTTTAATTCTAGTTCCTAATGAATGCTTATTAAAATTAATTTAAATTTCTCCTTCCTTTGAATGCCTATAGTCACTCATCCTTCATTCAACAAATACTTATTGAGTGTCTGCTACATTCCAAGCAGTTGAGATACAAGACTGAACCAGACAGACATAGTCTGGAGCTTACATTCTACTGAAGCAAACTGACAAAGAACAAATAAATAGACAAAGAACTGCAGACAAGTGCTCTATGGAAACAAAAGATGAGACGGAATCGCAGAGGAGGAATTCTTTGGGAGCTAACCCAAGGACCCTCATTGCTGGAGGAGAGACTTGTGCTAAGACTTGAAGTTTTGAAGAAGGAAACCAAGCCAAGTTGTTGGGGGGGTGGTGGGGGGAGGAGGACATGCCAAGGATAATGAAAAGAATGGCCTCGAAATGGGGACAGGTTTGATGAGTTGGAGAAACAGCAAGGAAGCAGGCGTGAATGTTAACAGGGGAAAGAACTGGTAAAATGGTGGCAGATAGGCCACAGGTAGGCAGCGGCCAGACTGTGTAAGACCTCACAGGCCATGCATTGCCCTAGATGCAATGGGATGCCATCCAAAGGTTTTGGGCCCAGGGCAAATGTGATCCTAATTTCGTTCAAGATCACTTTTGCTGCCACGAGGAGAATGGAGTGGTCCAGGAGCATCTGCATTGCTATAAAGGAATGCCTAAGGCTGGGTAATTTACAAAGAAATGAGGTATATTTAGCTCAAAAATAAAATAGTAGCCCTCCCGCACTCACCAGGTCCGGTCGGTAGTACCTGTGCACCACTTCTGCCCCTGCGCACATGGCCAGGAGACTGGCTGCGAACATTTTCAGGTAGGTGGACATGGGCACGCCCGCGGGCATGGTCGGCAGGCTGGACGGGGAAGGAAGGGGCAGTGTCAGAAGTTCCAGCTCACGACTACACCGCGCCAGGGCTGAGGCGCTCCAGCCAGCGCTGGACACGAGACACACGGCGGCGGGGGTGCAGGAGGACCCCTGGGTTCTCGCCCAACCCCACGCCTCGGTTTCCTCCTTTACGAGCTGAGGGCACTGAGAGGACGAACGCCCTCCAGGCCGAGGCCCAGCCCCAATCGTTTATCAGTGAGGGGCGCCGGCCTGCGTGCGGCATTAAAGGGAGCTCTTGATCAGCAAGCGGAAAACCGATACCAGGTCGTTTCCCCGCGCCCCTTCTACCTCTTGGAGGAGAGGAACTGTGGACTTCACTCCTCTCTGCCTCTATACACGCGCTCTACTAGAGACTGTACCGCGAACTGCAGGGATGCTGGGCAACAGGTCTAAGGGCGGACGGAGCGGACGGCGAGCAGGCCGGACCCAAAATACAGGGACCCGGGGCCGCACCGGACAGGAAAGTGGGAGCGCTGCCGGCGCAGGCACGTGACGCAGAGGAGGTGGGGCGCTGGGAGAAAGCCAGTGACTTTTTTTTTTTTTAAACCAATTCCGACACTTTCTCAGCCCCAGGCTCCCAGCACCTCCATCACTCTCCCTATAGTTAAATTTTCCTGGCAGATGTGGAATCTAAGGCCAGGCCGTGGACTATTATTACATCGTTTGTTCTTTCGTGCACACAAAGGAAACCACGCCTTTACCACTTTTTTAGGAGGGGTGGAGTCACACATTGAGCATTTGCGTGCTTTTATGGGAGGTCACCCTCCTGTGACCTCTTAAGAGTGAAGTTAAAGGCACTCACTGTCCCTGTGTCTGGCGTCTTTTGATACCCGAAATAGAGCCACATCCAGACAGCTGTGGCCTTATGACCTGGTGCTACTGGGAAAGGGGAAATTTGAAATCGACATAACTTAATCCAGGAATTTTTCCATTGTTTTGATTATTGGTTGTTTTTTAAGTAAAAGGTTAGTGCAAGGGCCGGGGGCGGTGGCTTACGCCTGTAATCCCAGCCAGCACTTTGGGAGGCCAAGGCGGGCGGATCACTTGAGGCCTGAAATTTGAGACCAGCCTGGCCAACATGGCAAGATGGCAAGACTCCATCTCTACTAAAAATATATATATATAATATATATTTTTAAATATATATTTTATACATATTTTATATTATATATTTTTAATA
This sequence comes from Homo sapiens, assembly GCF_000001405.40. Classification (NCBI taxonomy): domain Eukaryota; kingdom Metazoa; phylum Chordata; class Mammalia; order Primates; family Hominidae; genus Homo; species Homo sapiens. The sequence goes on from NC_000012.12 coordinate 103,957,961, forward strand.
TATATTATATATTTTTAATATATATTTATATATTTATAATATATATTTATTTTTAATATATATTTATATATTTTTAAATATATATGTATATATATACACACAAAATTTAGCCGGGCGTGGTGGCAGATGACTATAATCCCAGCTACTCGGGAGGCTGAGGCAGGGGAATCGCTTGAACCCAGGAGATGGAGGTTGCAGTGAGCTGAGATCGCGCCATTGCACTCCAGCCTGGGCAACAGAGCAAGACTCCGTCTCAAAAAAAAAAAAAAGTTAGTGCAAGGCTAAATTCTGAAGGATTAAAGTTGTATGTATGACAAATCATAATACTCATATTTGTAAAGAGTCTTATGGAGGTATATTTGACATACAATAAACTGCACATATTTAAAGTATACAATATGATGTTTGACATATGTGAGACCATTACCACAATCAAGATAATGAACATACCCAAGACCCTCAAAAGTTTCTTAGTGCTTCTTTCTACTCCCTCCCTCCTCCATGGCCTCATTTCCCTAGGTAATCACAGATCTGCTTTCTGTCACTATAAGTTAGTTTGCATTTTCTGGAATGTTACATAAATAGAATTATACCGTATGTACTATTTTTTGTGTTGCTTATTTCATGCAGCTCAGTTATTTTGAGATTCATCCACATTGTTGCATGTCTTAGTAGTTCACTCCTTATTGCTAGGTGGGTTTAGACTACAATTGGTTTATCTATTCACTTATTGATGAACATTTTGGTTGTTTCTAGTTGTTGGTGTGTAAATAAATAAAATTTTAAAAATGTTGGAACCTAAAAAAAACACTGTAAGCCTTGAGAGAGATGTGACTAATCTGAGTCACATACGGTTACAACTTCTGTTCTCAGATTATATATTAACTCACTTTTTCTTGTTCTATACAATCACTAGAGAAAATTAAATGCCAGTGACAAAAACCTCCTTTCTTAATGACCCTTGATTAATTTGCCCTTTATTGTCCTGCTTTGCTGAGACCAGATAACAGAAAACCCATGAGTATTACACCCTCTGTAAAAAGTGTTAAATGCACCTTCCCAAAAAGAAACACTGCGTATAACCAACCAAATTGCTGTAACTTTGTGCCAATCTTGTATGAAAAGTGTTGCAATCCTGCTAAAAACTCCTGTCTCTGCCATACAAATGAAATCTTAACTTTCTTACTTCAGAACGCTGACTCCATTCCTTTGGAGCTGGTGTTTCCAGGTGGTCCATTCTTACTCTTTGTGCTTGAATAAACCCTCTTTAAGTTAGATTCTGACCCTTTTGGTTATTTTAGGTTGACATCGGTTGATAGATATAAAGCTACTATGACCAGTAAAATATATGAGAAAGACTGGTATAGAAGTCTTTCTGAGAACATGGGCTTCCATTTTTATTAGGTACATCTCTAGAGGAATTACTAGAGCATATGGAAGGTGTATATTTAACTTTTTAAGAAATTGCCAGGCCGGGTGCAGTGGCTCATGCCTAAAATCCTAGCATTTTGGGAGGCCGAGGCAGGCGGATTGTCTGAGCTCAGGAGTTTGAGACCAGCCTGGGCAACACAGTAAAACCCCATCTCTACTAAAATACAAAAATTGGCCAGGTGTGGTGGTGTGCGCCTGTAGTCCCAGCTACTCGGGAGGCTGAGGCAGGAGAATTGCTTGAATCCAGGAGGTGGAGGTTGCAGTGAGCTGAGATCGTGCCACTGTACTCCAGCCTGGGTGACAAAGCAAGAGTCCGTCTCAAAAAATAATAATAATAATTAACTTTTTTAAAAAAGAAATTGCCAAACGAATTTCCAAAGCAGCTATACAAATTTATTATTTATTTTTACTTTTTTTTTTTTTTTTTTTTTGAGATGGAGTCTTGCTCTGTCACCAGGCTGGAGTGCAGAGGCACAATCTTGGCTCACTGCACCCTCCGCCTCCCAAGTAGCTGAGATTACAGGCACACGCCACCATGCCCAGCTAATTTTTTTTGTATTTTTAGTAGAGATGGGGTTTCACCATGTTGTCCAGGCTGGTCACAAATTCCTGACCACAGGTGATCCGCCTGCCTCGGCCTCCCAAAGTGCTGGGATTATAGGCATGAGTCACCATGCCTGGCTATTTATTTATTTATTCTTTCATTCATTCATTCTGAAACAGTCTCGCTCTGTCGCCCAGGATGGAGTGTAGTGGCGTGACCTTGACTCCTGAGTTCAAGCAATTCTTCTGCCTCAGCCTCCCGAGTAGCTTGAATTACAGGCAGGCGCCACCACGCCTGGCTAATTTGTATATTTTTTTAGTAGAGACGGGGTTTCACCACGTTGGCCAGGGTGGTCTCAGAACTCCTGACCTCATGTGATCCATCCACCTAAGCTTCCCAAAGTGCTGAGATTACAGGCATGAGCCACCGCACCCGGCCAATCTGTACCATTTTACATTCCCATCAGCAGTGTATGAGACATATGAGACATCCCCAACCAGTTCCTTCAAATCCTCTCCAACATTTGCTCTGGTCAGGCTTTTTTATTTTAGCTATTCTAATATGTGGGTAATGGTTCCTCATTTTGGTTTTAATATACATCTCCCTCATGACTAATGATTCAGATATTTTTATATGTGGAAAAAAACACAAAAACATAAAAATCCTTGGACACATACCCCACACCATATTAAAAATTTTAAATGGGTCACAGACATTCATGTGCTGATACAGTCATATGCTGCATAACAACATTTCAGTCAATGGACCACATACACGACAGGTGGCCCCATAAGATTACAACGAACCTGAAAAAATCCTATAGCCTAATGACATCATAACTGTCAAACACCATGTGTCCGTGGTGATGCTGGTGTAAACACACCATGCTGCCAGTCATCTAAAAGTATACCACATACAATTATGTACACTACATAATACTTGATAATAAAATGTTACTAATATATCTATTTACTATACTTTTATGGTTCTTACAGTATACTCCTTTTATTCTTTTTTAAAAAAAAAAGGAAAGTTAACTGTAAAACAGCCTCGGCCGGATCCTTCACAAGGTACTCCAGAAAGCATTGTTATCATAGGAGATGACGACTCCCTGTGGGTTATTGCCCTTGAAGACCTTCCAGGATGTGGAGGTGGAAGACAGTGATACTGACGATCTTGACCCTGTGTAGGCCTAGGCTAATGTGTGTGTTTGTGTCTTAAGTTTTTCACAAAATTTTTAAAAGTAAAAAAAAAAAATTAAAAACAGAAAAAAGGCTTATAGAATAAGGATATAAGAAATTGTTTATAGCTGTACAATGTGTGTTTTAAGCTAAGTGTTATTACAAAAAGGTCAAAAGTTTAAAAAATTAAAAAGTCTATAAAGTTACAGAAAGCTAAGGTTAATATATTATTGAACAAAGAAAATTACTTTTTAATAAACTTAGTGTAGCCTAGGTGTACAGTGTTTATAAAGTCTACAGTAGCGTACAGCAATGTCCTAGACCTTCGCACTCACTGACTCACCCAGAGCAACAAGGAGTTCTGCAAACTCCATTCATGGTAAGTGCCTGCTACATTTTTTATCTTTAATACTGTTTGGTTTTGTTGTTGTTGTTGTTGTTGTTGTTGTTGTTGTTTTGAGACAGAGTCTCGCTCTGTTGCCCAGGCTAGAGTGCAGTGGCTCAATCTCGGCTCATTGCAACCTCTGCTTGCCAGGTTCAAGCGATTTTCCTGCCTCAGCCTCCCGAGTAGCTGGGACTACAGGTGCCCGCCACTACGCCCAGCTAAGTTTTCTTTGTATTTTAGTAAAGATAGGGTTTCACCATGTTGCCCAGGGTGTTCTTGAACTCCTGAGCTCAGGTGATCCACATGCCTCGGCCTCCCAAAGTGCTGGGATTACAGGCGTGAGCCACCGTGCTGGGCCTAATACTGTATTTTTACTGTACCTTTCCTATGTTTAGATACATACTTACCATTGTGTTACAATTGCCTACAGTATTCACTATAGTAACATGCTGAACAGGTTTGTAGCCTAGGAACCACAGGCCATACAATATAGCCTAGGTATACAGTAGGCTGTACCATCTAGATTTGTGGAAGTACACTCTGTAACATTGTCACAATGAAAAAATCACCTAGTGACATTTCTCAGAATATGACAAATGACCATATTTTCTTGTGCTTCTATTTTCTTTGGTGATGTATCTGTTCAAATCTTTTGCTCATTTATAAAACTGAGTTGTTTTCTTATGGGTTTTGAGTGTTCTTTTATATGTTCTGGACACAAGTCCTTTATCAGATATGATCTGCAAATATTTTCTCCCAGTTTATTGCTTTTCATTAATTTTTTAAGAGAAGTTTTTAATTTTAATAAAGTATAATTTATCAATTTTTCCTTTTGTATTATATTTAAAAAATATAACCCAGGGTCATAAATATTGTCTTCTATATTTTCTTCTAGAAATTTTACAGCTTTGGGTTTTACATTTAAGTCCATGATCCATTTTGTTTTTTTATATGGTGTGAGGCAGGAGGTGCGACTTGACTCCCAAGGTGGAGCTTGGACACAGGACCAGATTGAGGACCAGCTAAAACAGGGAAGAGGTGGAAGCTCTTCTCCATAAAACACACCAACTAATGTGCCCTGTCAGTTTAGCTTTGCCATGGCAACACCCAGATGCTACCACTCCTTTCCATGGTAATGACCCACTGACCCAAAAGTTACCTCCCTTTTTCTAGAAATTTCTGCACACTCAGCCCCTTGATTTGCATATAATTAGAAGTGGGTATAAATATGACTGCAGAACTGCGTCTGAGCTGCTACTCTGAGCACACTGCCTATGGGGCAGCCTTGCTCTGCAGGAGCAGTCTTGGAGTTGTAACACTGCTGCCTGAATAAAACTGTTTTCAGCTCACTCTTGATTTATTTCCTGGGTGAAGCCAAGAACACTCCTGGGCTAAGGGCTTGCCTGCCCTGTGTCATGCATACAACTTTGTTTTGTTTTTGCATATAGATATCTGAACTACCTTTGAAGCTTAGTTGAAAATCAGTTCATCACTTGTCCATGTATGTGTCTATTTCTGGACTCTATTCTGTTGCACTGATATATATTTCTCTCTCTTGATGCTAATACTACACTTTTTTTTTTTTTTTTTGAGACAGGGAATCATTCTGTTGCCCAGGCTAGAATGCAGTGGCATGATCTCAGCTCACTGCAACCTCCACCTCCTGGGTTCAAGCGATTCTCCCATCCCAGCCTCCTGAGTAGCTGGGACTACAGGCATGTGCCACCACATCTGGCTAATTTTTGTAGTTTTTTAGCAGAGACGGGGTTTCACCATGCTGGCCAGGCCGTTCTCGAACTTCTGGCCTTGGGTGATCTGCCCGCCTCGGCCTCCCAAAGTGCTGGGGTTACAGGCATGAGCCACTGCGCCCGGCTAACACTGTCTTGATTACTGTAGCCTTATAATAATTCTTAAGTCAGGCAGTATTAGCTCTCCCAGCTTTGGCTATTCTAGATCTTTGCATTTCCATATAAATTTTAGAATCATTTTGTCAATTTCTACCCAAAAACGCTTACCTGGATTTTGGTTAGCATTATATTGAATCTTTAAACATCTTCACAATATTTGGTCTTCTGATCCATGAATACAACATATCCGTGTACTTATTTAGTTCTTACCCAATTTCTACCAGCAATGCTTTTCACTTTTTATGATAGAAATCTTGCGTCTTTTGTCAGCTCTATCCTTAAATATTTCATATTTTTGATGCTATTGTGAATGGTATTTTTTCTAATTGTTTGTTGTTAGTACATAAATTACAATTGATCTTCCTATATTGATATTTTATCTTGCAACCTTGCGAATCTCACCTATTAGCTGTACTAGGTTTTTTGTAGGTTCCACAGGATTTTCTACATAAACCAGCACCAGAGCAATGAACAAAGACAAATTGTTTTTTTTTTTATAGATGTCATTTATCAATCTTCAGGAAGTTTACAAGGAAGTTCCCAGTTCTGTTTCCAGATTGCTAAAAGCTCTGGTGGGCCAGGTTCACAAGCAGAAAAAGTTTGTCTTCCAGACTCAGATGCAGGATGTTGAGAGAGAGACACTGATGGGATAAAAGCCAGTTTGCTGCAACTGCTTCACCATTTTTAGGTTCAGTGTCCTCACCGACAACTCCTCCCATAAGCTTTTTTTTTTTTTTTTTTTTTTTTTTTTTTTTTTTTTTTGAGACGGAGTCTCACTCTGTAGCCCAGGCTGGAGGGCAGTGGTTCGATCTCAGCTCACTGCAACCTCTGCCTCCCTGGTTCAAGCGATTCTCCCACCTCAGCCTCCCGAGTAGCTGGGACTACAGGTGACAGAGATGGGGTTTCGACATGTTGGCCAGGTGGGTCTCCAACTCCTGACCTCAGGTGATCCACCCGCCTCGGCCTCCCAAAGTGCTGGGATTACAGGCATGAGCCACCACGCCCGGCCTCCTCACGTTAACTTTCTTTTGCCATGCAAGATTGGGCAGAGGACCCTGGTCTCTTGAGGTTATGAATGGAGCTGGCAGGACCCAGCACAGCAACCCACAGTGAGAGAAGCCCTTGCTGCCAAGGGTAATTCCCCGAGTGCAGACATCCTGAGAAAAGTTTACTCTCTTCACACACATTTTCAGTCACCAGAATTCTCTCCCAAAGCATTCAGCAGTCTTTGGTTAATGTGTCTTTCTGGATGCCCTGAAATAACTGAGGCAAGCCACCTGCTGTAAGACTTTTCTAGACGATGGTCCTGAGCCATTGGCAAAATCAGAGAGGATGGGCTTTTTTCATTCACTCAACATATATTCATTGAATATTTACCATGTGCCAGGTTCTGAGTAGTGTCTACTAATGGACAGGGTATTCATAAAAGTTCTGTACTGTTTTAAACGTTTCACTCAAACTTTAAACAGTTGATATATTACAAAAATCTTTCTGTATTTACTCACGAAAGCCTGGATCCTAGAATGAAGAAAATACATGGAGCACAGAGCCACAGCCATCTCCCAGCTCACAGATCACGTGAGTGAGAAATAAACTTCTGTGGCTGTAAACCACTGAAGGTTTGGAGTTACCTGTTACTATATGAATAAACTCAGGAAAGCCAACAAATACAGCAGCCATGTTTTTCATCATCCTGCAAACTAGAAAAACCCAAAAGCCTATTCCATTAAGAGTTCCTTAATAAAGTACAAACACCAGTGACAGAAATTGAGAACTAATGAAACAAAAGCCAGCTGCAAGAACCACTGAGACATAAAAGAGGGGTTAGTCTGTAAGATTACGAACCACTGAGATTTAAAAGAGGGGTTAGTCTGTAAGGTTATGGGAGGTGATGCTCGAATGGGATCTAGTCTCGTAGACGTCAAACGTTAATATTCTCATATATCCAAAGTAATGCGGAGAGTGGTTTATGTAGAGCTTTACATTTTACATAGCAGCTTTACATTCACCCTCATTTCACAGATAAGGAAACTGAGGCCCAAGATGGCACAGTGGCCTCGACGCCCAGGTTTTCCACTTTCAAAGACCCTCCCTCACATCTCATTACCTGATAATGCAACACAGTCTTTAATCGGGGCGAATTTCGGGGTGGAAAGGACTAGATAATGCTGATAAGCGTCATCATCCCATATACACAGCACCCCAAGGACAGCACCCTATCGCCCACGCGTCCACCAGCCCCCGAAAATACTGGAGACAAAAGCTGACGTCGGCAGAGCGCTCCTAGTCCCCGTCTTCTGGTCCTCCACCCTTCCCGAAAGGCCAAGCGGCGGAGCTGGGGCGCCAACGAGAAGGGGGTGAGCGTGATTGGGCTGTCCTACATCACGTGACGGCCAGTACGCGTGGGATTTGGCTCCGAGGAGGCGGAAGTGCAGCACAGAAAGGGGGTCCGTGGGGGACGGTAGAAGCCTGGAGGAGGAGCTTGAGTCCAGCCACTGTCTGGGTACTGCCAGCCATCGGGCCCAGGTCTCTGGGGTTGTCTTACCGCAGTGAGTACCACGCGGTACTACAGAGACCGGCTGCCCGTGTGCCCGGCAGGTGGAGCCGCCCGCATCAGCGGCCTCGGGGAATGGAAGCGGAGAACGCGGGCAGGTAATACCGGGGCCAGCGCCGCCCCTCCCTTGCGCCCCTCACTGCTGGGCAGGCTGGCTGGCGCGCGCGCGCGCACGCAGGGGTCTTTTAAATCCCGGCCGGAATACAAAGGCCGGGGCCGCGCGTGCGCACTGTGGCCTGGTCGGCCTTTCCTTCCCTGGCTGCGGCGGTGGTGGTGGAGGTCGGGGCTGCTCTGAGGGTTACCTGGTGCACCTGGACCCTTCTTTGGTTCCCCGCGATAACCAGTTGACTATAAAATATATTAGTAAGCATTCAGCAGTCTTTGGTTAATGTGTCTTTCTGGATGCCATTCTTGGCTAGAAGGGTTTTCCGTCACCCTCCATTACCACGCAGAGAGCTGTAAAGATGAGTGTCGAACATTTCCAGCTCCAGGAGTTTTCATTTTAAAGTTGGTTGATTTGTTGCGGCTTCCCCCCACCCCAAAGGCCTACTGAAAGCAACTTTAAGGGTCACGGGTTAGATAATTTTGTTGTGGGCATATGTATACACTCTCGAGTAGTCAATCTAAAAATGACCTTTGAGTTTTCCAGTGGCCTTGGGGACGATCTTAAGAATCCGTTTTTAAAAAGTCCTTTGGGGGAGTCAAGAGAAAAATTTGCAAAAGCAGGAGATTTAGGGACTTGAACTCCTGGCGGAAGACTAAATTTTTAAAAAATGGATATGGTGACAGTTTTTTAAAAGATAAAGAGTGATGATTTACATTGAAATTAAAAGGAAAAAAACCTATGCCTAATGAAGAATTATCCTGACTCTCAGTGGCTAATGGGAGCTGAATTTAGGCAATACAAGGGACTTATATGGGCCTGTTCATGTCTGTAAAGTTGGCATGTCTGGAATCTGATTCTGACATGCCGAGAATTGGTGTTACATGAAAGGGCACACTAACCAAAATAAATTAGAGCTTAGGAAAAGAGATATATGTAGACAAAGTGTGGACTTTATCTTGACTTTGTGGATCAAGTCCTGGAATAAATTACTCCACTTCTTTCCCAGAAGAACTTTACAAATAAGAGAATTCACCAGAATTTGTGGAAATCTCTCTCTCATAACCTCACTTAAGAGCAGAATTGAAACTTGGGCCAAGAATAAATTACACATTGTAAGACTTTATTCAGGGTCTTACAGCAAAATAGTAGGACTTCAATACACTGTTTAGCTCAAAGCTGTGATATGTCGGCCTGACTTCATCCAAAAGGCTATAGACCAGATTTTATTTTGCCTTGAAAAGCTTTCACCTTCAGGAACTGTGGAAAATTCTGTGTAATCTTCTGAAATGACTCAGACCCCAGGTAATCCTTAAGAGAGTAGTTCTCTGTCACCCTTGACTGTGCTAATCAAGAAATGTAATGTGGGATGTGAAAAAAAATAAATTTACTTTTTTTTTTTTTTTTTTTGAGACAGAGCCTTGCTCTGTTGCCCAGGCTGGAGTGCAGTGGCGGATCTTGGCTCACTGCAACCTCCATCACCCGGGTTCAAGCGATTCTCCCGCTGCAGCCTCCCAAGTAGCTGGGATTACAGGCACCTGCCACCAGGCCTGGCTAATTTTTGTATTTTTAGTAGAGACAGGGTTTCACCATGTTGGCCAGGCTGGTCTTGAACTCTTGCCCTCAAGTGATCCACCTGCCTCGGCCTCCCAAAGTGCTAGGATTACAAATGTGAGCCACCGGGCCCAGCCGACTTTTTTAGAAGACTAATTTCAGATATTCAAAGAAGAAAATTCAAATTCCATGAATACAGACTTTTTTTTTTGTTTTTTTTTTTTTTTGAGACAGAGTTTCACTCTGTTGCCCAAGATGGAGTACAGTGGTGCGATCACCGTTCACTGCAACCTCTGCTTCCCGAGTTTAAGCGATTCTCATGCCTCAGCCTCCCAAGCATCTGGGACTACAGGTACCCAACACCACGCCCAGCTAATTTTTTGTATATTTAGCAGAGACGAGGTTTCACCATTTTGGCCAGGCGGGTCTTGAACTCCTGGCTTCAAGTGATCACTTTGGCCTCCCAAAGTGCTGGGATTACAAGCATGAGCCAAAGCGCCCAGCCTAGACTTTATTTCAATGGCAAAATAGTTCAGGAGTCTTAGAAAGTGCTTACAGTCAATCAACCAGAGAGGAATAAAGGAGGAATTTTCTAAGGGTACTGGGGAGTTTCCCGTGACCTCAGGCGTGAAAAAGACATTTACCGAAGATGGAAAATAGGATGCCAAATCAAAAGTAACTGGAAGAGAGTAGCATGGACCACTAAGAATACCAACAGGAAAGATTAACCCTTGCATGAGAGTAGACTTTATAGAAATGTTAAGGAGACCAGGAAGGACTGTTTTGGTTAGATGTTGACAACAAGAAGAATAAAAAAGATTTGGGTTTTCTCCCCAGTCTACTGGCATGGTGGCAGCAGACAACAGAACACCTAAGTACTTTGTTCTGATTTGGATTTTACATCTCCTATGTTAGCAAAATGATTGTCTGACTGGAAATGGCAGAATGAATATCTGTAAGACTTAAAGCTCAAGACCAGTGAAGGCATTTAGGAGAAGTTTCAGGTGTTCTAACAGAATCATATGCCTTGGCCTGCGTGTGTTGTGTTTCAAGGGAGAGGCCAGATTAAAGCAGTGTTAGAGGATTTGTAGCAAATGTAAGGGACCTGGAAATAAACACGTGGGTTCCTGTTCTTCCAGAGGTGGAGTCTGTCCTCTGTTGACATTGATCCTGAACAAAATTTTTACTTAATCAATGGTTACTGAGCATTTTTAAAAGAAACTAATTGACCGGGCACAGTGGCTGACGCCTGTAATCCCAGCACTTTGGGAGGCCAAGGCAAGTGGATCACCTGAAGTCAGGAGTTCAAGACCAGCCTGGCCAATATGGTGAAACCCCGTCTCTACTAAAAATACAAAATTAGCTGGGCATGGTGGCATAACTAGTGACCACTACACTACAGTATCAGTTCAGAAAGAAAGCAAGACCTATACTAGACAGGCAGCATCAGAAGGATGCTGGCAGGAGGTACCTACAGTAGTCATTATTATAGCAAATTTATTATATACCAGGTACTGTTTTGGATGTTTTACATAGGCCAACTAGCTTAATGCTCCTAACCAATTATTAGGTACTATTCCCATTTTACAGATGTGGAAGCATGGGCATAAAGAGATTAAGGAACTTGCCCACAGAGCTAGTAAATGGGAGAGCTGAAATTTGAATCCAGATGACCTAGCTTCAAAGTCTGCTTCTCTAGCTAGCAAATGTGCTTTACTGCCTCTCTTAGTGAGCAAGATGGAGATGGACTGATGGCAATCCAGTTAGGTGAAATAAAAACCTGACTTACTACTGAAAGAATCAGGCAGACTGAAGAGAGGTCTGTACTTATATGCCATGTATCTCTATCCCTAACTTTGTTCCTTTCAGTACCTTAACGTCAGGGTGCTGATGGCATGGTGATAAAATTTGTGAGTGACCCAAGCCTGGGAGGAATTTGTGGAATTAACTGATTGATTTAATCAGAGTCCAGATAAATCCTGACTGACTGGAATGGTGAATCATCTTTTACAAAGAAGAGGCACAATCCTATACTCAGCTGCAGAAAAATCAGTGATAAAGTGTGGAATGAGGGAGAAGTGATACAAGGACAGTGTTCGTTGATGGGAAACTCAGTGTGAATCAACAGTATAATGTGGGTGCCAGTATAGCTAGTGTCATGGGTTCTGCAGTTTGTCTCCAAAATGAGCAAGTTGGTAGCCCTGCTCATTTTCGGGCTGATGAGGCTTTATCTGGAGTTTTGTTTGATTCCGAGCACCAAAAAATGAAGAAATTTGAAATCATACTACATGAGGAATTATACTATTTGAGGAATACTGTATGAGGACTGGCTTATTCTAAATCTTTATATTTACAGTTTCTAGTAGACTGTACATATGGTGAATACACAGACCTCCATCTAGCAATACCAAATGGAATAATAGTTATGGTGCTATCGCATCATAATTTACATAACCAGACCCCTTTAGTTGAGCATTTGGATTATTTAGCCTTGTTCATTATTTTGTAAGTATTCAGTATGGTATATGCTTTTTTTAAGTGAAGATAATAAAATGTATTTAGAAAATAGCAACTTAGGCTGGGTGCAGTGGCTCACACCTGTAATCCCAGCACTTTGGGAGGCCAAGGTGGGAGGATCACTTGAGACCAGAAGTTCAAGACTAGCCTGGGCAACATAGTGAAGCCCCATCTCTACAAAAAATTTAAAATTTAGCCAGGCATAGATGCATGTACCTGTAGTCCCAGCTGCTCAGGAGACTGAGGTGAGAGGATTGTCTGAGCCCAGGTGTGTGTGGTTACTGTGAGCTATGATAGCACCACTGCACTCCAGCCTGGGTGGCAGCCAGACCCTGTCTCTTAAAAAAGAAAAAAGCAACTTAAATCCCTAAAATAGTGTAAAATAATTGAAGATAAAAGAAGTTGGAGTCATTAATTTTAGAGAAAACCTTAAAAATTTAGTTTTTTGAAATACAGCAAATCTAGCTAGGCATGGTGGTGTGTGCCTGTAGTCCTAGCTACTCAGGAGGCTGAGGCAGGAGGATCACTTGAGCCCAGGAGTTGGAGGCTGCAGCCAACTATGATCATGCCACTGCACTCCAGCATGGGTGACAGAGTGAGACCCCATCTCTTAAAAAAAAAATAATTAAAAAAATAAAAAAATAGCAAATCTGAATTAACTGGACTTCTTAATGAACTCTATGCGTGGAGTGTGTGTATGTGTGTTTTGAGAAAGACTATCAGAAAATATAGTCGACCTTCCATATCTATGGATTCTGCATCTAAGAATTCAACCAACTGTGGATTGAAATTATTTGGGAAAAAAAAAGACAAATAACAACATTAAAAAATGATACAGATAAAAAGAATGCAGGATGACAGCTACTTACATAGCATTTACATTGTATTAGGTATTATAAATAATGTAAAGATTATCTAAAGTATATGGGAGGATCTGCATAGGTTATATACAAATACTATGCCATTTTATATCAAGCGACTTGAGCATCCTTAGATATTGGTGTCTGTGAGGGGTTCTACAACCAGTCCCCCATGTATGCAAAACTAGGTACATACCACAGTCCATTTTTAGAAAGATTGATTAGTAACTAAAGGATGACTGTACACAATTCATCAGTTCCAGGCAGCTATAAGAAAACAATCTAGCCGGACACAGTGGCTCACACCTGTAATCCCAGCACTTTGGGGAAGCTAAGGCGGGCAGATCGTGAGGTCAGGAGTTTGACACCAGCCTGACCAACATGGTGAAACCCTGTCTCTACTAAAAATACAAAAATTAGCCCGGTGTAGGTGCCTGTAATCCCAGCTACTCAGGAGGCTGAGGCAGGAGAATCACTTGAACCCAGGAGGCAGAGGTTGCAGTGAGCCGAGATCATGCCATTGCACTCCAGCCTGGGTGACAGAGCGAGACTCTGTCTCAAAAACCAAACAAACAAAAAACAACAGAAAAACAATCTATGAGCGCTGCAGTTCAACAGAAGGTAAGTGCAAATGGAGGCTAGCAGAGAAAAAGGGGTAAACAGGAAAATGAGGGAGAGTGAGAGGTAGTGAAGAATATTTGAGACTAAGATAAATGATGGGGGAAGAAAAGTGAACGAAGAGAAATAAAATCAATCGTGCTTGTAAGTTTAACATCAGGAAGTTATACAAAGTAGAAAGTCTTTGGGGTCTGTTTTGAGTCTAGACAGATCTAGTCCTATTTCCTATACATTGTCCACATATGTAGAAATCACTGAATCTAATTCCTCATTTTCATGGTGAGGGAATGGATACCCCGAGAGGATAAATGACTAAATGCTCTTTGTTACTGTCCTTCTCATAGAGTTATTGCTCAGAAACATTGCAGAGTTCTGGATTATAAAGTAGCAACGATCATTATGCATACACAAATGTATTTAAGAAATATCCTCACACTGAGGTTGAAACAGGTTTATGCTGCTTATACATTTAGTTGTTATTATAATAGAAGATAAAATTATCCAGAACCCCCCTTTTTTTTTTAGACAGAGTCTTGCTCTGTCGCCCAGGCTGGAGTACAGTGGTACGATCTTGGCTTACTGCAGCCTCCGCCTCCCTAGTTCAAGCAATTCTCCTGCCTCAGCCTTCCCTGTATTTAGGATTACAGGCGCATGCCACGACGCCTGACTAAGTTTTGTATTTTTAGTAGAGATGGGGTTTCACCATGTTGGCCAGGCCGGTCTCGAACTCCTAACCTCGTGATCCAACCCCCTCGGCCTCCCAAAGTGCTGGGATTACAGGCGTGAGCCACTGTTTCCGGCCAGTTATCCAGAACTGTTTAGTTAACTAGCATTCAAGTTTATGAAGATTTTTGTGTAGATGTAATGCTTGCTTCTGCCAAGGAATAAGAATGTTGTAATCCACCATCTTTTATTCTGGCTTTTAGGCAGCTGTTGAGGTAAACAAACTAAGTTTAATGCTCGAAGATAGTGTATTCCTCAGAACTAACACATTTGATTTTCCATAGGTTTATTTTCCTTTACCTGTTCTAATTTAACTTTTTGTAAAATGCCACAGTCCATTTTTAGAAAGATTAAGGGATATTTCATTATTATAGATAAGTTTCTAGGTTTCTTTCAAACTTGATATACCTAATATAAAAGTTCAGATTATTTTTCCTCTTTATTTTTCACTTTTTATTCAGCCAACTGTGATTTCTAGAATTTTGATTTTCAGCTTCTGAACCCCAGAATTTCTGAAGATGATTAATGACCTCCGACTATACTAAAAGTTTTGAAAAATTTTTTTAAAGTAAAGAATCCTGTTGTAATGTGAACGGTGTCTCCCTAATTTATGTATTTTCAGTTTGCATTTTCATGAAGTGCTCAAAATGGGACATGTGAAATTCTGAGAGTAGTAGTAAGAAACATGGGAGAGTGGTAGGTAGATTGCCTTCCTGACCATGTGACAGAGTAAAAACACGTTTCATACATTTTTTTTTTTTTTTGAGACGGAGTTTCGCTCTTGTTGTCCAGGCTGGAGTGCAATGGCATCATCTCGGCTCACCACAACCTCCACCTCCTGGGTTCAAGCGATTCTCCTACCTCAGCATCCTGAACTAGCTGGGATTACAGGCATGCGCCACCACACCCAGCTAATTTTGTGTTTTTAGTAGAGACAGGGTTTCTGCATGTTGGTCGGGCTGGTCTTGAACTCCTGACCTCAGGTGATCCGCCCGCCTTGACCTCCCAAAGCGCCGAGATTACAGGCGTGAGCCACTGCACCCAGCCACATCTCATGCATTCTTTTGCTCGCTCATTTATTGTCACCATATGCCTTTGTTTCTATATATTCAAGCTAAATCAAGGTGCTATTAGAATCTCGGGAAGCTGCCGCTGACCACAGTCAGAACTTGCAGTTTCTTTAGTTAGAATTGCCATAGGACCACTGCTCAAGACTTCCAGATCTAACCTAGCCATATCCAACTCATCATTAGAATATTTAAATCATGAATGTTGAACAACCAATATTTTAACAATTTATTGCATAGAGCTACTAATAATATTAAATAAAACTATGGAAAAAAAGGACATTTTACTTTGTGCCAGGTATGCTTCTAAGCATAGTTCTACATCTTAACTTCTAGTCCCTGTCTACATATTTTCCCTTATGTGTAGCCTTAGTTATACTATTTTGTATTCTTTTCTGTTTTAAAATATATATAAACTCTTTCCTGTTCTTTTACATAAGATAAATAAACTTAATTTTTTAGCTGCATAGTATTTTCTCATGTTAATGTATTGTAGTTTACTAAGTCATAACTTTATTTTTATTTAATTTGTGAACAATAAAAGAAATAAAACTCTTATGATACAGGTTAATCTCTTTCTCACTCATTCTTAATCTTTGCTTTACCAACCTACCCTTAAAGATAGCTGGAAGTGGAAATGCCTCTCCAGTGGTTTGTCCATTGGGATTGGGCTTCTGTTTATCTTGAGCTGCCAACATTTAGCCCAGCCGCTGGGGGTGGTCTGTTATCCTTTGTTTCCCCAGGCCATTTAAGCTTATCCAGGAAATGCTTTAGTTTGCCTTTTTTTTTTCCTGTTAACCATTTTATTGAGATATGATTTACATACTACATAGTTCATCCATTTAAAGTGTACTCATTTGCCCTCTTTTGTTGTTGTTGTTGTTGTTATTGAGGCAGAGTCTCGTTCTGTCCCCCAGGCTGGGGTGCAGCAGTGTGATCATCGCTCACTGTAACCTTGAACTCCTAGACTCAGGCAATCCTCCTGCCTCACCCTCCTGAGCAGCTGGGGCTGTCAGCATGTACCACCATGCCCAGCTAATGTTTTAAAATTTTTTTGTGGAGGTGGCGATCTTGCTATATTGCCCCGGCCACTCTTGAATTCCTGGCCTCAAGTGATCCTCCCGCCTTGCCCTCCCAAAGCACTAGGATTACAGACATAAGCCACCGTGCCTGGCCTCATTTCCCTTTTTAATCTGCTTTCTGAGCTTCCTGTTCTCTTTCAATGAATATCATAGAGAATGAAAACTGATTAGTATAGTATCTTGCAGTAGAAAACATGACTTTCGCTGGGCGCGGTGGCTCATGCCTATAATCCCAGCACTTTGGGAGGCTGAGGCGGGTGGATCGCGAGGTCAGGAGATTGAGACCATCCTGGCTAACACGGTGAAACCCTGTCTCTACTAAAAATATAAAAAAAAATTAGCTGGGTGTGGTGGTGGGGGCGCCTGTAGTCCCAGCTACTCGGGAGGCTGAGGCAGGAGAATGGCGTGAACCCGGGAGGCGGAGCTTGCAGTGAGCCAAGATCGCGCCACCACACTCCAGCCTGGGCGACAGGGCGAGACTCCGTCTCAAAAAAAAAAAAAAAAAAAGAAAAAGAAAAAGAAAACATGACTTTCCTCTCCAAATAGTAAAGCAAACTTTTCCATTTTATTTTCTACTGTTTTTCTTCTCCTGCCTATTTAATGGCATTATTTGGCATTTGCTGTAACTTGAGTTTCATCAAATATGTGTTTACTTCTCTGGTTTTATGCTAACAGCAACACCATGAGATAGTGGTTTAAGGCCATGAGAAGTATTTTTTTTAATTGTTTTCTTTGAAAGCCCACATTGTTTCCTTTGAACAGAATACTTTGAACAAAATTTAAATCGTGTTCAGAAGAGAGGTTTAGAGGTTTTTTCCTTCATAAATTCAACACATGTTTACAAAATATCCATTTCATGTTTCTCTTTAGTGACTGAATCTATTTTGTGTTGCTGTTTCAGAATGCCATAGACTGGGCAATTAATAAACAGTAGAGGTTTTTTTGGCTCCTACTTCTGGAGCCTGGGAAGTCCAAGATGGAGGGGCTACATCTGATGAGGGGCTTCTTGCTGCGTCATAAAATGGCAGAAGGAATCACACAGTGAGGCAGCACTTGTGACAGAGAGATAGGAAAGGGAGTTGAACTCATCCACTCATCGTGTTATCAGGAACCCTCTCCTGTGATAATAGCATTAACCCACTCCTGAAGGCAGAGCCCTCCTCTTGACCTAATCACCATTTTTTTTTTCTTTTGAGACAGAATCTTGCTCTGTCACCCAGGCTGGAGTGCAGTGGTACAATCTCAGCTCACTTAAACCTCCACCTTCCAGGCTCAAACAGTTCTCCTGCCTCAGCCTCCCAAGTATCTGGGACTTCAGGTGCATGCCACTGTGCCCGGCTAATTTTTATATTTTTAGTAGAGGCGGGGTTTTGCCATGTTGGTCAGGCTGGTTATAAACTCCTGACCTCAGGTGATCTACCCTCCTCGGCCTCCCAAAGTGCTGGGTTTACAGGTGTGAGCCACTGTGCCCGGCCTTGTCACCTCATAAAGGTCCTACCTCTCAACACTTGCATTGGGGATTTAGTTTTCAACACGTGAACTTTGGGGGACACATTCAAACCATAGCAGTGGCAAAAAAAAAAAGCCCTAGCCCCAACAAAACAAAAATACCACCATCAATAAAAATCAAATATAGGCCTGGGTGCAGTGGCTCACATCTGTAATCCTAGCACTTGGGGAAACTGAGATGGGCAGATCTCTTGAGCTCAGAAGTTCAAGACCAGCCTGGCCAACATGGCAAAACCCTGTCTAGACAAAAATTACAAAAATTAGCCAGGCATTGGGGCTCGCTCCTGTAGTCCCAGCTACTTGGGAGGCTGAGGTGGGAGGATCACTTGAGATCTCCCACCTCAGAAGTAACAGTGAACCAAGATCACACTACTGCACTCCAACCTGGGTGACAGAGGGAGACCCTGTCTCCCCACACACACACACACACACACACACACAAACTAATGAAAAAATAAGTAAACAGGCAAATAAAAATAAACTAAAAGAGAATCTTAATTAGATTGGAGGGGATCTTCAGGTGATTAAATACTGAAGGAAAGTAGGGGCACAAATTGTATTTGGGGACATCTTAACCCTGTATGGGTTGATAGACCTTTCAAGTCTGTCTACTAGAAAACTCCCTCAAATCTTATTTCAGAGAAAGTATGGGCTGACTTGACAGGACTGATCAGTTTTATCAGTGACACATCTTATCATTTAAACAGTGCAAGAGTTAATGGTTGGTTATTAAGCACTCAGTAAAGGTTGGTGAACATGTACATACAGGACTAGATCTCTCCTCTGTAATCCACTCTAAATAAATACTTCAGTCTGGTTACAAAATACTTAATACTGTACTGAAGATTTTTGTACAGCTGATCATTTGGATTTACATTTGGGTAATTTTATCATTACATCTCATGCTTCATTATTCTTTCAGCTATTCCCTTCAGCAAGCTCAAGCTTTTTATACGTTTCCATTTCAACAACTGATGGCTGAAGCTCCTAATATGGCAGTTGTGAATGAACAGCAAATGCCAGAAGAAGTTCCAGCCCCAGCTCCTGCTCAGGAACCAGTGCAAGGTAGTTTCACCATGAGAGCTTAGAAAGTTCAACATCGGATCAGCCAGCTTATTTGAGAAAGGGTTTCATGGTGAATTTTAGCTCTATTTTAGTGTTAAAAAGTCAAATCCACTTTTTAAGTACTTAGTATGTGCTAAGCACTGATAGGTTCTGGGGAATAAAAGAACATGGGTCCTGCCCAAAAATATCTCATAATCTAGTAGAGAAAAGTAATAAGTAAATACACGTTACAGCTCAGCACAGTTTGTAGTGAAGAGGGGCATAGAATGAATGCCCTGAAAGCTTATGGGGTTGGCTTCTAACTCAGACTGATGGCTCAGAGGCTGCTTCCCAGAGCAGAGAAATAACACCAGGGCTCTGAAACTCCAACAATGTGGAGGCTTCATCCCGATAAAGATCAGAGTAGGGACATGTCCAGGCTGAGGGAGCTATACAGGCTGGGTACAGACACACACAAGCATGGCATGGCCAGAAACAGAGCAATTCTGTGTCCTTGGAGTCTGGGATATAACAAGGAAATGGTGAGAGGTGAGGCTGGATGGGGACAGTTGAAACTTGTTTTTTAATCCCAAAGAATTTATATTCTATCATGAAGGCAATAGGGAGCTGTTGAGAGAATGTAAGCAAGGGATGACTTACTTGACTGGTGCTTTACAAATTAGCCTGGAAATATTAGAGAAGATAGATTGGTTGGTAGACAACAAGTCGGAACTTGGAGGCAGGCCGGGCACAGTGGCTCATACCTGTAATCCCTGCACTTTGGAAGGCTGAGGCGGGTAGATCACCTGAGGTCAGGAGTTCATGACCAGCCTGGCGAACATGGCAAAACCCTGCCTCACACAAATTAGCCGGGCATGGTGGCGCACACCTGTGATTCCAGCTACTGGGGAGGCTGAGGCACGAGAATTGCTTGAATCCTGGAGGCGGAGGCTGAGAGGCTGCAGTGAGCCAAGATTGCACCACTGCACTCCAGCTGGGCAATAGTGCGAGACTCTGTCTCAAAAACAAAAACAAAAACAAAAACAAAAACAAAACTTGGAGTCAAGGAGTGGATTAGATGGATTAGAGACACTGTTTGAATAATCTAGGGGAGCACTGAGGAGGACCTGAAGGGGTGGAGAAAGAATTAGGAAACACTTAGGAGGTAGAATTACCTAGCCATGGCTAATGGGTTTCATGTGTTTGGGGGGAGCATGGCAGGATAGTGGGGGAGAAAGGGGAGTCCAGAAGTAACTACCAGGTTTCTGGCATTGGCATTTGGTTGGAGGAGGTGCCACTCACCAAGACAGAGAATTAGAAGAAAATAATAGGTTCCAGGGGTGGGAGAGTGGTTGGAGAGAAGTTAATGATTTTCTCCAGTGTAACAGTATTTTATGAGAAATGTGCTCAGGGTTTTGGTTTATGATTGCAGGAACACATCTAATAACTCTGCCTCCGCATTAGGACTTCCCCAGCTACATGCCAGTGATGGTGGATCTGTTGGCATAGGGAGTGGCTAAGACAATGTGAGGCAGAAGAGAGGAGGGACTGACTGCCTGTATCCTGCGAGGCTTGATTGGGGAAACGCCAAAGAGGAGTAGAATAGGGTAGAAGCCTGAGTAGTTAGGAGAAATGTTAAATAATTAAGGGTAAGAAAATCAGGGCTTCCTGTTGGGTAACTATAGGTCAGTGGTTTTCAATCAAGGGTGATTTTGCCCTCCCAAGGGACATTTGACATTGTCTGAAGACACTTTTGATGATCAAGACTGGCAGGTTACTACTGGCATCTAGTGGGTAGAGATCAGGGGTGCTATTAAACATTCTGTAATGTGCAGTACAGCCACCCACAACAAAAAATTATGCAACCTAAAATGTCAATAGTGTGGAGGCTGAGAAACTGCTTTACGTCCTGAGGTTGGATCCCTCCTCTTGCCTTTTGAAAAATACTGCCAGCCCAGAGATGTCATCCTGGGCACCCCTAAATTCCCCTCTTCAACTATGTATGGAACAGAATATACACCTCATCTCTAAAACAAGCCCACAAGCCATTGTGTTTTTCTTTTTTCTTTCTTTTTTTTTTTTGGACAGAGTCTTGCTCTGTTGCCCAGGCTGGAATGCAGAGGCATGATCTCAGCTCACTGCAACCTCCACCTCTTGGGTTCAAGCAATTCTCCTGCCTCAGCTTCCCGAGTAGTTGGAATTACAGGTGCACGACACCATGCCTGGCTAATTTTTGTATTTTTAGTAAAGACGGGGGTTTCACCATGTTGGCCAGGCTGGTCTTGAACTCCTGACGTCAGGTGATCTGCCTGCCTTGGCCTCCCAAAGTGCTGGGATTACAGACATGAGCCACCATACCTGGCCCATTTGTGGTTTTCTACTGGGGAAGTTGAGTTAA
This sequence comes from Homo sapiens, assembly GCF_000001405.40. Taxonomy (NCBI): domain Eukaryota; kingdom Metazoa; phylum Chordata; class Mammalia; order Primates; family Hominidae; genus Homo; species Homo sapiens. The sequence goes on from NC_000012.12 coordinate 103,979,438, forward strand.
AATGTTTCCCTTCCTTCCTGTTTCTCTATTTTTCTGTTCTTATTTAATTATTTATGTATTTACATTTAGAATTTATATAAAATGATATGTAGATACTTTGTATCCTTGAGGAGGTTAAGATGCCAAGTAATACTGTGTCGAAAATAATAGTCTATGATTATTCTTCCCACGAACAGCTAGCAGGGGAAGGAGAGTGGCATGGGGGGTTGCACGAACCCAGTTCTAGGGAGAAAGAAAGGGAAGATATTGCAGAGGAGACTCATGTTGGGACTGTAAGAGCTTAATTTTGGGGAGACAGGTACAAAAGGTGCTAGTTGGGTAACTTTTCTGGGAAAGCTGCTAAAGTTTCTAAGTTAAGATTTTCTGCATTTCTGGAAATTATTTGTATTTCAGAGGCTCCAAAAGGAAGAAAAAGAAAACCCAGAACAACAGAACCAAAACAACCAGTGGAACCCAAAAAACCTGTTGAGTCAAAAAAATCTGGCAAGTCTGCAAAATCAAAAGAAAAACAAGAAAAAATTACAGACACATTTAAAGTAAAAAGAAAAGTAGACCGTTTTAATGGTGTTTCAGAAGCTGAACTTCTGACCAAGACTCTCCCCGATATTTTGACCTTCAATCTGGACATTGTCATTGTAAGATCTTTGTCCTCGTTGGATTTTATAAGTAGTATTGGGGGATCAGCTTTACTTAACAGTTGTCCTTGCAAATAGCATTTTGCTGAAAAGGACCATTTCTAAGAATCCTTTTGGTGGTAAATGGTGTCAGCTTCATGAGGTTGTGTTATATGAGAGTGTTTAAGAGGGTGGGCTCCAAATTTAGACTGTCTGGGTTCAAATCCTGTCACAAGTATAATCTTGGATAAGTCTTATTAACCTTTCTAAACACCGGTTTTCTCATTGATAAACCAGGGGTGATAATACCACCCCCCGATAGGGTTGCAAGTAAATGAGAGAATCCATGTGAATCACTTCAACTGAATGATGCCTGTGGAGACCTGATACATGGCAGCACTAATTTTAAGCTCTTATTTTTCTCAGTAACTGTAAGAAACATCAGCATGTGAACAATTGTGTAGGTGATGTGGAGCGAGCTTCTTGTTGAAAGTTGAGAATCAGAATTGTGGCTGGACATGGGCTCAGATTGATTGTTCCAGGACCTGTCTTTCCAGACTCAAAGCAGCCCAGTTGGTGAGGGTGCGAGGCCTGGGATCATAAAGGAGTCAAACTGGTTTTTTAAAATAACAGCAAAACTTTTAAAATAAAGAAAATCTCTTTCCCATATATGAAATACTTTGTTCAGATCAAGAGTAGTAATTGATAAATGATATTGCTTATGATGCTGAATTAAATTTGTATTTTAATCAACTCAATTTTGTCCACCACTCCTCCATAGAAACGCTAAGGCTTAGGTCCTGCTTTTTAAGATGAAATGTCTAATTGTTTTGTTTTATAGATTGGCATAAACCCGGGACTAATGGCTGCTTACAAAGGGCATCATTACCCTGGACCTGGAAACCATTTTTGTAAGTGGTTACCTTTTAAATTAATTTACTTTTAAATTAGGTATCTTTGTTAACAGGTTTTTTCAGAAAAACCAATTGTGTTTTTAAAAAGAAAGAGACTGTAAATACACATTCGTGTTTCATGTTCTGTGTGTGTGTCTGTACGTGAAAATAAGAGAGTTTGAAATGATATGTTACTGTTAACATTTTAGTCTATGAGAATGGAGGGATGTGAATAAGAGTACTTTCTCTTTTGTTTGAATTGTTTCTAATGAGTTGTACTACTTTTTTTTTTTTTTTTTTTTTTTTTTGAGATGGAGTTTCGCTCTTTTTGCGCAGACTGGAGTGCAATGGCGCGATCTCGGCTCACCACAATCTCCACCTCCCAGGTTCAAGTGATTCTCCTGCCTCAGCCTCCCTAGTAGCTGGGATTACAGGCATGTACCACCACGCCTGGTTAATTTTGTATTTTTAGTAGAGACGGGGTGTCTCCATGTTGGTCAGGCTGGTCTCGAACTCCCGGCCTCAGGTGATCTGCCCACCTCAGCCTCCCAAAGTGCTGGGATTACAGGCGTGAGCTACAACGCCCAGCCAAGTTGTATTACTTTTTAAAAATGATTTTTTAAAAGTTGTTATCTATAGGCATAGTAACGATAGTATAGTACATCTTTGTGGCAGTGCAGACATAATACTAACTTTCCCAGATTTCTGGTGATTATTTTCTAGCAGAGCATAAAATAGTAGTAAAGACTCATATTTTTAGAGTAAGTTTTAAAACCAAGTGTTGGCTGGATCTGGTGGCTCACACCTGTAATCCCAACACTTTGGGAGGCCAAAGCAGGAGGATCACTTGAGGCCAGGAGTTTGAGACTAGCCTGTACAACATACCAAGATCTCATTTCTACAAAAAAATAAATAAAAAATTAGCTGAGTGCTGTGGTGCACACCTGTAGTTCCAGCTACTACGGAGGCTGGGTTGGGAAAATTGCTTGAGCCTGAGAGGTTGAGGCTGCAGTTAGCCATAATTACTCCACTGCACTCCAGCCTAGGTGACAGAACTAGACCCTGTATCACAAAAACAAACAAGAAAACAAACAAAAAACAAGCGTAACTACTGTTGCATTGCCTTCTCTATATAAGTTGTCTTGTATATAAATCATCTTATTTTATACTGCCTAATAGATCAGTGTATGCAGTATACGCTCAGGAAATTGATTATCTAATAGTAACATTCAAAACATTTAGGGCAACTGATAGTAATGTGGTTTTGGAACTAATAATAACATATTGTCCCTATTATTTTAAAAAATTCCTTTTTAAGGGAAGTTTGGACTTTTGACTTTCTTCACTGTCAAGGTGTTTGAATGTTGTTAGTCTAGTGCTGTATGTTTACGTGTGAGGTGGTGGTATCACCAATTGTAAAGCAAAATAGTCTCAAAGTTTCCTAAACTGAGTTGCTATATATTCTTGGGCAGGCATTTGCCTCAACCCCCTGTGAAAAGGAGATAATAATAGTATCTTGCAAGATAATTATGATGATTAAATCCAAGCGCTGTGGCTCACACCTGTAATCCCAGCAATTTTGGAGGCTGAGGTGGGAAGATCACTTGAGCCCAGGAATTCAAGACCAGCCTGGGCAACATGGTGAAACCCTGTCTACAAACAATACAAAAATTAGCTGGGCGTGGTGGTGTGCATCTGGGGTTCCAGCCACTCAGGAGGCTGAAGTGGGAGGATTGCTTGAGCCTCGGTGGTCGAGGCTGCACTGAGCCATGATCGTGCCACTACACTCTAGCCTGGGTGACAGAGCGAGACCCTGTCTAAAAAAAAATAAATAACTGAATTTTCATTTTACAGGGAAGTGTTTGTTTATGTCAGGGCTCAGTGAGGTCCAGCTGAACCATATGGATGATCACACTCTACCAGGGAAGTATGGTATTGGATTTACCAACATGGTGGAAAGGACCACGCCCGGCAGCAAAGATCTCTCCAGGTAAGTACACAGCATTTGCTTTTATGGGTTGGAACCTTGAGTATGCTGGTGCCCCAAATATTCTAGGAACATCATATGTATCTAGTTCAAGCTGAGCTCAACAAATGTACAATATGCTCTTTCATTGAAAGCTGTCTGAATTTAGCATATTATAAATATTGTCATATTTATATTTTTGACTACTTTTTAATTCAATTTTAGTAAAGAATTTCGTGAAGGAGGACGTATTCTAGTACAGAAATTACAGAAATATCAGCCACGAATAGCAGTGTTTAATGGAAAATGTAAGATTTACTTTTAAATTTTTTTTTTCTTTGCTAACATTATGGGCAATGTAAATATGTTTGTATTTCATTTTAGGTATTTATGAAATTTTTAGTAAAGAAGTTTTTGGAGTAAAGGTTAAGAACTTGGAATTTGGGCTTCAGCCCCATAAGATTCCAGACACAGAAACTGTAAGTCCCTAAAATTGAATTTGTAAATCAGCTAAATGTGAATTTTTTTCTAGATAATTTCCTTATTTGTCCTATCCATTGTGATTTATACCATGCAAAACAATTACACTGTATTTTGTTGAATAATACCTATACATCAGCTTTAACTAATAGTTGTAAATTAATTCAAATACTATTAGGGTTTATTAGAAAGAAAAACATTTGTCAGCTAAATGTCTTGATGTTGTTATTCAGTGAAAATATTGAGAGGAACTGGCTCATATACTACATTCAGAATACATTTAATGGCATGTAGTTGTCAAATTCAAATGGTTTAGCCCTCGTACTGTTGTGAAACAAACATGGAAACACAGACATGATCCTGATTAGGAAAACCAGTTGCCCCATTTATATATCTTAGCTCAACTTCATTTTAGAGCCATATAAATAATACAACCCAGACAAGCCTCCAGCCAACCTAACTGGCATTCAATACTGTTGTCTTATACACAAAGTCATCATGAAATAACAGTGTTTTTCAAATTGTCCTCTCTACAGAGCTTCTGCAGGCATTTGGTTCCAATTTTGCTTCTTAGTTTTAGGTTTTATTTACAACTTTTAAAGAACAACACAGTGCACAGATTTACATGTTGTATATACAACATCTTAACTGATGGAGAAGCTAATTTGCTGCCAGGTTTTTGTGGAAACCTAAAAATGTTTCTGCCACCTAAATATATTTAAATTTCTCCTTTAAAATTGTTTTTGTTCATAATTTCTTATAAATATGCAATTGATGAGTTTTATTATAGCATTGGTTTTTGCTTAAATAAAGGCCCACCTTTGTCTGCTTGGTTAAAATGGTACAAATTCACTACCTGTAGTGAATTGTAGAGAAATTCCTGTAGAGTACTGTGTCATTCTCTGTTACATGCCATTTGGAGGCCGGGCGTGGTGGCTCATGCCTATAATCCCAGCACTTTGGGAGGCCGAGGCAGGCGGATCACCTGAGGTTAGGAGTTCGAGACCAGCCTGGCCAACATGGTGAAACCCCATCTCCACTAAAAAATACAAAAATTAGCCAGGCATGGTGGCATGCGCTGTAATCCCAGCTACGTAGGAGGCTGAGGCAGAAGAATCGCTTGAACCCAGGAGGCAGCTCATTAGGCGGAGGCTCATTATTTTTCACTTCCTGACTTGGTAATAAGTCAGTATTACAAATTCAACCTTAAAAGCAACTACTTTTATTGATTTTTACATATATTTATATGTAGTTAAGTATCAAGTTATTAACCCAAATAAAGACAAATATTCTAATCTCAATGAGTGAATTCAATAGAATTATAAGATTTCTGAAATTATAAAATGTTGTGATTCTAGCTCTGCTATGTTATGCCATCATCCAGTGCAAGATGTGCTCAGTTTCCTCGAGCCCAAGACAAAGTTCATTACTACATAAAACTGAAGGACTTAAGAGATCAGTTGAAAGGCATTGAACGAAATATGGACGTTCAAGAGGTGCAATATACATTTGACCTACAGCTTGCCCAAGGTATGTTACTGTCCTCATTCCTTTTATTCATTTTGTGTGTGTATATATACACATATATACTTACATATATATACACATATACATATATACATATACACATATACATATGTGTGCACATATATGCACACGTGTATATATACATGTGTATATATACATATATACACATAAGTATGTATGTCTATATACATATATGTGTGTATACACTTGTGTGCGTATACATATGTGTGTGTCTATATATAGACACATACACACACACACACACACACACACACACACACACACACACACATTACAGAAAGTATCTTATGGATTTAAAAGCAGGAAAAAAGAAAACAATTATATTCGCAGCCAGAGTGCTCTGATAATGAATATTAGTCACTGTTAAAATCTCCTTTTACCAAGGTCTTCCCTCTACTCTGGCACTTCTGCAGATAATTCACCTGCAGAGTGCCAGAGCAGAGGGATGTAAGAAATATTGTACCCTACGTAAAGTTGAATGTAAGCGGTTTTTACAGTTCTTATGTGTTTATTTAGTACATGCTATAAGTTTAAAAGATTAATAGAGATGTATCTCAGTGTATATGAATATTCAAGAAAAAGAATTGTTCATGATTTCTGAATAAAGCTACTTTTAAAATTGTTGTACAAAATCAGATTTAAATCCTTTTTACCTTCCTCACAGAGGATGCAAAGAAGATGGCTGTTAAGGAAGAAAAATATGATCCAGGTTATGAGGCAGCATATGGTGGTGCTTACGGAGAAAATCCATGCAGCAGTGAACCTTGTGGCTTCTCTTCAAATGGGCTAAGTATGGTTCCCTCCACATGTGTATTCCTTTCAAAGACGGTTTGGTCAGGATTGGGGGGAAAATTTTAATAGAAGGAGAGTAAATTATTGAAGAATGGGAATGATAATATGAAATTTTATTTAGTGACTAATAGTGAAAAATTGATGGTTATTTCACGTTGAATTACACAGACTTTTACAGTACATTTTCTTTTTTGTTTGTTTGTTTTTGAGACAGATTCTCGCTGTGTCACCCAGGCTAGAGTGCAGTGGCTCGATCTTGGCTCACTGCAAGCTCCCCCTCCTGGGTTCACACCATTCTCCTGCCTCAGCCTCCCGAGTAGCTGGGACTACAGGCATCCGCCACGATGCCTGGCTAATTTTTTTTGTATTTTTAATAGAGACAGGGTTTCACCGTGTTAGCCAGGTTGGTCTCGATCTCCTGACCTCGTGATCTGCCCACCTTGGCCTCCAAAAGTGCTGGGATTACAGGCATGAGCCACCGCACCCGGCCTACAGTGCATTTTCTTTAAGTCATGAACTCTAGGCCATCCTAGTTGCATTTTCCTCCTTTAATAACAAATGAGTCCTGTATCTGAAGAACAGAAACTTAACAGTTGTATTCCGGAAGCTTGCTTAACTATTTTAATAATAATTCTCCTTCACTAGACTGTTAAAATCTCCTACTTTGATCATTTAAAACTTCCAGGCCGGGCATGGTGGTTCACGCCTGTAATCCCAGCAGTTTGAGAGGCTGAGGTGGGTGGATCATTTGAGGTCAGGAGTTCGAGACCAGCCTGGCCAACATGGTGAAACCCCATCTCTACTAAAATATACAAAAATTAGCATGGTGGCAGGTATAATCCTAGCTACTTGGGAGGCTGAGGCAGGAGTATCATTATATATAATATATATGCCTCTCCTCGATCCCGGGAGGCAGAGGCTGTAGTGAGCCGAAATCACACCACTGGACTCCAGCCTGGGTGACAGAATGAGACACCGTCTCAAAAAGAAAAAAAAAAACTTCAAATAAGCTGATACGGTGGCTCACACCTGTAATCCCAGTGCTTTGAGAGGCTAGGATGGGAGGATCACTCAAGCCCAGGAGTTTGAGGCTGCAAAGAGCTGTGATCATGCCACTGCATTCCAGCCTGGGCGATAGAGTAAGACCCAGTCTCTACTTTAAAAAAAGCAAATATTTCTAAATGGCATAAACTAACTTTGTTTTTCTTTTCTGGCAGTTGAGAGCGTGGAGTTAAGAGGAGAATCAGCTTTCAGTGGCATTCCTAATGGGCAGTGGATGACCCAGTCATTTACAGACCAAATTCCTTCCTTTAGTAATCACTGTGGAACACAAGAACAGGAAGAAGAAAGCCATGCTTAAGAATGGTGCTTCTCAGCTCTGCTTAAATGCTGCAGTTTTAATGCAGTTGTCAACAAGTAGAACCTCAGTTTGCTAACTGAAGTGTTTTATTAGTATTTTACTCTAGTGGTGTAATTGTAATGTAGAACAGTTGTGTGGTAGTGTGAACCGTATGAACCTAAGTAGTTTGGAAGAAAAAGTAGGGTTTTTGTATACTAGCTTTTGTATTTGAATTAATTATCATTCCAGCTTTTTATATACTATATTTCATTTATGAAGAAATTGATTTTCTTTTGGGAGTCACTTTTAATCTGTAATTTTAAAATACAAGTCTGAATATTTATAGTTGATTCTTAACTGCATAAACCTAGATATACCATTATCCCTTTTATACCTAAGAAGGGCATGCTAATAATTACCACTGTCAAAGAGGCAAAGGTGTTGATTTTTGTATATGAAGTTAAGCCTCAGTGGAGTCTCATTTGTTAGTTTTTAGTGGTAACTAAGGGTAAACTCAGGGTTCCCTGAGCTATATGCACACTCAGACCTCTTTGCTTTACCAGTGGTGTTTGTGAGTTGCTCAGTAGTAAAAACTGGCCCTTACCTGACAGAGCCCTGGCTTTGACCTGCTCAGCCCTGTGTGTTAATCCTCTAGTAGCCAATTAACTACTCTGGGGTGGCAGGTTCCAGAGAATGCAGTAGACCTTTTGCCACTCATCTGTGTTTTACTTGAGACATGTAAATATGATAGGGAAGGAACTGAATTTCTCCATTCATATTTATAACCATTCTAGTTTTATCTTCCTTGGCTTTAAGAGTGTGCCATGGAAAGTGATAAGAAATGAACTTCTAGGCTAAGCAAAAAGATGCTGGAGATATTTGATACTCTCATTTAAACTGGTGCTTTATGTACATGAGATGTACTAAAATAAGTAATATAGAATTTTTCTTGCTAGGTAAATCCAGTAAGCCAATAATTTTAAAGATTCTTTATCTGCATCATTGCTGTTTGTTACTATAAATTAAATGAACCTCATGGAAAGGTTGAGGTGTATACCTTTGTGATTTTCTAATGAGTTTTCCATGGTGCTACAAATAATCCAGACTACCAGGTCTGGTAGATATTAAAGCTGGGTACTAAGAAATGTTATTTGCATCCTCTCAGTTACTCCTGAATATTCTGATTTCATACGTACCCAGGGAGCATGCTGTTTTGTCAATCAATATAAAATATTTATGAGGTCTCCCCCACCCCCAGGAGGTTATATGATTGCTCTTCTCTTTATAATAAGAGAAACAAATTCTTATTGTGAATCTTAACATGCTTTTTAGCTGTGGCTATGATGGATTTTATTTTTTCCTAGGTCAAGCTGTGTAAAAGTCATTTATGTTATTTAAATGATGTACTGTACTGCTGTTTACATGGACGTTTTGTGCGGGTGCTTTGAAGTGCCTTGCATCAGGGATTAGGAGCAATTAAATTATTTTTTCACGGGACTGTGTAAAGCATGTAACTAGGTATTGCTTTGGTATATAACTATTGTAGCTTTACAAGAGATTGTTTTATTTGAATGGGGAAAATACCCTTTAAATTATGACGGACATCCACTAGAGATGGGTTTGAGGATTTTCCAAGCGTGTAATAATGATGTTTTTCCTAACATGACAGATGAGTAGTAAATGTTGATATATCCTATACATGACAGTGTGAGACTTTTTCATTAAATAATATTGAAAGATTTTAAAATTCATTTGAAAGTCTGATGGCTTTTACAATAAAAGATATTAAGAATTGTTATCCTTAACTTACGGGCTTTTTCTATAGCAAGACTGAGTGGTATTCTTTCCCCTTTAAACCTGAGGTCAGTTTACCTTCTATTATATTTAACATGTAGAATAGTAACATGATAAAAATCATAAAAATGATGAATATTTTATTTTTCAGACGTCCATATTTTAAATGTAATAGTTTTATAAAAGAAAAGGTTGGCAACCTGTTAAGGAGATCTTCATGTGAAAAATACATGTAGAAGTTTTAAAAATTTGTGGATATAATTGTCATTCAGAATTAAGCAGGTTGATTGCTGTTATCTAGATGGGTCTCTTCCTTTATGTTTTTCAGTCACATAATCTTGATTTCCATAGTTATCACATGTACTTAAAGAAGTTAATCAATGCCTATATGGTCCAAGGTATAATTTGCACACAGTAGTTTTTGGTTTTTATATTGTGGATCATATGTATCAAAGGTAATATTCATAAAGAACAATGTTATAGTTGGCTACAAAGGGACAATTCCACATTTCTATACAGGGAATATTTTAAGGGTAGAGTTATATCAGCTATGGTGATTGAGTTTAAATATCCCTGCAGGGTCAGGAACAAACCAGCTTTCCCATAAGTCGTTGTGAACACTAGGGAAGTCCCAAGGTTTATGTCTTCCATTCCAGTGGAGTAATTTAGCTTCCTGCAGAAAATGCTCCGAATATCTGGCATCTGGATTCCAGCCTTCATTGTGTATAGAGAAAAAATAATAGGCTTGTTAGAGAATAACATTTTTGTATTATAAATTGAATACAAGTTCATAGTTTAAAAAAAGGTAAACAAATAAAAAGGTTATACAGTGAATTTTCTACCCACCCCAGGTCTCCAAATCAACCACTGTTAGTCTCTTGTGAATCCTTCTAGTAGTGTTATAGCATTGTTTGACCTGTATGCATGTATATGTATATTTAAAGACAGAAGACAAAATAGAGCATACTGCTACCTTGCCTTTAAAAAAAAATTATTTTGTTTCTTTATGTGGACATTGCCTTTTAAAATTACTGTCTTGGGAAACTTTCCACAGCAGTACATGTGGATTTACCAAATTATTTTTAGTGACTGTATAGAATGATACTATTTATTGACCAAGTTCCTTATTAAGGACATTTAGATTGTTTCTATCCTATTATTAGCATAAACACAGCAATGAGCAGCCCTCTATGTATGTCTAGTGTATGTGTACAAATATATATATATATATATATATATATATATATATATATATATATATATATATATATGTAGGATAAAATATTGTAGGTGGAATTGCTAGATTGAAGGTTGTGTGCCTTTTCAATTTTGATAGAGATTGCCGCATTGTCCCCCAAGAAGTTCTATTAATTTCCCTCCCACCCAAGAGTTTATAGGGGTTCTTTTTTCTCTGCATTTCACCTCCTTAATGAAAAATGGCAACATTTGCTTTTGAACAGTCTTGTCTAAATATAAAATGTGACTAAGATCTACTTTTTAAACAAACAGCTATCTATCTCCACCTGAACATTACTCCCCTCATAAGTCATGACTTCGAGAGACTATGCATTTACCCTAACAGTGCCATTGCTTAGAATACTCTTTAGAATACCTATTCTAGAACTACATTAAGGTGGCGTGAATGTACAATTTTTTAAAAATCTCTATAGTGTTCGACTTTCTTTCCATGAAAAGGAATTTGATATATATATTCTTTAAACAGCTGAAAGTCCATTGAATTACGAGAGGGTTGATTTGCTAGGGTTATGTTATTCTATTGTATGACGTTAACAACAACACAACCTGGCTTCTGTTACTAATAAACATAGCTGTGACGGCAGCTGCAGAAGAGAAACTAGTTGTTTGAAACTATCGCAGCATAACTGGAATAATTATCAATCATCAGAGTCTATGCAAAGGAAATATTCATTTGGGAAGAGGCACCTTCCCATGAAAAGTCTCTACTAAGTAGGACATCCTCACCTCTCAGCTTCGTAACTGAAGGGCTATGCAGAACTACCTCAGAGGGGCTTGCAGTTTGGGTGATGAAATTGCTTTTAGCTAAATATATTTTGTAAATTTAAAAAATCTTAAGCCTGCCTGTTTAGACCCAAACTTAATGCCCATTAGTGTTATGTTGCCCTTCTGCCTCCAGAACATCCTGAAACCTCATTTTTCAAATGATTTTTGTGTAGATTTACTTTGCACACCATCCCTGATTCCAAAACCTTCAGCACAGATGGAAGCTCTGTCCTACAAAGAAAAACGACATCTTTCCTTTGGGAAGAGTATGTCCCTTCCTACTTGTCAGTAAAGTGGATATTTCTCTTTTTTTTCTTTTGAGATGGAGTCTAGCTCTGTCACCCAGACTGGAGTGCAGTGGCATGATTTCTGCTCAGTTCAATCTCTGCCTCCCAGGTTTAGGCTATTCTCCTGCATCAGCCTCCCGAATAACTGGGATTACAGGTGTGTGCCACCATGCCCAGCTAATTTTTCATATTTTTAGTAGAGATGGGGTTTCACCATGTTGGCCAGGCTGGTCTTGAACTCCTGACCTCAAGTGATCCACCCGCTTCAACCTCCCAAAGTACTGGGATTATAGGCATGAGCCATCATGCCTGGCCTAAGTTGCATGTTTCATAAAATGTAATTCTGAGTCTGTCTCAAGATCATAAAATGCCGTAACCTTATTGATCTAAGCTCTGCATAACTGTTCCTACACATATTTAAAAATAGACCTTCTACTTTGATGGGATCTGCACATGGAAAGGTTGATATTTGACCTAATGTTGAACCCAACATGACTATAAATCAAATCAGACACAACACTAACTTCCCTGTGGCACTCTTTTGTGCATATACATGCTCAGGAAAATCAGAGGATTCTGGGAATGATGCAGAAGCAACCCACAGAATCATCGAGAGCATACAGGAACTCAGCCTCCACAATTACGTCCTTTAAAAAAAAAAAAAAAAAAAAAAGATTATGGGACATAACACCTTGCAGGGTTGTTGTGAGAATTAGAAATAATATTCACCTTCCTTAACAGAACCTAGTCCAGTTCTTGGCAATGTAATGGACACTTGGTAAATATAAGTGCATATCCATTGCCTACAATTCTAAGATAATCCCCAAAGGTCTGAAAACAAAAGGTTTTTTAATAACTTCTTTGGCAGTAAAACCTAGATCCCACTCAGCACCACATTACCTTTTTAAAATCCAAACCCTTTCTAAACTTCCAAACATGTCTGGCCCAGCGGTTTTGGATCAGGGATTGTGGCCATGTGTTAGAGTGGATGTGAATGTGTCCTCTATGCTAGGCTCTATGCTAAGCAATTTACATGTATTCCGTAACCTGCCCCAAATCATAGTTGGGATTCCAGTTCATACTCTAAACCCTACACTTGTGTAGTGAGTAAAAGACTTAGAGAACTCACAGAGTACAGAGTCAACTGCTTTTTAAAGGATAAATTTTAATGGCAGCTTTCTGAATTCATCCTAAGCCATTATGCTAATTTATTTGGTTTTGTCCACTGTAAGTTACTGCAAGAGAAAATAAAAGTGTGGCTTGACAGTTCAATAAGGTTTTGAAGTTTTGACAGTGAAAGTTCTCTCTCTCTCTCTCTCTTTTTTTTTTTTTTTTTTGAGATAGAGTTTCGGTCCTGTCGCCCAGGCTGGAGTGCAGTGGCGCAATCGTAGCTCACTGCAACCTCTGCCTTCCAGGTCCAAGCGATTCTCCTGCCTCAGCCTCCCGAGTAGCTGGGATTGCAGGTGCCTGCCCCCATGCCCAGCGAATTTTTATATTTTTAGCAGAGACGGGTTTCACCACGTTGGTCAGGTTGGTCTTGAACTCCTAACCTCAGGTTATCCACCCTCCTCAGCCTCCCAAAGTGCTGGGATTACAAGCGTGAGCCACCACGCCCGGCCGAAAGTTCTCTTTATAATAGTTCATGTTTACTAAGCACATACTATATGCTAAGCATGAATTTGATGGCTTTCCATAAATCTCCAGAAACACGCTCCTCAGGTAGCTCAGAATATCAGCTGCACTTGCTGAATCTGAGCACTGAGGGTCAAGTCATTTGTCCAAGGTCACCTGGAGGATTTCAATTGAACAACCTGGTGCTGTATGTAGCACCCTCTCCTCGCTATGGTGCTCACTGGGTCTATAAAATGCACATTTGCGGCCGGGCATGGTGGCTTATGCCGTAATCCTAGCACTTTGGGAGGCCGAAATGGGTGGATCACCTAAGGTCAGGAGTTTGAGACCAGCCTGGCCAACATGGTGAAACCCCATCTGTACTAAAAATACAGAAATTAGCTGGGCGTGATGGCACATGCCTGTAATCCCAGCTACTCGAGATGCTGAGGCAGGTGAATTGCTTGAACCCAGGAAGCGGAGGTTCCAGTGAGCCGAGATCACGCCATTGCACTCCAGCCTGGGCAGCAGAGCGAGACTCTGTCTCAAAAATACAAAAATAAAATGGACATTTGCGTTTTTCTAAACAGTTTTTCTGAAATACTTACCCAGGTGCCTTATGTGCCACAGGGGGTTAATTGTGGAATATTTCCCATGAAACACAATCAGCATTGGGGAGGTGGCCACCCCTCCTCCCAGGGAGCTGCTATAGAGGTTTTCCCTAAGAAATGAAATAGAAAAACAACATTTGGCCTGGAGCCCCCACAAACTCAGATAAAGTCGAATCTGATATTGTAAATGATGTAAGACATTATCTCACTATGTACTAAGACTTATGGCCTTTCATTCTCCCCCAAATTTTCATTTTGAAAATTGTCAAACATACACAAAATAGTAAGAATACCATGAACTCCTATATACATCACCTAGAGTAACAGTGTTAATATTTTGCCATTTTAACTCCCAGGGTTTTAAATAGTAGACACAGGAGATCAAATTCGAATCCTACATTATTTAGAATAACTTTACTTGCAAATTCAAGGTTATGATGGTATTAAAATATCCAGATACACAAGACTGCTAGGCAATACAATGATGGGATAATAGTGCTTGTATTAGACTTATTTTTATCTTCTCTATTTTAAAACTCCGATAACGAAAAATTATAAATTATAAAAATAAACCTTAAAAAGCAAAATTGACTTTATATAATAATCCTTAATAAAAAAATCTATGTTAGGAGGGGAAACTCAACTAAGATAAATGAAGATTGTTTGGTGGAAAAGATTCAAGTCACATTTTTCAACAGCTTACTAGGAAAATGTATAATCAGGGACTCCTCGCTCCACAGGATCTTGATTCCTCTGATTTATATCTTTTGAGGAAAGGTTTTAATTGACTGCCCCCTTTTCTTTCTTAACATTGCCTCTGTAAGAAAATCTGACCTGAGATGACTGTGAAATATTTCTAACCCTTGAACTATGTGTGGAAAATTAATTGAATGATTTTGTTTCCAAGCATGGAAAAAATGGTAGAGAAGCCTTCACGTACTCCACATTCTTTTGCATCCATTTCTCCAATTGCTTGGTGATGCGCTGGTGCTTCCATTCTGTCATGTTGGCAACAATCACACCAGGATTGAAAGAGCAGGTGCTGGGGCTGATGCCAAGGTCCTTGATGGCCTTCTTCCGGTAGTCCAGATAGCCCATATATGTGTTCTGTAAGGGAACAGGATGTGCATGCTTTTGACCAGCGAATCTTTTGTTTCTGGAAAATGATCATTTTCTTGAAACCCTTGTGCAGTATCTTTGGGTTTCCTCCTGTGTCACTGGCCACTGGGTAGTTTGTTGTTTTTGTTTTGTTTTGCTGGTTTCCCTCATTTCTCCAACCTCTAAATGCTGAATGCCCTAAGTCTGAGTGCAGCACTAGTGCCTTTCTCTAGCAATAACTCCATAAACAGCCTTGTCCAGTCTCATGGCTCTAAATACCACCCATCTGACAGCCCTGACCTCTCCTCTGGACTTCCAACTCCTGCTACATCTGCCATCCAAATGTCTCCTTTCAGATGCTTAGTAAAGGCAGCTCCAACTTACATCCCAAAATTGATCCCAATCCTATCCCAAACCTGCTTCCCTGCACCTGCCCCACCTCAGTCAGTGGCAACTCTATCCTTCTAGTTACTTGGGCAAAAAACCTGGGGTCATTAGGTCCTCCTTGACTCCTTTTTTCTCACTCTCTTCTCATCCAAATATTTCAGCAAATGGTGTAGGTCCCATCTTCAAAATGCTGGAAGCCAACCACTTCTCTTGCCACTACTACCACACTGCTACCTTCCTGTTCAGGCCATAATTGCCACTCAATGGATTTCTGCAAGTTCCTCCTAACCAGTATCCTTGCTTCCACTATTTTCCACCCCACTCTGTCTCTAGGTCACTCATCTCCTCTAAGCTCCTCCAATAGCTTCCCATCTCATTCACAGAAACAGCCAGATTTCCTAAAATGGCCTGCCATACCCTATATCATCTGACCCTCCAATACCTTTCCAACTCCTGTTATTCTCCTCTTGATCCCTCAGCAACAGCGACCACCTTTAATGAACCAGACTCACCCCTGCCTCAAGATCTTTACACTTGTTCTTCCCGCTTCCTGGAGGGTTTCCCCTCTAACCATCTGCACAGGTGGTTCCCTCAATTCTTTCAAGTTTAGGTTCAAACAGCACAATCTCAGTGGAGCCTTCCCTGATTACTGTATTTAAAATACAGCCCTGCCTCCACCCCAATCCTCTGTTAAATATTTTACTTGTTTACTGTCTGTCTGTTCCCACTAGAATGTGAAATACACAAAAGCAGGAGTTTTCGTTTTGCTCACTATATTACTAGTACCTAAAACAGTGTCAGGCACAGAGTAAGCACTCAATAAGTCATTGTTGAATGAATGTTGTACAGGGCAGGACATACACATTCTTTCACCCATATAGACTGTTATCATCTATAATTCCTTAATGTGATGCTCTCAAACCTCACACAGGAGTCATGGAAATACTTGAGTACTTTCTATACACCAGGCCCTTTTCTAAGAACTTTACATGTACTACCTCATTACTCTCATGTAATAGCTTTATATGTGTTAACTAATTTAATTCTCACGATAACTACAAAGGAAGTACTATTATTACCTCTGTTTGGCAAATGAGGTAGAAACAACTGGCTAAGTAACTTGCCCGAGGTCATAAAACTACCAAGTGATAGTGCCCAGATTTTGACAAAATTGAATCTGGTCCCAGAGCCTATGCCTTGAAGTGCCTTAAAATGCCACATACATAAAATTATTTGCTAGAAGCTTTTTTGAAAAACAGCATTTAACTCTTAATAACACCTCATATTTCAAAGCTACCCCTTCGGTTTCAGCATTGCATGTAGGTTCAACTTTCCTCAGTTCCATCAGGGTAAGGAGATCTTTACCCTTAACAAAATCAATATTTTCTTCTACTGGAAGGGGGATAAAAGTGATGGTCAAAACTCTGAAAATAGAACCAATGGTTCAGCAAGTCTCTTTTACAGAAAACATCATCTCTGACAGAGAGCATGGTGATGAGCAACCTAGGTAACAATGATCATTTCTGGAGCTTTTATTTCATGCTGGACACTTGGACACCATGTTATTTCATTACTGCTCACAAAGACACAACAAAGTAGACATGATTGTTCCCATGTTTCAGGTAAGGAAGGTGGGACCTTGCAGGGCTAAAGAAAGTTGCCCCAGAGTTGGTAAGGCATGGAGCTAAGATATGAACCAAAGTCCCAGACCCCTGTACTGTTCCACCTCCCTGCAGTCCAGACTGGCCCATAAGGTTTTTGAGGTGGAGGTTACACTCATTTTGACTTGCAGAGGGGGGAGAAGGGGCCAGAGTTGTAGAGTGAAGGGAGGATTTCTGAGACAGCATATGCCCACCTGAAGTCCCACGAGTCTGTTTATGTCCTGAGCAGAGGGCAAATCGCAGTCATCTGAGAAAGCCGCCGCGTGGCCCAGGGCCAAGGTGGTGTCATACAGTTCTTGGATATCACCTGAATTTAGAAACACCACCAAGTAAAACATTATAGCATTTGTTTTTGGGCTAGATAGAGCCTTAGAGCTTAAACAGCTCTTGATTTTGCTATGGGAGAAGAGTATTGGATCCCTGATTTCAAGTGGCTTGACTATTTATTTATTAAGAGTCTTGCCTACAGATTTAGAAAGCCACTGGATGATGAGTTCAAACTGGCACTGATCTAATTTCTTTATTTCTGTTGCTAAGTAGATACCACACCAATGCGTATCCTGTTTGTAGTGGAAGAGATAGAACACAACATTTAAACACCAAAACTTAGCTCACTCCTAAGAATGTCATCCGTGACACTTTATTTCCGTACATTATAGGCATACAGGGAAAGGAAAGGCTACCAAGCTATTTATTGCTGGTTTTGACAATCAGAGTGTCAACTGGATTGTCTCAGTAAGTATCAACCCGTTTCCAAAATACTTCCACATTTACAACAATACTGTACTCACAACTTAAATAAGCAGTCAAAACTTGCTGCACAATTAGTTATTTGAAAAATGAAGAGAGACAGTTATTCTACTTATCAGCTGCTTCTTTTCCAAGTGTTCTTGGCAGTTAGCGAGAGTACCTTGTACAATTACATCATCGTCCAAATAGATGACTTTCTCGTGTTGGTGGATAAGTAGAGGGAGATAAAATCGAACAAAGTTCAGCTGTTAAAACGACAAAAGAAATGATGGTGGGGGAGAGGCATATGGCTTAGTGTCTTCTGGGGGTACTGGAGAGTCGGCTTTGACCATGGCCTCAGCTCAGCTCCAGGTTTGGAGCGGAATAAAACAGGAGCTAGCAAGATGTCTCATCTGAGCTTCCCAGTGCCCAACTTATCTGAGGCCTGGGGCTGAAGCCAGCGCTGACGGATCGGCCGTTCTCCTAGATACAAACCCCCTAGTGCCGAGGCTGTTGCCACTTTCATCTCTGCGAACTGCTGTAGTGGGAGTCACAGAGGCTCGTTAGTCACTTTTAGGGCACAAATCGCCTGCCTTTCTCTGTATTCAGTAATTTTGATAATTGTCAATTAAATCAGCCTTAAATACACACACACACACACACACACACACACACACACACACACACGTGTGTCATTCCAACAGCAAGCTCAACCTTTTAGCTCCTTGAACCAGAAAAAGGAGCAGCATGACCTGTGGGTAGGAACTTCGAAGTTTCATTACTGACAACATTGCTTCCTCCGAAGTCATGGCTTGTACTCTGACAACATCTGGAATTGGGGGAAGATCATATCACAGACAGAGGGCTCAGAATTAAGTAAATTTTCAGGGATGAATTTAAGTAACAATCATATGTAGAAGGTGGCTGCAGTTTCTGTAGAACTGCTATCAAAAACACCACTCTTTTTTTTTTTTTTCTTTTTTGAGACAGGGTCTCTCTCTGTTGCCCAGGCTGGAGTGCAGTGGCATGATCACAGCTCACTACAGCCTCGAACTCCCAGACTCAAACAATCCTCCCACCTCAGCCTCCTGAGTAGGTAGCTAGGACTACAGGGGTATGCCACCATGCCTAGCTAATTAAAAAAAAATTTTTTTTTTTGAGACGGAGTCTCACTCTGTTGCCTAGGCTGGAGTGCAATAGTGCAATCTTGGCTCACTGCAACCTCCACCTCCCGGGTTCAAGCGATTATCCTGCCTCAGACTCCCGAGTAGCCGGGGCTACAGGTGCCTGCCACCATGCCCAGCTAATTTTTGTATTTTTAGTAGAGATGGGGTTTCACTATGTTGGCCAGGCTGGTCTCGAACTCCTGACCTCACGATCCGCCTGCCTCGGCCTCCCAAAGTGTTGGGATTACAGGCATGAGCAACCACGCTTGGCCACTAAATAAAACTTTTTTAAGTATAAACAGGGTCTCAATATGTTGCCCAAGCTGGTCTCAAACTTCTGAGCTCAAGCAATCCTCCCCGCTCAGCCTCCCAAAGTGCTGGGATTACAAGCACGAGCCAGCACGTCCAGCCAAAAACACCACTTTTTATGCAGGAGAGGGTCCCTTTTGTAAGAACTCTTGCAGTAAAATACCTTAAGATTTCCAATGCTAGGAAAAGAGATGGTGTCTCCTGAATATATTATCTTAGTCAATACTATGAAGTATATAATCCATCATACTACTGTTTTTTCTTAGCTGTCGGACACTCCGAGGCAGCTTTAACGTACAATCACAGTTAAATATCCCAACAGCTGGTGGGTTTGGGACTCTTTTTCCTGGCCTCAGCTACCTGGCCCTCCTCCAGCTCCCACCCCCACAGACATATTCACACCCATAAATGCATTCTACATTTTTTTAATGCTTCACTTCTTCTTTAATAACTTCATTGTGCTTCTATAAACCATCTTAAATCCTTTCTGTAGCAGCTGGCTTATAAATTATACATAAGCGGAGTTTGGTGGAGATCAACTCCACATGGCTTCAAAAATAATATTCCACATGCATCCCGGTGACTAGCACTCCTTTACTGAACAAAGGTCTCACCAAGGACTGTCCCCAGCACCTGTGTGGTCCCTACTTACAGGCTGGAGCAATTCAGGCCTCGATGAGTCTGGTCTGATCTTCCCTTTGAGGACCATCGGGTTGAATTCCACGATTTTAAAGTTTATTTCTCTCAGTTTGGAATGTTCAATCCATTTTCTAAAAAGATGACCAAAAAAACCTCTAGTATACCCTTCAATTCTTTCCTCCATTTGCCTATTGCCCCAAGGTCAATCTGTTGCCTCCCTAGAAAGTTAAAATTAAAATGTGCGTAAATTTAGTAGAGTTTAGTCCAATAAATCCCTCTGACTTTTCTCCCCATCTGGTCTGACTTTAAATCTTTTTTTCCCCTCAATCACGTAACTCTTTCTGCAAAGGAAATGAAGCAAAATAGTAATAACCAAATCTCTCCCCAGATCCAAATAATTTCCCCAGGAAACAGGAAGAATGAAAAGTATTCTTTCTTATATAGCAGCATCTGTGGTTGCTGGTACTATCTTCGCCACGTGGTAACAGCTCTGAAATATTATGAAACAGGACATTCTGAACCTTCAGCTTTGATCGAAGTCATTTTTACTCTGCTGTTTTGACTCCAAGGCTGATTTGAATTTACCTTTGTCTCTTTGATTTGGTCCCTTGATCTTCCCCATCTGTCTTCGTTCCCCTTCTTCTCTTCCCCCTCCCTCTCCCCTTCTGTTTTCTTGGTCTTGCAGAATTTTTATCTTGTATCCAATTCATAATGAGGTTCTTGGTAGAAATAATCTCAAAATAAAATGTCGAATGACTAAAGCCACCTAGGGTAGTATTTGTTGTTGACTAAAAATCAACAAAAGAATTAAATGTGAACAAAATTTAGATCTGCAAAATCTGAAAAAATAATTGGTCATATCAATTAAAAAAAGATAGACTAACAGCAAAATAGGCAAGAGACTTGAACACTTACTTCCAAATGGTTACAAAGTGTGTGGGAAAAGTGTTCAATGACATTAGAAATAATGAAACTTCAAATTTCTAGATACCACTGGACACTAATCAAAATGGCAAACTTAAAAAGATTGATTTTATACTAAGTGTTAGTGAGAACATGCTGGATGTTACATGAGTGTGTTTACTTTGTGATGATCCAGTAAACTGCACACTGGATTTATACAATTTTCTGTTTTGGGATTCTACTTCAATGAAAAAAAAAACTTTAAAGTATGTAAAAGGGGGCAGGGAGTAGACTGGACAGCAAGAACTGGGAAATAGCCCCTGGCCAAAGTCAGAAAGTCATGAGGTTCATGCCTTTTGTTAAGGACAAACCCTTGCCCAGAAACCTTATACATGCCATCCTTTTGGATTTGGTTATCTAGTTTTCATACCCATGGATAGTTAATGGGCTGTTAACAACAGGCTAAGTGAATGATGAGCAATAGTATGATAAGGAGAGTGAGAAATGAGACAGAAAATCCAGAAAGCATACACAAGACATCAAAACCCAGGGCAGCCAAGGGCCATTTAGATTATAGGCAAACACCTTTACAGATCTCAGTACCTCCTGATGGCACCACTACAAAAACATTTAATTATAAAAGCAGTATGCAAATATATTCTCCTTTTGAATGATCAAATAATACTGAAACACCCTGAACTTCCTTTCATCAGCACCCTCCCTGATTCCTCTGTCCTCCCAAGAGATAGTGTTAACAATCTGATAGCTTTCCAGTTCTTTTTCTTCACAGAAACACATACATGTACATGTACACACTTACAGTTAGGGGTTTTGAATTTCCTAAAGTAGATCATACTATACGAGTTATACTGCAGCTAGTTTTTTCCACTTAACAATATGCCTTGGGAATCTCCTATGTCTGCTTAGACAGAGTGCCTTCTTTCGTTAACATCTGGATCATATTTCACAGTTCATTTAAATATTCTTCCATTGGTGGACATTTCAGCACTTTGAAATGTTTTCACTAATTCACATAATGCTGAAACTAGCATTGTTGTACACGTATTTTGGTAATATGTACTAGAATTTTTGTAGCACAGATTCCTGGAAGAGGAAAAGGCATGTGAATCAAATTATATATGCATACAACCTTTTGATAGATATTGCCATGTTGACCTTGCCAAATGTCTTACCAACTTAGAAAATGCACATTGTATAAATAAGGAATAAGCATGCCCATTTTCCTGCACTGGGTAATGTTGTTCTGTTTAATTTTTGCCAACCTGATGAGTGAAGATTGTCACTGAAGTGACATATATGTTTTCATTTTTATTTTCATTTTCAACAATGCAAAAATGTTTCAATTCACATTTTCCTATTAATAACACAGAAAAACTTTATTTATTTATTTTTTATTTATTATTTTTTATTTTTGGAGATGCAGTCTCACTCTGTCACCCAGGCTGAAGCGCAGTGGCACGATCTCAGCTCACTGCAACCTCCACCTCCTGGGTTTAAGCCATTCTCTGGCCTCAGCCTCCCCAGTAGCTAGGATTACAGGAATGTGCTAACATGCTCAGCAAATTTTTGTATCTTTAGTAGAGACGGGGTTTCGCCATATTGACCAGGCTGGTCTCAAATTCTTGACTTCAGGTAGGATTACAGGAGTTAGCCACTGCGCCCAGCCTTATTTATTTATTTTTAGCTGAAACAAGGTCTCACTCTGTTGCCCAGGCTGGAGTTAAGTGATGCGATCATAGCTTACAGCAGCCTCAAACTCCTGGGCTCAAGGGATCCTCCCACCTCAGCCTCCCGCTATGTATCACCACCCTCAGCTAATTTCTAAAATTTTTAGTAGAGACAGAGGTCTTGTTATGTTGCCCAGGCTGGTCTCGAGCCTGATCCCAAGTCATCCTTTTTCCTTGGCTTCCCAAAGTGTTGGAAATATAGGAGTGAGCCACCTCACCCAGCCTACAACACCTTTTCATGTTTATTGGCCATTTGTATTTTTTTCCTCTGTGAATTATCTGGTTATATCCTATGCCCATTTTTTAACCATGTTTTTAAAATTTTTGTAACAATTCTATATTTTGGATGGTAATTTTTTGTCTATAATACATGTTAAAAATACTTGGTCCTAATCTATTGTATGAATAGCTTCACTTGTATTTTTCATCATTGTAAAGTTTTTAAATGTGATGCAGTCAAATCTGTCCATTTTTCTGGATGATTTCTGGGCTCAGAGAGACACTCTCCAAACCAAGATTTTACAATTATCTTTCATTTTTATAATATGTTCAAATTTTAATTTTCTGTTTATTTTTTCTTAATCCAAAAAGAAAGGAAATCTATTTAAGGAAATATAAGAAAGTAGAGGCCAGGTGTGGTGGCTCACACCTGTAATCCCAGCATTTTGGGAGGCTGAGGAGGGAGGATTGCTTGAACCCAGGATTTCAAGACAAACCTAAGCAACAAAGAGAGACTCGCTCTCCACAAAAAAATTAGAAAATGAGCTGGGTGTGGTAGCATGCACTTGTAGTCTCAGCTACTTGGGAGGTGGAAACAGAAGGATTGCTTGAGCCAGGGAGGTCAAGGCTGCAGTGAGCTGTGATTGCGCCACCGCACAATCCAGTCTGAGCAACAGAGCAAGATCCTATCAGAAAGAAAGAGAGAAAGAGAGAAAGACAGAGAGAGAGAGAGAGACAGAAAGAGAGAGGGAGAGAAAGAGAGAAAGGGAGAGAAGGCAAGAAAGAAAGAAAAGAAGAAGAAGAGGTAGGGAGGGAGGGAGGGAGGGAAGGAGAGAGGGGAAGGAAACAGAAAGTGCCAAAGTCTGTAAGACATAACTTACCGTATTCGAGTCAGAGTATTCCGGAGTCCCACTACATAGAACAAGATGTTGGCGTCAGTGTTGCTGTAGATGCTATTGATGGCAGCCATAGTGGCACCCATCCTCCCTGCTGCAGCACAAATCACCACAGGAATCTCTTCTTCCAGTTCTTCAGGAGTCTCGGATTCATCATCTGGAAACATAAAAACTGGTGTCTTGGAACATGAAAGAATTTCACAGTAGAGCCAGTTTAATGCATCTTCCATACTCCTGGGGGAAGATGGCATAGTGTGGAAGAGACTGCTGATTGTTCTCCAATATCTAGTCATTCTGTCTTCCCTTAGAAAAGAACTTTGGAATTTTAGCTGGTACATAGCCAACCACAAAGACTATTTTACCAACTCCCGTGCAGCTCTATATGATCAAGTTCTGACCAATGGGATGTTGGTTTAAGTAATGTGTGCCACTGCTGGGTCTACCCTTCAAAGGAATGCTCACTCACCCCCTTGCCTTTCCCCTT
This sequence comes from Homo sapiens, assembly GCF_000001405.40. Lineage (NCBI taxonomy): Eukaryota > Metazoa > Chordata > Mammalia > Primates > Hominidae > Homo > Homo sapiens. Next base: position 104,003,634 of record NC_000012.12, read on the forward strand.
TCCCATTAGCTGGACTGTTGATATGATGGTGGGAGTTAGAGTTGCCAGCTTAGACCACAAGATGGAAGCTACTTGTTGAGGTCACCAAAACCATAATATAGAAGGAATCTTGATCTGGATAATTGTGGAACTGATACATCAGACTTATACTTGAGAGAGGAAATAAACTTCTATTTTGTTTATGTCGCTATTGAAACCATACCCCCAAAGAGTTAAAGAAACCAATGACTAATAGAAATTCTCGAGTTTGCAGGATGATAGATTAGAAGAATAAAATGCTGAAATGATGAAACTCTTTCTGCTTCTGAGATTATATCCCTGATGAACACTGATGCAAAAATCCTCAAAAAAATACTGGCAAACTGAATCCAGCAGCACATCAAAAAGCTTATTCACCATAATCAAGTGCGCTTCATCCCTGGGATGCAAGGCTGGTTCAACATACACAAATCAATAAATGTAATCCAGCATATAAATAGAACCAAAGACAAAAACCCCATGATTATATCAATAGAAGCAGAAAAGGCCTTTGACAAAATTCGACAGCCCTTCATGCTAAAAATTCTCAATAAATTAGGCATTGATGGGACGTATCTCAAAATAATAAGACCTATTTATGACAAACCCACAGCCAATATCATACTGAATGGGCAAAAGCTGAAAGCATTCCCTTTGAAAACTGGCACAAGACAGGGATGCCCTCTCTCACCACTCCTATTCAACACAGTGTTGGAAGTTCTGGCCAGGGCAATCAGGCAGGAGAAAGAAATAAAGGGTATTCATTTAGGAAAAGAGGAAGTCAAACTGTCCCTGTTTGCAGATGACATGATTGTATATTTAGAAAACCCGACCGTCTCAGCCCATAATCTCCTCAAGCTGATAAGCAACTTCAGCAAAGTCTCAGGATATAAAATCAATGTGCAAAAATCACAAGCATTCTTATACACCAATAACAGACAAACAGAGAGCCAAATCATGAGTGAACTCCCATTCACAATTGCTTCAAAGAGAATAAAATACCTAGGAATCCAACTTACGAGAGATGTGAAGGATCTCTTCAAGGAGAACTACAAACCACTGCCTCATCGAAATAAAAGAGGACACAAACAAATGGAAGAACATTCCATGCTCATGGATAGGAAGAATCAATATCGTGAAAATGGCCACACTGCCCAAGGTAATTTATAGATTCAATGCCATCCCCATCAAGCTACCAATGACTTTCTTCACAGAATTGGAAAAAAATACTTTAAAGTTCATATGGAACCAAAAAAGAGCCCGCATCGCCAAGTCAATCCTAAGCCAAAAGAACAAAGCTGGAGGCATCACGCTACCTGACTTCAAACTATACTACAAGGCTACAGTAATCAAAATAGCATGGTACTGGTACCAAAACAGAGATATAGACCAATGGAACAGAACAGAGGCCCCAGAAATAACACCACACATCTACAACCATCTGATCTTTGACAAACCTGACAAAAACAAGAAACAGGGAAAGGACTCCCTATTTAATAAATGGTGATGGGAAAACTGGCTAGCCATATGTAGAAAGCTAAAACTGGACCCCTTCCTTACACCTTATACAAAAATTAATTCAAGATGTATTAAAGACTGAAATGTTAGACCTAAAACCATAAAAACCCTAGAAGAAAACCTAGGCAATACCATTCAGGACATAGGCATGGGCAAGGACTTCATGTCTAATACACTAAAAGCAATGGCAACAAAAGCCAAAATTGACAAATGGGATCTAATTAAACTAAAGAGCTTCTGCACGGCAAAAGAAACTACCATCAGAGTGAACAGGCAACCTACAGAATGGGAGAAAATTTTTGCAATCTACTCATCTGACAAAGGGCTAATAGCCAGAATCGACAAAGAACTCAAACAAATTTACAAGAAAAAAACAAACAACCCCATCAACAAGTGGGAGAAGGATATGAACAGACACTTCTCAAAAGAAGACATTTATGCAACCAACAGACACATGAAAAAATGCTCACCATCACTGGCCATCAGAGAAATGCAAATCAAAACCACAATGAGATACCATCTCACACCAGTTAGAATGGTGATCATTAAAAGGTCAGGAAACAACAGGTCCTGGAGAGGATGTGGAGAAATAGGAACACTTTTACACTGTTGGTGGAACTGTAAACTGGTTCAACCATTGTGGAAGACAGTGTGGTGATTCCTCAAGGATCTAGAACTAGAAATACCATTTGACCCAGCCATCCCATTACTGGGTATATACCCAGAGGATTATAAATCATGCTGCTTTAAAGACACATGCACACGTATGTTTACTGCAGCACTAATCACAATAGCAAAGACTTGGAACCAACCCAAATGTCCATCAATGATAGACTGGATTAAGAAAATGTGGCACATATACACCATGGAACACTATGCAGCCATAAAAAAGGATGAGTTCATGTCCTTTGTAGGGACATGGATGAAGCTGGAAACCATCATTCTCAGCAAACTATCGCAGGGATAAAAAACCAAACACTGCATGTTCTCATTCATAGGTGGGAATTGAACAATGAGAACACTTGGACACAGGAAGGGGAACATCACATACCAGGTGTGGGGTGGGGGGAGGGGGAAGGGATAGCATTAGGAGATATACCTGATGTAAATGACGAGTTAATGTGTACAGCACACCAACATGGCACGTGTATACATATGTAACAAACCTGCACATTGTGCACATGTACCCTAAAACTTAAAGTATAATAAATAGATAAATAAATAAATAAAAGAAACTGGCTGAAATCAGTTGGAACCAATCTGGTCAACTGAAGTTTGTGCAGAACAAGCTTGCTGATGTCACAGCTTGGATTTCCACCCTGTATTTCAAACTAACTCCTCCCAGATTTGCACATGAGACCCATGAGGTGGCATGAAGAGATAACTGTGCATGCCTCAGGACCTTTTAGACCTCCTCTCCTCTTCCATCAATCACCTACTAATCCCAGAATCCACCCCTGAGCCTTTTCTAATAAAATTACTGCCTTAAAGCCAGCACAGGGAGACAGATTTGAGCTGGGCTCCTGTGTCCTTGTTAGACGATTTACAAGAAAAAGCTTTGCTTTTCTCAAAATCTGGGGTCATAGTGTTGGATTCTAGCACATAAGGCTGTGAGCCCTTTTGATCATAACACAAAATCTATTATTTTGGAGCTATCTTACAGGAGCCAGTTGGCTAGCCTAAAACACACACACACTTAAAAAACATACAAAGAACTGAAAAGCCTCATTTGTCCAACAGTCCTCAACTCTTCCCTGAATCAGAATATTTACTTTGCCTACACTGCTATAAGATACTGGTTGTGATTTTCCCTCTCCTATCCCCATTCTAGTCAAGTTTCTCAAACGTTGACAGCAAGAGGAAGGAGGTAAATGAAAGAACATGACTAATGCACAAGATAAATAATTAATTATTCTTTTGAGCCTGGCTATGCTATAAAATACCAAAGCCATAACATCATACTTTAGTACCGCAATACAACTTTCAGCCATGGAGAAGAATAATGATCCATAAGCAGAGTATTCAGTATCCACTATAAAGTACTCATCTGATTTATACTTAAAGCTCTCTCTCTCTCTCTCTCTCTCTCTCTCTCTCCCCCCGCTCTCTCCACCTGCTCTCTCCCCCTCCCCCTTCTCTTTCCAGATCCTTTTTGGAAAACCTCTATCCCTGAGGTCCAGGGTAGTTCTAGCTGATATTTCATTCAATAAGCATTTCTTGAAATTAACTACCAGGTACTGCATTTTGTGTAATTTAAGACACATTGAATGGCCTCCTCTTTCTCCTTCTATGTCTTTTCTACCAGCTTGCTACTGCATCTGAAATTTCCACCACTAGAATAATTTTGTTTTCACAATATATTTACTGACATGAGAGAATGCTCATAAAACACTGTTAAGGAGGAAAAGAATACAAAATTCTCTCTAGTATTTGATCACTATTTGATACATACATATTTGCAAATGGACCTATGTCTATTTATGGAATTAGGAGTGATTTTGATTTTATTTGTATTTCTTATACTTTCCAAATTGACTAAAGTAACCATGATATGGTATGGCTCTGTGTCCTCACCAAAATCTCATCATGAATTATACTCCCATAATTCCCACATGTTGTGGGAGGGACCCAGTGGGAGATAATCTGAATCATGGGGGTGGTTTTCCCCATACTGTTCTCATGGTAGTGAATAAGTCTCATGAGATCTGGTAGTTTTATCAGGGGTTTCTGCTTTTGCATCTCTCACTTTCTCTTGCTGCTGCCATGTAAGAAGTGCCTTTCGCCTCCTGCCATGATTCTGAGGCTTCTCCAGCCATGTGGAACTGTAAGTCCGATTAAAACTCTTTTTCTTCCCAGTCTCAGGTATGTCTTTATCAGCAGCATGAAAACGGACTAATACAGTAAATTGGTACCAGTAGAGTGGGACGTTGTTGAAAAGATACCAACAAATATGGAAGCAACTTTGGAACTGGGTGACAAACAGAGGTTGGAAGAGTTTGGAGGGGTCAGAAGAAGACAGGAAAATGTAGGAAAGGTTGGAACTTCCTAGAGACTTGTTGAATGGCTTTGACCAAAAGCCAGTTAGAGACATGGACAATAAGGTTCAGGGTGAGGTGGCCTCAGATGTAGATGAGGAACTTGTTGGGAACTGGAACAAAGGTGACTTTTGTTATGTTTTAGCAAAAAGACCAGGGGCATTTTGCCCTGCCCTAGGGATTTGTGGAACTTTGAACTTGAGAGAGATAATTTAGGATATCTGGCAGAAGAAATTTCTAAGCAGCAAAGCATTCAAGAGGTGGCTTGGGTGCTGTTAAAGGCATTCAGTTTTATAAGGGAAGCAGAGCATAAGAGTTCAGAAAATTTGCAGCCTGACAATGTGATAGAAAAAAAAAATAACATTTTCTAAGGAAAAATTCAAGCTGGCTGCAGAAATTTGCATAAGTAACAAGGAGCCAAACATTAATCCCCAAGACAATGGGGAAAATGTCTCCAGGGCATATCAGAGGGCTTCACAGCTGCCCCTGCCATCACAGGCCCGGAGGCCTAGGAGAAAATGGTTTTGTGGTCTGGGCCCAGGGTCCTGTGCTGCATGCAGCCTAGGGACGTGGTGCCCTGTGTCCCAGCCACTCCAGCCATGGCTGAAAGGGGCCAACATAGGGCTTGCGCCATGGCTTCAGAGGGTGCAAGCCCCAAGCCTTGGCAGCTTCCACGTGGTGTTGAGCCTGTGAGTGCACAGAAGTAAAAAATTGGGGTTTGGGAACCTCCACCTACATTTCAGAAGATGTATGGAAATGTCTGGATGCCCAGGCAGAAGTTTGCTGCAGGGGCGGGGGCCTCATGGAGGACCTCTGCTAGGGCAGTGCAGAAGGGAAATGTGGGGTCAGAGCCCCCACGCAGAGTCCCTACTGGGGCACTGCCTAGTGGAGCTGTGAGAAGAGGGCCACCATCCTCCAGACCCCAGAATGGTAGATCCACTGACAGCTTGCACCGTTGCTGGAAAAGCTACAGACACTCAATGCCAGCCCATGAAAGCAGCTGGGAGGGAGGCTGTATCCTGCAAAGCCACAGGGTAGAGCTGCCCAAGACCATGGGAACCCACGTCTTGCATCAGCATGACCTGGATGCGAGACCTGGAGTCAAAGGAGATCATTTTGGAGCTTTAAAATTTGACTGCCCCGCTGGATTTTGGACAAGCACAGGGGTAACCCCTTTGTTTTGGCCAATTTCTCCCATTTGGAATGGCTGTATTTACCAAATACCTGTACCCCCACTGTATCTAGGAAGAGGAAGTAACTAGCTTGCTTTTGATTTTACAGGCTCATAGGCAGAAGGAACTTGCCTTGTTTCAGATGGGACTTTGGATTGTGGAGTTTTGAGTTAATGCTGAAATGAGTCAAGACTTTGGGGGACTGTTGAGAAGGCATGATTGGTTTTGAAATGTGAGGACATGAGATTTGGAGGGACCAGGGGCAGAATGATATGGTTTGGCTCTGTGTCCCCACCCAAATCTCATCTTGAATTGTACTCCCATATTTCCCACATGTTGTGGGAGGGACCCAGTGGGAGATGATGTGAATCATGGGGATGGTTTCTCCCATACTGTTCTCATGGTAGTGAATAAGTCTCATGAGATCTGATGGTTTTATCAAGGATTTTCACTTTTGTATCTCTCATTTTCTTTTGCTGCTGCCATGTAAGAAGTGCCTTTCACCTCCCACATGATTCTGAGGCCTCCCCAGCCATGTGGAACTGTAAGTCCAATTAAACCTCTTTTTTTCCTCAGTCTTAGGTATGTCTTTATCAGCAGCATGAAAACGGACTAATACAAACCATGAATTATTTTTATAAACAAACCAAAAAAAAAGTTTCTTAAGGATTATTCCTTTTGGACTAAGTTGTAATCTTATGGAGGTATCATGTGATATGTTACCTGCTGGCTGTGAACTGATCTGCCAAAAAATGAGAATTTGACGTTTCTTTGCTGCTGAAAGTTCCTCATTGGTTCCTAAAAGGTAAAGCCACATTTCTTTGCCTGGCACACAAGACCCCTCATGATCCAGCCCCTGCTCACTTCTCCAGCCTCACCTCCTTCTATTTTAGCAACACCAAAGCCCTCGTGGTTCCCTGAACACTACTCTTATCTCAGTGCCTTTGCACATGATGTTCCTTCCCAATGCCTGGAATGATTTCAATATCCTTTTCTGCATGGCTAACCCTTACATATTCATTCCAAATGCAGTACTGACATCAGATCCTCTGGGAAGCCTTTAATACCTCCCTACACATAAATTAACACGCACCTTCTCTATGCTGTGGCCTTGCCTATGGTTGAATTTATTAATTGCGTTGGAATTTATTTGGTTGCATGTCTTTCCTCTTTCTCCTATTACACTAGGAGCTCTGTGAGGGCAGGTATTTTGTTCATCTCTGTATCCTCTGCAGCTGTCCCAGTGCCTGGCACATAGTAGATTTTCAATACGATCTGAATAGATGGGTGAATATTAGATATCTCTATTTGAGCACTTGCCACAATGCCTGGAAGAATCTATTTATGTGTCTGTCTCCTCCACTAGACTGTAAGCTCATTATATTATCCCCACTGAGTCTGGCACTTTGGAAGTGCTTAATGAAAGTTTGCTGGAATGAACTAAATGGAATTGATGAATGAGTCTCAGAAAACAGGGCCCTTGAGGAATAAGAGGGAAGGGTAAAAAAGCTGGGGCTGTGCCTGGCTGCCAGAGTCAGACGGAGGCCTTCAGCAGACTGTGGGAAGCACAAGGTAAAAGGAAAGTGTCCTCATAAAAGAGGGGACACTCCAGAAAAAGGTCAAACATTGAGTGTCCAGCTCTGCTGCCAACACATGACACTGCCACACTCCTTAGGGGCCTCTGCCAGGTAGAGAAACTGAGCACTAACTTAAGCCAAAAATACTGCTCTCTGCCAAAAAGTTCCCCCTGGACAGAATGAAGGACAAATGCACACTGGAGAAATGTGGCAGAAAGGCTTATCAACTGTACCTTCTTCATCAATGCTCCATCCTTGCAGTTTCTTTAGGAATTATCTGCTCCATTATTTGGATTCATTGTACCAACTGGTGCCTGAGCCAAAGCATTAAAATGTTGGCTATGGGAAACTATTTGGTGCCTAACAAAAATAGTAAACATCACAATGCTGGCAGAATGGAACAGAAATGATACTGCCTTCGTCCATTCCATAAGCAGCTCTGATCAAGCCACGCCTATTCCTAGAAGAAAGGAAATGTCTGCTTTCCTAATGCCATGACTCAGAATTCCATTTCAAATAAGGATTGTTTTAGCCAAGTGTATCAGCTTACCTCTCCCCAAGTGGGACAGCTGCGAGTGACCAGCACACTAGTCACAAGAGAAGTATCGGGAGATTACATGGAGTGTCACAATGGGGATATTACAGAGAATACCGCCATGTTTTACTTGAACGTAGGACTTCACAGGGCCTCTGGACATCAACTTAGAACACTAGTTCTTTGAATTAATGTTTTTCAAATTATAAAAAATAATACATAATTATTGAAAAAATTTCAGCCCAAACAGAAGAGTATTTGGTAAATTGTGACTGTTTTCTGCAGACCTCTCACTCCCACTCCAAAAGTAGACCTCTGCTTTATAACAATATATAACACAACCAGTGTGGTGTGTGCCCCTTAAACCCTTCTTAATGGTAATACTAAAGAATATATACCTGGGCCGGGCGCAGTGGCTCACATCTGTAATCCCAGCACTTTGGGACACTAAGGTGGGCAGATCATCTGAGGTCAGGCGTTTGAGACCAGCTTGACCAACATGGAGAAACCCCATCTCTCCTAAAAATACAAAATTAGCCAGGCATGGTGGCGCATGCCTGTAATCCCAGCCACTCGGGAGGCTGAGGCAGGAGAATCACTTGAACCCAGAGGCAGAGGTAGTGGTGAGCCGAGATGGCACCATTGCACTCCAGCCTGGGCAACAAGAGCGAAACTCTGTCTCAAAAAAAAAAAAAAAAAAAATATATATATATATATATATATACCTTAAACACTTATTATTTAAAAACCAAAATGGAATCATACTTTTCAGTCTCTTCTGCAACTTGCTTTTCCCATTTAACATACCACAAGCATTCTTCCATGCCAATGCTACATTCGTTTGAATGGTATTTTATAACATCGATTTTAAAAAATTTTAACACTGAATGGATAAACATGTGATAATGGATCCATTCATGCGGTCCAAATGCTTTGTTTCTCTGTATAGGTCTGATTAGGCAGTCAGGATGTGCATTTCTTTGGAGCTGTTTTAACAGCTGTTTTAAAACCTATCCACTTATTTTCCTGAAGAAGGGAGTCTGTGGTGGGATTAGCTGAGTGAATGTGTTGGTTTATGAGCAGGGATTGAAGCATGAAGAGTGGAGTCAGTTCAGATGACATTTGTCTTTATGTGACTTCCTTCTCTCTCTCTCTCTTTTAGAACAGTTTATTGAGGTGTAGATACTGCTATGGACTGAATTGTGTCCTCCAGAGTCCGTTTGTTAACGTCTTAGCTTCCAGCATCTCAGGATGTCCATGCACTTAATTGCCTTTAAAAAGGCAAATAAGTTAAAATGAAGCCATTTGGTAGGCCTTATCCCAGTAAGACTGGTATCCTAATAAAAGGAGGAAAAGAGGAGAATCACACAGAGGGTCACAGCCAGGAATGCAGCACAGAGAAAAGGCCACGTGAGGACACAGCAAGAAGGCGGCCATCTGCATGCCAAGGAGAGAGGCCTCAGGAGAAACAAAACCTGCTCACACCTTGATCCTGGACTTCCAGCCTCCAGAACCAGAGAAAATACATTTCTATGGTCTAGCCACCTAGTCTGTGCTATTTTGTTATGGCAGCCCAAGCAAACGAATACAGATTTTTAAAAATTTACCCATTGTAAGCGTACAGTACAATGATGTTTAGTAAATTTATAGAATTGCACAACCATCACCAAGATCCAATTTTAGAAAGTTCCATTGAGCTGCCTGGTCTGCAGTCAGTCCATTCCCACTCCCAGCTCTAGGCAACCACTGATCTGCTCTGTGTCTCCATAGATTTTCCTTTTCTAGAAATTTCATATAGATGGAATCATACAATATATGGTCTTTCAGGTCTGACTTCTTTTATTTAGCATAGTTTTTTTTCAGGTTCATCCATATTGCAGCTTGTATCAGTCATTTGTTCCTTTTTACTGTCGAAAAGTATTTCATTGTGTGAGATAAATTACATTTTTTGTATCCCTCACGAGTTGATGTACATGTGAATTGTTTCCAGTTTGGGGCTACTATGAATTATACCCTAAGAACATTTGTATATATGTCTTTGTATGAAAATCATTCTCTTTGCAGATTCCATGTTCATTTAGATCAGATTATACATGTTTTTAATTATTTTTAAATGAATTTTTAAATTACAAAATATAATCAGAAAGAAATGCCAGCTTCCTGGGAATAGGGATATTGTTTTGTTCACTGTTGTGTTTCCAGTCCCTAAGTGTCTGACTGAAAAAAAAAACAAAACTGTGGAATAAATGTATGTAACACACCAAATAACTGTATTCAGAGTCTCACTCTGTCATCCAAGCTGGAGTGCAGTGGCACTATCAGGGCTCACTGCTGCTTAGACCTCCTAGGCTCAAGTGATCCTCTCATTCCAGCTCCCAAGTAGCTGGGACTATAGGCATGCCCCACCATGCCCAGGTAATTTTTTGTGTGCATGCAGATGGGGTCTTGCTTTGTTGCCTAGGCTGGGCTGGTCTCAAACACCTGGACTCAAGTGATCCTCCCGCCTCAGCCTCCCAAAGTGCTGGATTACAAGTATGAGCCACCATCGCCAGCCCGTAAGTGTGTATTTGCTTGATTTATATAAAAAGTAAATTAGCTGGGCATGGAGCTCATGCCTGTAATCCCAGCACTTTGGGAGGCCAAGGTAGGAGGACAGCTTGAGCCCAGGAGTTCAAGATGAACCTGAGCAGCATGGCAAAACCCATTTCTACAAAAAATTAGCTGGGCGTGGTGGCACACACCTGTAGTTCCAACTTCCTGGGGTGCTGAGGCCGGAGGATTGCTTGAGCCCTGGAGGTCGAGGCTGCAGGGAGCTGCTATTGTGCCACTGTATTTGAGCTGGGGCAACAGAGTGAGATTCTGTCTCAAAAAAAAAAGTAAATTAATTAAAAATGTAATAAACAGTGCTTCCTGATTTTTATGGAGGTTGACTTTGTGTGTGCATTGGAGTTTTGAAGGTGCCATCTCAGGCAATTCACCCCCGAGGAGGGAAACATGGTTCTCAGTGCAGCTGGGAGAGACCACAGGGCCAATGAAGGGCCATTTTCAAGTTGAGAGTTATGAGGCTGACTTGCACTGATGGGAATGAACCAGCAGGGAGAGGAGAAAGAGGGTGGTTTCCATAAGCAAAGTCATTGAGAAGCTCCAAAGAGATGGAGTGTGGAGCAGTGCACTCACCCTGTGGTCCAAGAACCTACAGCATCAGCCTCAACCAGGAGCTTATCGGAAATGCAAGTCTTGAGGCCCCACACCATACCTACTGATCCTACACCTCACGGGTGGGCCCAGTGCTGTGTTTTAACAAGCTCTCCATGTGACTCTCACACATGCTAAAGTTTGAATAGCACCGACCATCCTAGGGCACGACTGAAAAGGTGGTCTAGGGCGGATATTCTACTAGCAGGTCCTTGGGAGTTGACCAAACTGTCACTTGTCCCTGAACCCAGCTATTGAAAGGACCTAGAGGAACATATTCAAACCACATTCCTGGGTATCCCAACTCAATGAATTCCATGTCTGCTCACCTGCGTCATTCTTGGGCACAGTCCCCTTATGAACTTTCTTATACAGAATCACACAGAGGGTCACGATCAGAAGGAACAGCAGCACCTGATTAACTGAAATAGAAATGGAAACACATTAACATTGAACCTATGAACCTGAAATCACGTGACAAAGTTTAGAATGGTAGTGCGAGTAGGTGCCTTCCATGACACAGAGGAGTGGTATCTGAGACCTTTCTATAAGCAGACAGCATATAGAATAAAGAATTAACCTGGCCAGGTGTGGTAGCTCATGCCTGTAATCCCAGTACTTTGGGAGGCCAAGGCAGGTGGATCACCTGAGCTCAGGAGTTTCGAGACCAGCCTGGGCAACAGAGTGGGACCCTGTCTCAACAACAACAAACACACACACACACACACACACACACACACACACACACACACAAATTAGCTGGGCGTGGTGGCATGCACCTGTAGTCTCAGCTACTAAGGAGGCTGAGATAGGAGGATGGCTTGAGCCTGGGAGGTGGAGGCTGCAGTGAGCCAAAATTACTCCAGCCTGGGTGACAGAGCCAGACCCTGTCTCAAATACAAAAACAAACAAACAGAAAGAATTAACCTGGAACACTATTGTTGCTCAGGGGTCTTGCATCTTTACTGAATTTGTATATCAGTTCTAATAGTTTTTTGCTGGAGTCTTTAGAATTTTCCAAATATAAGATTATATTGGCCAGTTGTAGTGGCTCACACCTGTAATCCCAGCACTTTGGGAGGCTGAGGTGGGCAGATCACATGAGGCCAGGAGTTCAAGGCCAGCCTGGGCAATATGGTGAAACCCTATCTCTACTAAATTATACAAAAATTAGCTGGGCGTGATGGTGCATGCCTGTAATCCCAGCTATTTGGGAGGCTGAGGCATGAGAATTGCTTGAACCTGGGAGGTGGAGGTTGCAGTGAGCCAAGATCACACCACTGGGCAATAGAGCAAGACCTTCCTTCCAAAACAAAACAAAACAAAAACGTATCATCTGCAAACAGGATAATTTGAGTTCTTCCTTTCCAATTTGGATGCCCTTTATTTTTTTTGCTTGTCTGATTGCTCTAGCTAGGGCTTCCACTACTATGTTGAATAACAGTGGTGAAACGCAGCCATCCTTGTCGTGTTCCAGATGTAAGAGGAAAGGCTTTCAGTTTTTCCCCATTTAGTATGATACTAGCTGTGGGTCTGCCGTATGTGGCTTTTATTTTGTTGAATTTATGTGATTCTTCTTATGAGCCAGTAGTAATTATAAATACATGTTCTTAGCCATTATGACACAGCTGCTTTTCAGTTAATTCAACCCTTGGTCAAGGATGATGTGCAGGCCGGGTGTGGTGGCTCACACCTGTAATCCCAGCACTTTGGGAGGCCAAGGCAGGTGGATCACTGGAGGCCAGGAGTTTGAGACCAGCCTGGCCAACATAGCAAAACCCCATCTCTACTAAAAATACAAAAATTAGCCAGGTGTTGCGCATGCCTGTAGTCCCAGCTATTCAGGAGGTTGAGGCAAGAGAATCACTTAAACCTGGGAGGCAGAGGTTGCAGTGAGCCGAGATCATGCCACTGCACTCCAGTCTGGGTGACAAAGGGAGACTCTGTCAAAAAAGAAAGAAGGAGAGAAAGAAAGAAAGAAAGAGAGAGAGAGAGAAAGAAAAGAAAGAAAGAAAGAAAGGGAGAGAGAAAGAAAGAAAGAAAGAAAGAAAGAAAGAAAGAAAGAAAGAAAGAAAGAAAGAAAGAAAGAAAGAAGGAAGGAAGGAAGGAAGGAAGGAAGGAAGGAAAGAAAGAAAGAGAAAGAAAAGAAAGAAAGAAAGAAAGAAAGAAAGAAAGAAAGAAAGAAAGAAAGAAAGAAAGAAAAATAAAGAGAGAAAGAAAGAAAGGAAGAAAGAAAGAAATTCTTGCCCTGGTAAACAGAAGACCTCAATGCCTCCAAGCCTCCAGCTCTGTTTGTTCCAGTGATGTTGGCCCTTGAGATCTGTTGAGAAGTAGAGTGGTGTAAAACAGTGTTTTCTTGAGTATGGAACATATAGCACTGGTTGTGCATGAAATGACTGAGGAAGTTCATGTTCATAGCATTAATATTTAATCAGCATATGAGAAAGTCAATCTTTCTGATTTTATGTGCAGGAACACAACAAAAGCTACCCAGAGTTGAATCACATTCTCCTAATTGTATATGTGTTTAAAGCTACCTTTTTTTTTTAATGATAGGAAATCATTCTGTTTTCATTTGCAGTAAGGATAAAAACTTTCTATTATGAAGTACACTTATAAATTTTTAAAATTAGTCAAAGAAAACAAAATTGGTTTTGAGATGGAGTTTCACTCTTGTTGTCCAGGCTGGAGTGCAATGGCACAGCCTTGGCTCACTGCAACCTCTGCCTCCTGGATTCAAGCGATTCTCCTGCCTCAGCCTCCCGAGTAGCTGGGATTACAGGCCCCCACCACCATGCCTGGCTAATTTTTGTATTTTTAGTAGAGACAGGGTTTCACCATGTTGGCCAGGCTGATCTTGAACTTCTGACCACAAGTGATCCTCCCACCTTGGTCTCCCAAAGTGCTGGAATTACAGGCATGAGCCACTGTGCCTGGCCTAAAGAAAATATTAAGAAATGTTTAGGACAGAAGGAACACAGCTGATGAAAAATTGAGAAGATGGCATGTTGGCATGTGTAGTGCACACCTACCTAAAGTTTGGGAAAAGTTGGTAGAAGGGAAGAGGGTGTGAATTTGAAGTCAGACTCAAATCTCTTTTCTACCACCTCCTAGCTGTATGGCCGAGGGGTATCTTAACCTCTCTGAGCTTGGTGTGCTTATCTGCTGAATGAAGATTGTAATAATAAGCATTACCTCGCACTACTGTTTTGAGAGTTAACCAAGGCAATGCAGGCCCAATAAAGACTTTACAAATGGTTATGCATCATTGTTATTATTATTTTATCTTTTTTTTTCTTTTTTGAGACAGGGTCTCACCTCAGTTGCCCTGGCTGGAGTGCAGCAGTGTGATCTCAGCTCACTGTAACCTCAACCTTGCAGGCTCAGGTGATTCTCCTACCTCAGCCTCCGAAGTAGCTGGGACTATAGACACATATCACCACACCTGGCTAATTTTTTGTATTTTTTAGTAGAAACGGGGTTTCACCATGTTGCTAAGGCTGGTCTCGAACTCCTGGACTCAAGCAATCCACCTGCCTCGGCCTCCCAAAGTGCTGGGAATACAGGCATGAGCCACCGCACCTGGCCTGTATTATTTTTTATTATTTTTATGCATCAAGAGACTTAATCTATTGACTTCATATGCATCTATTTTTTGGCCTCTATGCCTTTGTCTTCCCATTTGTAAAAGAGTCTTCGTGGATGCCCTCCAAAGCTACATCCTGAGGCTGTGATTCTATTTTGCTGACACCCAGTTCCTCCCTGCCTTAATGGATTATCAGATTCAGCCAGGGACAATCAGATACTAGACTCCATTTAAAACAAAACTACAGAGAAGCAGAAAATGGACAGAAAATGGACAAAATTCTACAGTTTATCAACAGGCCCGATTAATATTCACCTGCCACGGCCGGGCGCAGTGCCTCACACCTGTAATCCCAGCACTTTGGGAGGCTGAGGCGGGTGGATCACTTGAGGTCAGGAGTTCAAGACTAGCCTGGCTAACATGGTGAAAACCCATCTCTACTAAAAATACAAAAATTACCCAGGCAAGTATGTCTCATGCAATATTTGGGACATACTTATACTAAAAAATTATTTGTTGTTTATCTGAAGTTCAAATTTAACTGGTTGTCCTGTTCTGAGTCTTTGTTTGCTGAATCTGGCAACTCTACCCTGAGGGTCACAGAATTAGGTTACTATGTTTCTCCTCAAATTCACAAACTACTGGATCTAAAATCAGAGGCAAATCCAGGTTCTGATGGGTATGAAGATTCGAGATGACTCTTTAAGACTAAGAACGCAAAATTACAAATTACAAATGCTAAATTAGCTATGAACATGAATATTTATTCCGAACGAGAAAATGCATTATTTTTGCAAGTTTTATAGAAATATATGATCCCTGCTGTAAGTTCACTTCCACTTCTTCTTCTTTTTTTTTTTTTTTTTTTGTGTGTTTGAGACAGGGTCTCACTCTGTCTCCCAGGCTGGCATGCAGTGGTGCAATCTCAGCTCACTGCAGCCTCTGCCTCCCAGGCTCAAGTGATCCCCCTGCCTCAGCCTCCCGAGTAGCTGAGACTACAGGTGTCCGCCACCATGCCTGGCTAATTTTTGTATTTTTTGTAGAGATGGGGTCTCTCCATGTTACCCAGGCTGGTCTCGAACTCCCGAGCTCAACTGACCCGCCCACCTCAGCCTCCCAAAGTGCTAGGATTACAGGCGTGAGCCAGTGCGCCCAGCCGATAAGTCCACTTCTGACTAAAATACTGAACAACTCTCCATGGGAATCATCTGGAAATGATGATGCCAAAAAGTGCCTGTGGGAAAACTATCCATGAAAATCAAACACAATCCAAGAAAGAAGAAAAGAGCCAAGCCCCAGCCTCAAAACCATCCTCCCAAATATGTTTTTAAATCATTATTTTCAAAAGTTGAAATCTTACTTTTTCGTAACAGAGCCATGTGTATTCACGCGGATAAGAACTGTAACCTGTGGATTAAAGGAAAAAAAATCTGTTTAAAGGAGAATCAACTTAAAACTCATCAACAAGTGTTAAGGACTATGCCTTCCCTGAAAGACTGATATATCGTGAAGTGTGTGATCATTTTTTACTGCTCCAAATCTAAAATTTTGGAAACAAAATAAATACTAGCCCATGTCTTCAAAAGCAATGCCTCTGGTTGAACAAACCTTACTAAGGGTCCTCAAAAGCTAATCTTTTGTCTTCAGAAGTTCTTTCTTTCTTTTTTGGTGATAGAGTCTCGCTCCATCACCCAGGCTGGAATGCAGTGGTGCGATCTTGGCTCACTGCAATCTCCCCCTCCCAGGTTCAAGCGATCTTCCTTCCTCAGCCTCCCAAGTAGCTGGACCTACAGGCATGCACCACCACACCCAGCTAAATTTTTTTTGTTTTTAGTAGAGATGGGGTTTTGCCATGTTGCCCAGGCTGGTCTCGAACTCCTAGCCTCAAGCAATCCATCCATCTTAGCCTCCCAAAGTGCTGGGATTATAGATGTGAGCCACAGTGCCCAGCCCAGAATTTTTTTTAACCTCTTGTAAAAAGAGCTCTGTCAGCCTTCTGGGTCAGCAGAGCAGATGGCAGAAACTGGAAGTATCACACTAGATCTCCCTGATCTAAAATATCAACCCTATGCCATCTTTCTACTATCATAACTTCGTTCCTCGATAAGGCAGATTTTACATCTTCAAGAATCCCTTGGAGGGGCATGCATTATACTCAATTCAATCATTCATTCAGTATTTACATATTGAGATCCTACTAAAAGCCCAGCACTGTGCCACTTCCCAGTGATGCACCGAAAAACAAAACAGTACTGGTCCCTATCCTCCTGAAGCTTTTGGTCCAGTGGGGGAAACAGATATTAAAATGTGACACATAAAAGTATTAGATTATGGTAAGTGCTATGAAGGAAGCAAAGGAGATGTTGGGATAAAGACGAACAAGGGTAGGGAGTGCATCAGGAGGAGAAATCAGGAAAAACTTCATTGAGGAGATGGCATTGGAGGGAAAGAAGAGCAAGAGCCAGTCAAGGGCAGAACATGCAGAGGAGCATCCCAGGCAGAGGGAACAGCAAGTGCAAAGGCCCTGGGGCTGGAAAGAGCTCTAAGTATTCTAGGAACTGCAAGAAACTCAAACTGGCTGGATCATAGTGGACCAAAGGAGAGACTGGATGGAAGAGGTCAGAGAGGTACCAAGGGGCCGGATACTACTGTGCCTGAAGAGGAGTTTGGATTTTATTTTAAGTGCATTAAACCCCCTCCATCAGTGTTTAACTTTGTTAAAGCCCTAAAGCACTGTTTTTCAAACATTCCCAAGGGAATTCTGATGGTAAAGGAGAGTGAATACTCAACATTGCTCACAATGAGCTCAAAGTATCTTTCATGTTTTTTGTTTTACCTTCAAATTCATGGGAACTGTGCAAGAATGTAGTGGAAAGGAATCACTCCTTTAACTGCTGGCAGAGTTCCCCCCTCAGGGAGAAAGCTATCTGTTATGAAAGCAAGGTCTTCTGTGCCTAGGTGGGATGGCTAGGTGAGAGCAGGGAAAAGCTAACCTGGTCTGAATAAGGGATGAACCGAATCCTAAGGTTCGGCCACAGCCCAAGAAAAAATGTTATTAGAGGAAAAGGAAAAGTCCAAGTCACTTACCCTGGAGAACTTCCTTTCCTATGGCAGGCCCAGGGACTATTCAAGAACAGATGTCCAATACTCAGCTCACAATCTTCTTCCACGCTCTGCACCTTCTAACCTCAGCCCACCTCCACGCTGCTCTTCCCACAGGACCTAAAGTGACATTTTAAGTGTTTTACTGGGCGTGGTGGCTCACTTTTGGAGGCCGAGGTGGGCAGATGCTTGAGCCCAGGAGTTGGAGACAAGCCTGGGCAACATTATAAGACCCCCCCTGCAACAATCTCTACAAAAAAATACAAAAATTAGCAGGCATCATGGTGCATGCCTGTAGTCCCAGCTACTCGGGAGGTTGAGGAAGGAGGATCACTTGAGCCCAGGAGGTTGAGGCTGCAGTGAGCCATGGCTGCTGCACTCCAGCTGGGAGACAGAGCAAAACCCTGTTTTAAAAAAGAAAAAGAAAGAAGACAGAGAAGAAAGAAAAGAAAAGAAAGAGAGAAAGGAAGGAAGGAGAAGGAGAAGGAGAAGAAGAAAGAAGAAGAAGAAGAAGAAGAAGAAGAAGAAGAAGAAGAAGAAGAAGAAGAAGAAGAAGAAGAAGAAGAAGAAGAAGAAGAAGAAGAGGAAGAAGAGGAAGAGGAAGAGGAAGAGGAAGAAGAAGAAGAAGAAGAAGAAGAAGAAGAAGAAGAAAAAGAAGAAGAAGAAGAAGAAGAAGAAGAAGAAGGGAAAGAAAGAAAGAAAGAAAAAAAAAGAAAGAAAGAAAGAAGAAAAGAAAAGAAAAAAAGAAAAACTGCTCCTTTCAGAAGAGCTGCCATATTTGTCGTGTGTCTTTTTGTAGCCCCAAGTCACAGCAATAATATTCCAGGGGATGGTCACTGTGGGATGAGAAAGTTTATCTCATCCCACAGTAGGATGTTTATCTGGTCCCAGATAAATATCAGGAGAGGGCAGGCTTTCAGAGTGACTGCAAGGAGAAGGGAACACAAATGGAAAGAAAGAGATCCCTGGAAGAAAGGCTGGAGGACTGTCAGGGACAGATTTGCGATGAGATATGCCTGTTTCACATTGTTATACACGATTAAAGTAATTAAAATACACACCTCTACCCAACTTCAAGTAACCCAATATTAAAAGGCCTTTTTGTCTCTGTGTTGAAGATTACAGAAAATATAGAGGTCAGCTGGTAGAAAAAGGGAGATTTTTTTCAGTTGATAGTCTTACAGGACTTATATTGAACATATTTAATAACTCATATGGCCCTTGGCACTGATCAATCAAAATGGGTACCAGCTATAAATGGCTGGCACAGCCCCACACGAGTGTTCTGACTAATAAATAGCAGCTTTGGCATCTACAGAATGTCAAATCATACTAATGTATTATCTATTCATATATATAAGTAAGCACAGGAGATTCTACACACACACACACACACACATGCACACACACACACACATGCACACACACACACGATGCATTATATTTTGCTAAGCAGCAAGAACTATAACTGTCACATCATCAACCATTCTCATGTTCTATCAGGCCAACTTTTTACATAAAGTCCTTTGCATAAGAAAAATGCAGGGCAAATTCTAAGAGGCATATTAACTAGATGTATTCCAAGAACAACTTCTTTTAACAAAAGAGACCAGCTGCTGCTTCAGAGCATAAAGAATTGGCCCATGAGAACTATTTTTCTGCCAAGGTATTTGATACATGTTGACAAGCAAATTTTTTTCCAGTCTTCTGGATTTACACGTATTTCCTACTGTGAGTTTCTTTCTTGATGTTCTTAAAAATTGCTATGCATCAGGGGGAGGGAGAGCATCAGGATAAATAGCTAATGCACGTGGGGCTTAATACCTAGGTGATGGGTTGATAGATGCAGCAAACCACCATGGCACACACTTAACTATGTAACAAACCTGCACATTCTGCACATGTATCCCAAAACTTAAAATAAAATAAAATTTTAAAAAATTGCTATGCATACTATTTCTTTTTTATTAGGTAGTATTTTCTAAATTCTTTAGACTGCATTGAAGAATCAGAAAGAGTGCTTCACCCAGGGGAACACAAATGGTTCTGTATAATAAACATTCAGTATGTCTGTTTTCATTTTAAATAGGCTTCTTTTCCATGACACATTTACTAAAGGAATATTACCATGTCAGCTTCAAAATTTGACAAGCTGATTTTTAAGTTTTTAAAAATTTACATACATTAGAATTTCCTTTTTTTTCTATAGTTCTATGGACTTTTACACATGCATAGATTCTTGTAACGACCACCACAAATGGGGTAGAGAACAATGCCAACACTCAAAGAATTCCCTTGCACCGCCACTTTGTAGTCAGGCCCTGCCCAACACCCAGCCCTTGGCAACCACTGATAGGTTCTCTGTCTCTGTAGTTTTGTCTTTTCCAGAATGTCATATAAATGGAATCCTACAGGATGTAATATTTTGCGAGACTTTCTTCTTTCAATTAGCATAATGTTTTTGAGATTCATACTAGCTATTGCCTTTACCAATAGTTTGTACCTTTTTATTGCTGAATGGTATTCCGTTGAATGGATATACCACAGTTTATCCATTCACCCACTGAAGGACATTTGGGTTGTTTCCATTGTTTTGTGATTATGAATAATACTTCTGTAAACACTTGTTTACAGGTTTTTGTGTGAATAGAGGGTAACTACCTAGAAGTGGTATTGCTGGGTCTTTTGGGTAGATATATATTTAACTCTATAAGAAATTGCCAATCTAGGCTGGCTGCCGTGGCTCATGCCTATAATCCCTGCACTTTGGGAAGCCAAGATGGGAGGACCACTTGAGCTCAGGAGTTCGAGACCAGCCCTGGCAACATAGTGAGACCCCTGTCTGTATGAAAGCAAAACAAAACAAACAAAAAAACCCTCAAAAAACAAATGTGGGGAGTTAGAGAAAAAAATTTAGCCAGACATGGTGGTGGGCACCTGTGGTCCCAGCTATTCAGGAGGCTGAGGTGGGAGGATTGTTTGAGCCTGGAGGTCGAGGCTGCAGTGAGCCATGGTCGCACCACTGCACTCCAGCCCCGGTGACAGAGAGAGACCTTGTCTGAAAAAAAAGGAAAAGAAAAAGAAAGAAACTGACAATCTTTTTTCCTGAGTGGAAACATTTTCATTTTGTATTCCCACTAGCATGGTGAGAAAGTTCCAGTTGCTCTGTGTTCTTGTCAGCACTTGGTATTGCCGGTATTTTTTTTATTTTAGCTGTTATAATGGGTGAATTGCATTGTGATTTTAATTTGCATTTCC
The DNA here is from genome assembly GCF_000001405.40 of Homo sapiens. Classification (NCBI taxonomy): domain Eukaryota; kingdom Metazoa; phylum Chordata; class Mammalia; order Primates; family Hominidae; genus Homo; species Homo sapiens. The sequence goes on from NC_000012.12 coordinate 104,024,630, forward strand.
CTAATGATTACTCACGTTGAGCATCTTTTTGTGTGTTTATTTACCATCCACATGTGGCGAAATGTCTGTTTAAATCTTTTGTGCATTTTTATAGAATTATTTTCTTATTTTTGAGTTTTGGGAGTTGTTTATATATTCCGCATACAAGTCCTGTGTTAGGCCTCAGTGCTGTGGCTCATGCCTGTAATCCCAGCACTTTGAGAGGTTGAGGCTGGCAGATCACTTGATGTCAGGAGTGTAAGACCAGCCTGGCCAACATGGTGAAACCCTTTCTCTACTAAAACACAAAAATTAACCAGGCGTGGTGGTGCAGGTCTGCAATCCCAGCTACTCGGGAGGCTGAGGCAGGAGAATTGCCTGAACCTGGGAGGTGGAGGTTGCAGTGAGCCGAGATTGTGCCACTGCACTCCAGCCTAGACAACAGAGTGAGACTTTGTCAAAAAAAAAAAAAAAAAAAAAAGCCCTGTGTTACGCGATTTGCAAATACTTTCCCCTGGTATGTGACTTGTCTTTTCAGTCTCTTAACAATAAATTTTGCAGAGCAAAAGTATTTAATTTTGATGATGTCAAATTCATTTTATTTTTTTCTTTTTTTTTGAAACAGGGTTTTACTCCATCACCCAGGCTCAAGTACAGTGGTATAATCTTGGCCCACTGCAACCTCCACCTCCCAGGCTCAAACGATTCTCCTACCTCAGCCTCCCAAGCAGCTGGGACTACAGGTGCACACCACTGCACCTGGCTAATTTTTGTATTTTTTGTAGAGATGGGGTTTTGCCATGTTGCCCAGGCTGGTCTTGAACTCCTGAGCTCAAGTGATCTGCCTGCCTTGACTTCTCAAAGTGCTGGGATTACAGGCATCAGCCACCACACCTGGCCTTTTTTTCTTTTATAGATCATGCTTTTGGTATCATATCTAATAAATTTTGGCCTAACCTAAGGTCATGATGACTTTCTCCTATGTTTTCTGGGAGAATTTTATAGTTTTGGACTTAATATTTACATTCAGAGTTAATTTTTGTATATATCATGAAATGTAGATTAAACTTAATCTTTTAGCATATGGTTATCCAGTTGTTCCAAGACCATTTGTTGAGAAAGCCATTTGTTGAGACCATTTGTTATTCCTTCTGTGGAACTGATTTTTTTCTTTAATATTTTGTTCCAATTTCAGGGTATTCAAAGGGGACTTCAAATCTGGCAAGGAGTTTGAACCTAGAGGATGACATGTGTCCCAAAGAAGGGAGCAAGTGATCCACACAGGTTTTTTATTATCTCCTATACTTTCTACAGGAAGAATTACAGATATGATTAGTCATCAGTGACTAAAAAGTGAGCTACATCATCAAATAAAGATTCAATAATGTGGCCAGGTATGGTGGCTCACAACTGTAATTCCAGCACTTTGGGAGGCTGAGGCTGGCGGATCACTTCAGGCCAGGAATGCAAGACCAGCCTGGACAATATGGTGAAACCCCATCTCTACTAAAAATTCAAAAATTGGCTGGACGTGGTGGGCCACACCTGTAATCTCAGCTACTCGGGAGGCTGAGGCACAAGAATCACTTGAACCTGCGAGAAGGGGGTTGCAGTGAGCCGAGATCACACCACTGCCCTCCAGCTTGGGCGACAGAGCAAGACTCTGTCTCAAAAAAAAAAAAAAAAAATTCAATAATGTTCTCAGAGTACTATCAGGACCAAGCAGGCAAGAAAAGGGTTGATCTACCATGAAAAACTTTCAACCAAACATTTCCCCAAATTCTAATTCGATCTTTGCTTTATATTCTGGAGTATTTTATTTGTGCTCTGAAATCAAGAAGGCTAAGACACCCTCCCTCTATTCTCGAAATATACCTGTTAAGACTTTGTTTCCCGGTTTTCCCAATTTACAATGTATCTATCTATATGCTTAATACAATACCTTGGATATTCATTAGGAGAAGTGGTAGGCATTAAGCAAAGCATAGGATAGGACAGGTTTGATGAAAAAATAAAATTTAACCATTAGATAAGGATTTTAGATGACAACATTCATTTTACTGTAAAATCTAAAGTTAAATATTGTCACATTTTTATGGTCATTCACTTGTTTGTGACATTTTGCCAATTACCCCAGGAGTTGGCAACTGACTTCCTCTATCTCACACAAAAAAAGTTAATTTGCCATGAAAAACAATTTGTCTTGAAAACTCAAAGTTTGTTTTAAAATTAAGTTGATCCTTCTTAACTATGGTCTTTAAAAGGAACTTCTGAACTTGACATTTGACGGGAGGCTGCAGACTGCAAACCAGGAATAATAACCTTTAGAAACTAACAACATGACAGAGATAGCCCGAGGAGGTAATTGAGAAAGGAAGGATATCATAGGTCCCCACAGTTTCATGAACCAAAGTGTTATGAGAATTTGCTGGCAGTCATCTAGGAAAACTCTTCAACAGAGATTTGATTCAACTCTTTAATTCACTGTAAACAACCAGCTACAATGTTCCTTTTATTTTCCCGGGCTATAGACTGAACACCCAAGAGCTTTGAGTGCATGGCAATGACCCTTCTCCTCTTCCCCTTTTGCACCTGGAAAAGAAATGGGTCAAAACAGCACACTACTTAGGATTTTTCTGAGATAGGGTTTCAGGTACCTTTTATCCATTTAGGATTTTAGGTGATATGTATGCATCTAACTTTCGGGGATGATGGAAGCCTAGAATGGTCTTTGGCCATGTGGCTCCTCCTCCCACTCCATGAAAGAAGCCATCTGGTATCACAGGAGAGAACGGGGCAAAGACCAGAAGGAAGCTGAGCTCTAAGTCCCTCAGGCCATCCACTTCCTGGACATCCTAGTTATGAAAACCAGTAACTTCACAATTTTTCCTTAAACTGTTTTGAAATGAGGTTCAGTTTCTTACAAACAAAAGTCTTTACAAATAAATTTGCTGTGGCCAGAATGGTGTGTGAATATGGGGAGCAGTTTGTAGGGGTCAGATAATAATCATAGCTATCATTTATTGCGAATTTAATTTGCACGCAGCTCCAGGCTATTTAGGTACATTATCTCCTTTAATTCTAACACCTTTCAAGTGGATGTATTACTATCTCCATTTTTCAAATGAGGACATTGTGGCTCGGAGAGGTTCAGTAACTTGCTCAAAATCATAAATCTTGTAAATGATGGGGCTGGGATTAAAAATTAGAGCTCTCTGACTTCAAAGCCCTTAACCACAAAGTGCTGAGCTCTCAAAGGGCCCTTGCGGCTACACCAGAGGTTAGGAGAATTGGGGTCCAGATAACAGATTTCACCGTGTGTTGATGAAGCTTTACAGCTCACAGGCAATGCTGGTCAGCTCTTTCCTGAGTGCTCGGTTACTGTAACTATGAGACCACTCCAGAGGCAGAGGAATAGTAAATGCTGATTCATCTGAACAGGGGGTTCATCTTTCCCCGTCCAGTGTGTTGCCAACTCTGAAATCTCTTTAAGATGAAACAAGAAGCTTTAGGATGCAGATAATCGCATGCCAATTGCAAGGCACAGCAGTAATGAGCCAAGAAGGTAAGTTCCCGAAGCTGATTATTGTAGGAAACCTTAAGCCATATGGCAGGAGTGGTGTCCTTGAGAAGCATGCAGTTTCAACAGAAAGTTTGCTTTAAAAAATGATGTGTGTGTGTGCATGTGCGTGTGTGTGTGTGTATAATTGCATAAAGATTTGGCATGCCTGAATTTCATCCTATCCTTCCTTTTTACAATTTCATCTCATCTCTGATGGTGGCACTTCCTGGGTTTCAAAAAACAAAAAAATCCCAAGTGGACAAGACACAGTTTCTGACTGAGGGCACTAAAGTCAAGTGGAAAATCATGTGGAAATCCTTTTCCAGTACAATTAGTGTATTAAACTGTGGGCCTTGGAGTCAGACCACCTGGGTTCAAATCCTAGCTGCACAATGTATAAGAACCATATAAGAACCCCTTCCCTTGGAAACTTAAGATTCCTCACTTATAAAATGTCTGTAATACCATTTTACAATCAACATGTTAATAAGTAATTCAGGCAAAAAACCTCAATGAATGCTAAAGTGATAGGGGGTAAAATGTTGTTGGGGTACAGAAAATTCACATTCTCAAAGTAATCACACTTAAGATCAACAAAATGAAACAAATTGAAATCCTGTGCCTTGAGGTGTGACAAATATCAATATGTTCCTGCCAGTGATATTTAACCTGATTCTATCATGGATAACGTCATGGTCAAATCCAAATCATGGATCATTCTGAAGACGAACTGCCCTGGTCTCTTCAAATATGTCAATATCATGAAAGGAAAAAAAAAAACCACGTTGGGAACTCTATAAGCTTGATAATGTAACAATGAAATGGAAAGTGTGAACCTTGGCTGGGCTCAGTGGCTCACGCCTGTAATCCCAGCACTTTGGGAGGCTGAGGCAGGTGGATCATGAGGTCAAGAGATCGAGACCATCCTGGCCAACATAGTGAAACACCATCTCTACTAAAAACACAAAAATTAGCTGGGCATGGTGGCGTGCACCTGTAGTCCCAGCTACTTCGGAGGCTGAGGCAGGAGAATCGCTTGAACCTGGAAGGCTGAGGTTGCAGTGAGCCGAGATTGCACCACTGTACTCCAGCCTGGTGACAGAGTGAGACTCCATCTCAAAAAAAAAAGTGTAAACCTTGACTGCATCCTGAACCAAATGTTTAAAAAGAGCTACAAAGTTTATTTTTGGGAAATTGGGGAAATATTATGGCATTAATGTTAAATTTCCTGAGAGAATAAATGTGGTATGGTTATGTAGGAGTATATCATTGATAGTAGGAGACACATACATTAATTTAGGGGTGAAAGGTCAAGAGGTTCAGGGTTGTTTGTGTGTAGAAAGAGAGAGAGTGAGAGGTACTGAGACAATGCTAATGTGGCTAAATTGGTTGAGCCATTATACTCTTCTTGCAACTTTTCTATAAATTAAAACAATTTCTAAATAAAAAGTTGAGGAAATGAAGGTAATATAAGGCTTTATGAGGATTAAATGCAGTAATACATTTACATGCATTAAGTACTTACAACAGTACTTGGCAAACAGTTGGAACCCCACTTATACAAGCCATTATGATCGTGTGATTCTAGGGAAATAACTCCATCTCTCTCCGTCTCAGTTTCCTCATTATTATGACTGAAGCAGACAATTCTATTAGATCTAACATTCTAGAACTTTATATAGTTATGCCCTCAAAAAAGTGATGGGGGTTGAAAGAATCAACATTGTCAAAATGTCTATAACACCCAAAGCAATCTACAGATTTAATGTAGTCCCTTTCAAAATTCCAATGACATTTTTCACAAAAATAGAAAAAAAAAATCCTAAAATGCATATGGAACCGCAAAAGCCCCCAAATAACTGAAGCAATTTTGAGCAGGAACAAAACTGAAGGCATCACATTTCCTAATTTTAAATTATATTTACAAAGTTATAGTAATCCAAAAAGTATGGTACTGACATAAAAACAGACACATAGATCAATGGAACATAGACCAATGGGACAGAATAGAGGGCCCAGAAATAAATCCACGCATATATGGTCAACTATTCTTCCATAAGGCACAAAGAATACACAATGGGGAAAGGATAGTCTCTTTAGTAAGTGGTGCTGGGAAAACTGGATATTAACAACAAAAAAATTGGATCTTTATCATACACAAAACCAGCTCAAAATGAATTACATATTAAATAAGTAATTATTCATTTTTATTATTTATTAATTTAATAATAACATAATTAAATGTGTAAGATGTGAAACTGTAAAACTAGAAGAAAACAGGGGGAAAGCTCTGTGGCATTGGTCTTGGCAATGATTTTTTGAATATGACACCAAAAGCACAGTTAACAAAAACAAAAACAAACAAGTGGGACTACATCAAACTAAAAAGTTTCTGCACTGCAAAGGAGCAATCAATAAAATAAAAAAGCAACCTGTGGAATGGGAGCGATTATTTACAAACCATATACCTGATAAGAAGTTAATATCCAAAATATATAAGAAACTCATACAACTCAATAGCAAAAAAACAAATAACTTGATTTAAAAATAGGCAAAGGACTCCGGAATCTGCTAATCCCAGTCGGTGCCGCATCCCCAGCCCGCCGCCATGGCCGCCTACAAACTGGTGCTGATCCGGCACGGCGAGAGCGCATGGAACCTGGAGAACCGCTTCAGCGGCTGGTACGACGCCGACCTGAGCCCGGCGGGCCACGAGGAGGCGAAGCGCGGCGGGCAGGCGCTACGAGATGCTGGCTATGAGTTTGACATCTGCTTCACCTCAGTGCAGAAGAGAGCGATCCGGACCCTCTGGACAGTGCTAGATGCCATTGATCAGATGTGGCTGCCAGTGGTGAGGACTTGGCGCCTCAATGAGCGGCACTATGGGGGTCTAACCGGTCTCAATAAAGCAGAAACTGCTGCAAAGCATTGTGAGGCCCAGGTGAAGATCTGGAGGCGCTCCTATGATGTCCCACCACCTCCGATGGAGCCCGACCATCCTTTCTACAGCAACATCAGTAAGGATCGCAGGTATGCAGACCTCACAGAAGATCAGCTACCCTCCTGTGAGAGTCTGAAGGATACTATTGCCAGAGCTCTGCCCTTCTGGAATGAAGAAATAGTTCCCCAGATCAAGGAGGGGAAACGTGTACTGATTGCAGCCCATGGCAACAGCCTCCGGGGCATTGTCAAGCATCTGGAGGGTCTCTCTGAAGAGGCTATCATGGAGCTGAACCTGCCGACTGGTATTCCCATTGTCTATGAATTGGACAAGAACTTGAAGCCTATCAAGCCCATGCAGTTTCTGGGGGATGAGGAGACGGTGCGCAAAGCCATGGAAGCTGTGGCTGCCCAGGGCAAGGCCAAGAAGTGAAGGCCGGCGGGGAAGATACTGTCCCCAGGAGCACCCTCCCTGCCCATCTTGTCCCTCTGCCCCTCCCACCTGCACATGTCACACTGACCACATCTGTAGACATCTTGAGTTGTAGCTGCAGATGGGGACCAGTGGCTCCCATTTTCATTTTAGCCATTTTGTCGCCTGCACCCACTCCCTTCATACAATCTAGTCAGAATAGCAGTTCTAGAGCACAGGTTCTCAGTCTAAGCTATGGAAAAGCTCCCCTTATCCAACAGAGTTTAAAAGTAGTGACTTGGGTTTTTGCGAGTGCTTTGTTTACTAAGGACTTTGGGGAGGAACCATGCTAAGCCATGACCAGTGAGGAGAAGCAACAGAGCCTGTCTGTCCCCATGAGCGGAGTCTGTCCTCTGCTCTTCTGCAGTCAGGTCACTGCCTACTGCCTGGGGGCTCTAGTCATTCCAGTGGAAGACGAATGTAACCTGCGTGGTGATGTGACAACTGTTTCCTCCCTGACCCCAGAGGATCTGGCTCTAGGTTGGGATCAATCCTGAATTTCGTTATGTGTTAATTTACTTTTATTAAAAAAGTATAGTATATATAAATAATACAAAACAATAACCCTTCTGGGGTTTCTTGTGGCGGTTGAAATAGTCCCACATGTGGTCATCAGAAAATAAGCCATTCCTCATACCAATATAGGATCAGCTCCTTGACCTCTGAGGGGCAGGAGTGCTTCCTGGTTTGTGTATTAGAATCCCTTCCTGCCTTGTTTCATGGCAGTGAAATGCCTCTTGGTCCTGTCCAAGTGTATCTTTCACTGATTTCTGAATCATGTTCTAGTTGCTTGACCCTGCCACATGGGTCCAGTGTTCATCTGAGCATAACTGTACTAAATCCTTTTTCCATATCAGTATAATAAAGGAGTGATGTGCAATAGCAAAAAAAAAAAAAAAAAAAAAAAAATAGGCAAAGGACCAGAATAGACATTTCTCTAAAGAAAGCACACAAATGGCCAAGAGGTATATGAAAAGATACTAAACATCACTAATAATCAGGGATATTCAAATCCAAACCACAATAGGATATCACTTCACATCTGTTAGAATGGCTATTATCAAAAAGTCAAAAGATAACAAGTGTTGGTGATGATGCAGAGAAAAGGGAACCCTTGTACATTGCTAGTGGGAATGTAATTTGGAACAGCCATTATGGAAAACAATATGGAGGTCTCTCAAAAAATTCAAAATAGAGCTACCATATGATGCAGCTATCCTACTTTAGGGTATATATCCAAAGGAAAGAAAATCAGTATCAAAGCTAGATCTACACTCTCAGGTTCATTGCAGCACTATTTTTTTTTTTTTTTGAGACAGTGATTCGTTATATCGTCACCTGGGCTGGAATGCAGTGGCACAATCTTGGCTCACTGCAACCTCCGCTTCCGGGGTTCAAGCGATTCTCCTGCCTCAGCCTCCCAAGTAGCTAGAAATACAGGTGCACATCACCATGCCCGGCTAATTTTTGTATATTTTTAGTAGAGACAGGGTTTCACCATGTTGGCCAGGCTGGTCTCCAACTCCTGACCTCAGGTGATCTGCCCACCTCAGCCTCCCAAAGTGCTGGGATTACAGGTGTGAGCCACCGCACCCAGCCCGCAGCACTATTCAGAATAGCCAAGATATGGAATTAACCTGTGTCCATAAATGGATGAGTGGATAAAGAAATGTGGTATATATATGAGTATGTGTGTGTATGTAGACATATATATGCACAAAATAAAATATTATTTCACCTTAGAAAAGAAGAAAATCATGCCATTTGTGACAATATGGGTGAGCCTGGAGGACATTATGCTAAGTGAAATAAGCCAGGTAAAGAAAAATGAATACAGCATGTTCACTTATATGAGAAATCTACAAAGTTGAACTTACAGAAACAGAGAGTAGAAGGGTGGTTACCAGGGACAGAGAGGTGGGGAAATGGGGAAATGTCGGTCAAAGGGTACAAGCTTGCCGTTATAAGATGAGCAAGTTCTGGAGACCTAATGCACAGCATGGTGACTGTTATTACTAATAATGTATTGTATACTTGAAATCTACTAAGAGGGTAGATCTTAAGAGTTCTCACTGCACATACGCAAAAGGCAACTACGTGAGGGTGATGGATTTGTTAATTAGCTTGATTGTGGTAATCATTTCACAATGTGTATATTAAAACATTGTACTCCTTGAAAATATATATATATGTGTGTGTGTGTGTATATATGTGTGTGTGTGTGTATATATATATATATATATGTATATATTTTTTTTCAGAGACAGGATTGTCACCCAGGCTGGAGTGTAGTAGTGCAATCATAGCTCATTGTAACCTTGAGCTCCTGGGTTCTATCAATCCTCCCACCTTGGTCTCCCAAAGCACTGAGATTACAGGCTTGAGCTACCAGGGTTGGCTGAATATATACATTTTTTATTTGTTAATTATACCTCAATAAAGCTGAAGAAAGCAAACAAAAAACTCTTATTTGAGAACTAATATTTGATAAAATGTTCTTATCAATAACTTTATGTCATTTTAATTATTCAGACAATATTTACAAGAACATGCTTACTTCCTTAAAAATTATGTATGCCTGGATTCCATTCCAAGATGGCTGAATAGGAACAGCTCTGGTCTGCAGCTCCCAGCGTGATTGATGCAGAAGATGGGTGATTTCTGCATTTCCAACTGAGGTACCTCGTTCATCTCATTGGGACTGGTTGGACAGTGGGTGCAGCCCACAGAGGGTGAGCCGAAGCAGGGCAGGGCATTGCCTCACCTGAGAAGCCCAAAGGGTCGGGGGATTTCCCTTTCCTAGCCAAGGGAAGCTGTGACAGACTTTACCTGGAAAAACGGGACACTCCCACCCAAATACTGCACTTTTCCAGTGGTCTTAGCAAACAGCACACCAGGAGATTACATCCTGTGCATGGCTTGGTGGGGCCCATGCCCATGGAGCCTTGCTCACTGCTAGCGCAGCAGTCTGAGATCGACCTGCGAGGCAGCAGCCTGGCAGGTGGAAGGGCGTCCACCATTGCTGAGGTTTGAGTGGGTAAACAAAGTGGGTGGGGAAGCTTGAACTGGGCAGAGCCCACCACAGCTCCGCAAAGCCAGCTGCCTCTGTAGACTCCACTTCTGGGGGCAGGGCATAGCTGAACAAAAGGCAGCAGAAACTTCTGCAGACTTAAACATCCCTGTCTGACAGCTCTGAAGAGAGCAGTGGTTCTCCCAGCATGGTGTTTGAGCTCTGAGAACAGACAGACTGCTTCCCTCAGTGGGTCCCTGACCCCCATGTAGCCTAACTGGGAGACACCTCCCAGTAGGGGCCAACTGATACATCATACAGGTGGGTGCCCCTCTGGGACGAAGCTTCCAGAGGAAGGATCAGGCAGCAATATTTGCTGTTCTGCAATATTTGCTGTTCTGCAGCCTCCGCTGGTGATACCGAGGCAAACAGGGTCTGGAGTGGACCTCCAGCAAACTCCAACAGACCTACAGCTAAGGGACCTGACTGTTAGAAGGAAAACTAACAAACAATAAAGAATAGCATCAACACCAACAAAAAGGACATCCACACCAAAATCTCAGTTGTAGGTCACCAACATCAAAGACCAAAGGTAGATAAAATCACAAAGATGGGGAGAAACCAGAGCAGAAAAGCTGAAAATTCTAAAAACCAGAGCGCCTCTTCTCCTCCAAAGGATCACAGCTCCTCGCCAGCAATGGAACAAAGCTGGACGGAGAATGACTTTGACGAGCTGACAGAAGTAGGCTTCAGAAGGTTGGTAATAACAAACTTCTCCAAGCTACAGGAGGATGTTTGAACCCATTATAAGGAAGCTAAAAACCTTGAAAAAAGATTATACAAATGGCAAACTAGAACAAACAGTGTACAGAGGACCTTAAATGACCTGATGGAGCTGAAAACCATGGCACGAGAACTATGTGATGCATGCACAAGCTTCAATAGCCAATTCGATCAGGTGGAAGAAAGGGTATCAGCAATTGGAGATCAAATTAATGAAATAAAGTGAGAAGAGAAGTTAAAAGAAAAAAGAGTAAAAAGAAATGAACAAAACCTACAAGAAATATGGGACTATGTGAAAAGACCAAATCTACATTTGATTGGTGTACCTGAAAGTGACGGGGAGAATAGAATCAAGTTGGAAAACACTCTTCAGGATATTATCCAGGAGAACTTCCCCAACCTAGCAAGGCAGGCCAACATTCAAATTCAGGAAATACAGAGAGCACCGCAAAGATATTCCTCGAGAGGAGCAACCCCAAGATATATAATTGTCAGATTCACCAAGGTTGAAATGAAGGAAAAAATGTTAAGGGCAGCCACAAAGAAAGGTCAGGTTACCCACAAAGGGAAGCCCATCAGACTAACAGCAGATCTCTCAGCAGAAACTCTACAAGCTAGAAGAGAGTGGGGGGCAATATTCAACATTCTTAAAGAAAAGAATTTTCAACCAAGAATTTCATATCCAGCCAAACTAAGTGAAGGAGAAATAAAATCCTTTACAGACAAGCAGATGCTGAGAGATTTTGTCACCACCAGGCTTGCCTTACAAGAGCTCCTGAAGGGAGCACTAAACATGGAAAGGAAAAACCAGTATCAACCACTGCAAAAACATGCCAAATTGTAAAGACCATCGATGCTAGGAAAACACTGCATCAACTAATGGGCAAAATAACCAACTAACATCATAATGACAGGATCAAATTCACACATAACAATATTAACCTTAAATGTAAATGGACTATATGTCCCAATTAAAAGACACAGACTGGCAAATTGGATAAAGAGTCAAGACCCATCAGTGTGCTGTATTCAGGAGACCCATCTCATGTGCAGAGACACATACAGGCTCAAAATAAAGGGATGGAGGAAGATCTACCAAGCAAATGGAAAGCAAAAAAAAAGCAGGGGCTGCAATCCTAGTCTCGGATAAAACAGATTTTAAACCAACAAAGATCAAAACAGACAAAGAAGGCCATTACGTCATGGTAAAGGGATCAATTCAACAAGAAGAGCTAACTTTCCTAAGTATATATGCACCCAATACAGGAGCACCCAGATTCATAAAGCAAGTCCTTAGAGACCTACAAAGAGACTTAGACTCCCACACAATAATAATGGGAGACTTTAACACCCCACTGTCAATATTAGACAAATCAATGAGACAGAAGGTTAACAAGAATATCCAAGACTTGAGCTCAGCTCTGCACCAAGTGGACCTCAATAGACATCTACAGAACTCTCCACCACAAATCAACAGAATATACATTTTTCTCAGCACCACACTGCACTTATTCCAAAACTGACCACAGAGTTGGAAGTAAAACACTCTTCAGCAAATGTAAAAGAACAGAAATCACAACAAACTGTCTCTCAGACCACATTGCAATCAAATTAGAACTCAGGATTAAGAAACTCACTCAAAACCGCACAACTACATGGAAACCGAACAACCTGCTCCTGAAGGACTACTGGGTAAATAGCGAAATGAAGGCAGAAATAAAGATGTTCTTTGAAACCAATGAGAACAAAGACACAACATACCAGAATCTCTGGGACACATTTAAAGCAGTGTGTAGAGGGAAATTTATAGCACTAAATGCCCACAAGAGAAAACAGGAAAGATCTAAAATCGACACCCTAACATCACAATTAAAATAACTAGAGAAGCAAGAGCAAACACATTCAAAAGCTAACAGAAGGCAAGAAATAACTAAGATCAGAGCAGAACTGAAGGAGATAGAGACACAAAAAACCCTTCAAAAAATCAATGAATCCAGGAGCTGGTTTTTTGAAAAGGTCAACAAAATAGACTGCTAGCAAGAATAATAAAGAAGAAAAGGGAGAAGAATCAAACAGACGCAATAAAAAATGACAAAGGAGATATCACCACCGATAGTACCATCAGAGAATACTATGAACACCTCTATGCAAATAAACTAGAAAATATAGAAGAAATGGATAAATTCCTGGATGCATACACCCTCCCAAGACTATACCAGGAAGAAGTTGAATCTCTGAATAGACCAATAACAGGCTCTGAAATTGAGGCAATAATTAATAGTCTACCAACCAAAAAATGTCCAGGACCAGATGGATTCACAGCCAAATTCTACCAGAAGTACAAAAAGGAGCTGGTACCATTCCTTCTGAAACTATTCCAATCAATAGAGGAAGAGGGAATCCTCCCTAACTCATTTTATGAGGCCAGCATCATCCTGATACCAAAGTCTGGCAGAGACACAGCACAAAAAGAGAATTTTAGACCAATATCCCTTATGAACATCAGTGCGAAATCCTCAATAAAATACTGGCAAACTGAATCCAGCAGCACATCAAAAAGCTTATCCACCACGATCAAGTTGGCCTCATCCCTGGGATACAAGGCTGGTTCAACACATGCAAATCAATAAACGTAATCCATCACATAAACAGAACCAACAACAAAAACCACATGATTATTTCAATAGATGCAGAAAAGGCCTTCCACAAAATTCAACAGCCTTTCATGCTAAAAACTCTCAATAAACTAGGTACTGATGGAACGTGTCTCAAAATAATAAGAGCTATTTATGACAAACCCACAGCCAATATCATACTGAATGGGCAAAAACTGAAAGCATTCCCTTTGAAAACTGGCACAAGACAGGGATGCCCTCTCTCACCACTCCTATTCAACATAGTGTTGGAAGTTCTGGCCAGGGCAATCAGGCAGGAGAAAGAAATAAAGGGTATTCATTTAGGAAAAGAGGAAGTCAAACTGTCCCTGTTTGCAGATGACATGATTGTGCATTTAGAAAACCCCATCGTCTCAGCCCATAATCTCCTTAAGCTGATAAGCAACTTCAGCAAAGTCTCAGGATACAAAATCAATGTGCAAAAATCACAAGCATTCCTATACACCAATAACAGACAAACAGAGAGCCAAATCATGAGTGAACTCCCATTCACAATTGCTTCAAAGAGAATAAAATACCTAGGAATCCAACTTACAAGGGATGTGAAGGATCTCTTCAAGGAGAACTACAAACCACTGCTCAACGAAATAAAAGAGGACACAAACAAATGGAAGAACATTCCATGTTCGTGAATAGGAAGAATTAATATCGTGAAAATGGCCATACTGCCCAAGGTAACTTATAGATTCAATGCCATCCCCATCAAGCTACCAATGACTTTCTTCACAGAATTGGAAAAAAATACTTTAAAGTTCATATGAATCAAAAAAGAGCCCACATCGCCAAGACAATCCTAAGCCAAAAGAACAAAGCTGGAGGCATCACGCTACCTGACTTCAAACTATACTAAAAGGCTACAGTAACCAAAATAGCATGGTACTGATGCCAAAACAGAGATACAGACCAATGCAACAGAACAGAGGCCTCAGAAATATCACCACACATCTACAATAATCTGATATTTGACAAATCTGACAAAAACAAGAAATAGGGAAAGGATTCCCTATTTATTAAATGGTGATGGGAAAACTGGCTAGCCATACATAGAAAGCTGAAACTGGATCCCTTCCTTACACCTTATACAAAAATTAATTCAAGATGGATTAAAGACTTAAATGTTAGACCTAAAACCATAAAAACTCTAGAAGAAAACCTAGGCAATACCATTCAGGACATAGGCATGGGCAAGGACTTCATGTCTGAAACACCAAAAGCAATGGCAACAAAAGCCAAAATACACAAATGGGATCTAATTAAACTAAAGAGCTTCTGCACAGCAAAAGAAACTACCATCAGAGTGAATAGGCAACCTACACAATGGGAGAAAATTTTTGCAATCTACCCATCTGACAAAGGGCTGATATCCAGAATCTACAAAGAACTTAAACAAATTTACAAGAAAAAAACAAACAACCCCATCAAAAAGTGGGCGAAGGATATGAACAGACACTTCTCAAAAGAAGACATTTATGCAGCCAACAGACACATGAAAAAATGCTCATCGTCACTGGCCATCAGAGAAATGCAAATCAAAACCACAATGAGATACCATCTCACACCAGTTAGAATGGCGATCATTAAAAAGTCAGGAAACAACAGATGCTGGAGAGGATGTGGAGAAATAGGAATGCTTTAACACTGTTGGTGGGAGTGTAAACTGGTTCAACCATTGTGGAAGACAGTGTGGTGATGCCTCAAGGATCTAGAACTAGAAATACCATTTGACCCAGCCATCCTATTACTGGGTATATACCCAAAGGATTATAAATCATGCTGCTTTAAAGACACATGCACACGTATGTTTATTGCTGCACTATTCACAATAGCAAAGACTTGGAACCAACCCAAATGTCCATCAATGATAGACTGAATTAAGAAAATGTGGCACATATACACCATGGAATACTATGCAGCCATAAAAAAGGTGAGCTCACATCCTTTGCAGGGACATGGATGAAGCTGGAAATCATCATTCTGAGCAAACTATCACAAGGACAGAAAACCAAACACTGCATGTTCTCTCACTCATGGGTGGGAATTAAACAATAAGAACACTAGGACATAGGACAGGGAACATCAGACACCAGGGCCTGTCATGGGGTGGGAGCAGGGGGAGGGATAGCATTAAGAGAAATAGCTAATGTAAATGACAAGTTAATGGGTGCAGCAAACTAACATGGCCCATGTATACCTATGTAACAAACCTGCACGTTGTGCACATGTACCCTAGAACTTAAAGTATAATAATAAAAAAATTATTTATGCCTGTAGAATTGCTATCTTTGATAACAGTATCTGCAATTCACTCACTGTTATTCAAATGAGTCAGATTAACTATACATCTCTTTGAAATAAAAAACAACAAATTGAAAAAAAAATGTTTTTTTTCTTTTGGGACGAAGTCTTGTTCTGTCGCCCAGGCTGGAGTGCAGTCGCTTGATCTTGGCTCACTGTAACCTCTGGCACCCGGGTTTACGCGATTCTCCTGCCTCAGCCTCCAAAGTAGCTGGGATTACAGACGCGTGCCACCATGCCCAACTAATTTTTGCATATTTAGTAGAGATGGGGTTTCAGCATCTTGGCCAGGCTGGTCTTGAACTCCTGACCTCGTGATCCACCCGCCTCAGCCTCCCAAAGTGCTGGGATTACAGGCGTGAGCCACCACGCCCAGCCTAACAAATTGAAAAATTAAGCATCCCATTTTCTAAGTACTATGAGACTCGAGTATATAGGTACTTTTAGCTTTTTAGATGCTGTGTTGTGACTTTACTGGGTGTAAATTTGTAAGTTCAGAGTTCTACTGAATGTGAGAATAAATAAATTTATTTTTAACATTACAAAAGTGATTGGGGAGTCAGCACTGTTTTCTGGCAAGGTGTTAGAGATTTTGCTATTAGAATGTAAATATGAGTTAACTAGCTAAAAATGCTAAGGGGCTGGGCACGGTGGCTCACGCCTGTAATCCCAGCACCTTGGGAGGCCTAGGTGGGCAGATCACTTGAGGTCAGGAGTTCGAGACCAGCCTGGCCAACATGGTGAAACCCCGTCTCTACTAAAAATACAAAAATTAGCTGGGTGTGGGGCCAGGCGTGGTGGCTCACCCCTGTAATCCCAGCACTTTGGGAGGCTGAGGTGGGTGGATCATCTGGGGTCAGGAGTTCGAGACCAGCCTGGCCAACATGGTAAAACGCTGTCTCTACTAAAAATACAAAAATTAGCTGGGCGTGGTGACAGGCGCCTGTAATCCCAGCTAGTCAGGAGGCTGAGGTAGGAGAATCGCTTGAACCTGCGAGACAGAGGTTGCAGTCGGCCAAGATCGCACCATTGCACTCCAGCCTGGGCGACAGAAAGAGACTCTGTCTCAAAAAAGAAAAAATTAGTTGGATGTGGTGGCACGCACCTGTGATCCCAGCTCCTTGGGAGGCTGAGACAGGGGAATTGCTTGAACCAGGGAGGCGGAGGTTGCAGTAAACACAGATCGCACCACTGCACTCCAGCCTGGGTGACAAAGCAAGGCTCTTTCTCAACAACAACAGCAACAACAACAAAGCTAAGATGGGATAAGGGCCCAACCCAGGACAAGAAGGTAATTAGGGGGTTCCCTTGACATTTCTTTGATTCATTCAACAAACATTTACTCAACCTCTACGAATATACCAGGCACCCAGGCACTAGAGATTCAAAGATAAGTCCCCAGTTAGTCCACATTTGGGGGAAGGGAGGGGAAGACACCAGTAAATATATAATGGCAATACAGTGTGCTTAGATGCCTTGGTAGATGTAAGCATGGGATATTGTTTTAGCATCAAGGAGGGGCACCTGACCAGATCATGGGGGTCAGGGAAGGCTCCTGGTCTCCACCAAACCAAACCAAGATACTCCGTTCATTCTTATGTTTCCTTACTAGAACGCAAGCTCCAGGGACAGGACGGGTACTACGTTAATCATTTCTGTATTTCCAGTTCATGGCAAGCATTTGGCACTTGGTAGTGTGGCAGCCTTGATAGCTGGCTGATCCAACAGCTCTTCCCATCCTTTTCTCCTTTGCCTGTTTCCATATGAGAGAGAGGAAAATCCAAATAAAGATTTTACCAGCCTTCTTTGCAGCTAGTAGTAGCCACATAATATAGATCTGATGCACAGAGACTTAAGTGGAAATCTACTGGGAATATCTGAGAAAGCTTTTCCTTTCTGGATGAAGTGTCAACTCCCCCTTCCTCCTGCCTTGCATGGGGCCATAATGGCTGGAGCTAGGCAGCCACCTTGAGACCATGAGGGAGAGGTCAAGAGCTACACAGAATGGTCAGCTCTTATGTCATCGAACTGCTGAATCAATGCCATCAATACCTACCTCCTCCAAACTTCTTATGTGACAGAATCAACCCATGTGTTTAAGCTGCCGTAAATCAGTGTTTCTGGTATTTGAAGTCAAAGACATTCCAGTAGATTAAGTAGGTTCTCAAGAAATTTTTGCAGAACTGAAGTCCTGGGGATAAGCTGATTGTGGGGAATTAAGAGAGGGATCAGAGTTATAAAGAGGTAGAAAACTGATAGGAAGTCAGGGATAGAGAACTGGAGAACCAAGGAAGTGATGCTGGACAGCTTAAGAATGTGTAGGGTGGGGTGTCCTATCTTCTGGCTTCCCTGGACCACACTGAAAGAAGAATTGTCTTGGGCCACACATAAAATACACTAACATGAAACATAGCTGATGAGCTAAACAAAAAAAATCACACACACACAAAAATCTCATTATGTTTTAAGAAAGTTGATGAATTTGTGTTGGGCTGCATCCAAAGCTGTCCAGCACTGCCTGTGGCCTGTGGGCTACGGGTTGGACAAGCTTGAGGTAGAGTAAAAGGCAGAGATCTGGAACCAAGAGAAACTGGAATGGGGCAGAGTCTGAGAGAACATCTTCTGGCTAACAAGGTCCCGGCATGCAAAGAACTGCACCACAGGACTTGTTCCTCACTAGGGTTGAGGCATGGGTGCGTGAGATGCAGACTATGTGCCCGCTCTCTCCTCCTTACATGCTTCCTGCACGTGGCCCGGGGGACTCGGCTCACCTGCTTTTCCTCCACCTTTCTGATGGCTCATTCTCAGTCTCTTTCACTGGTTGCTCCTACCTCCTGAATATCTAAATGTTGGAACACCTTAGCGATTTCTTCTCTTCTTTCTCTAAACTCCCTCCTTAGGAGACTTCATCCTGACTCATGGCTTTAAATATAATTTATATGCTGAAAACTCCCAAATTTCTATCTCCAGGCCAGCCATCTCACATGGATTCCAGACTCCAGATGCCATTTGGCATCTGCACTTATAGTAATCCACGTGTCCAAAACTGAGCTTCTGGTATTTCCCCCGAAACATGCCCTTCCCATAATCTTCCCCAAATCAGTTCGGGTGACTCCATTTAGTTTTTATTTTTATTTTTGAGATGGAGTTTTGTTCTGTCTCTCAAGCTGGAATGCAGTGGCACAATCTTGGCTCACTGCAACCTCCGCCTCCTGGGTTAGAGCAATTCTCCTGCCTCAGCCTCCCTAGTAGCTGGGATTACATGTGTGCACCACCACGCCCAGCTAGTTTTTGTATTTTTAGTAGAGAGGCAGTTTCGCCATGCTGGCCAGGCTGTTCTTGAACTCCTGACCTCAGGTGATCCACTCACCTTGGTCTCCCAAAGTGCTGGGATTACAGGTGTGAGCCACTGTGCCCGGCTGTGACTCCGTTTTTTAAATTGCTCCACAAAAAAATCAGCTTGGTGTTTCCTTAACCCCTCTCTGTTCCTTATTCCCATGTGCACTGACAGCAAATCTTGTCAGTTCCACTTTCAAAATAGATCCAGAATTTTTACCACCTTCTGTGGCTCCACCCTGGCACATTAGCCTTTGACTATATTATTCTGCCTTTGTCTCCCTTCAGCTGATTTTCAACAAAGCAGCCAGAATGAACCTGTGAAAATAGGAGTCGCATTGTGCTGTGCTCTGTTCAAAACCTTCCAAGGCCTTCCTGTCTCTCTCAGAGCAAAAACCAAAGTCATTACAGCATCCTTCCATAAGGTATCGCGTGATCACACCGGCCTCCTTGCCAGACAGCCTCCTGCCTCAGAGCCTTGGCCACGTGCTATTCCTGCTGCCTGGAATCCTCTTCCCAGATATCTACATGGCTTGCCCCCTCATGTCTCTCAGTCTCTTAGTCAAAAGCCTCTAACCCCAACAATGCACAAATTGCATCCCCTCAGCAATTACCATCTTCCAACAGACTGCCTCGTCATCACCGGTGTACTGGCTGCCATCCAAATGACAGACTATAAGCCCCATGAAGGCAGGAAATTTTGTTTCATTCATTGCCATACACCCAGCATCTAGACAAGTGCCTGGCAATATAAGCCCTCAGAAAACATTTATGGACCAAAGGGATGAATGTGCAACTGTCTCCTCAGGGTGCTGCACAAGTATCTCAAAGCCCCTACATTCACAACTGAAATTAGCACCTCCCCTACAGAAACTCCTTCTCTGGGGTTCTCAGATTCCTCTTCAACTTCTCCCTCCTAATTCCTCCTTCAATCACCGAGTCCTACTAATTACACCTCTGCAATAACCTCCCACCTGGCCTTCCTGCCTTTAGAATTTCTGTACACTGCCCTTCCTCAATCCATCACTGGCCTAACGGCCATAGTAACTTTTTTGTTGTTCGATAATCATATCAAGTTCATTTGAAACACAAATGCAGCTTGAGTAGCCTTAATTTTTTGTTTGATTTCCTTTTTCTTTTTTTCGCTTGAAACATTTCAAGACCGCTGAAAAGTCTGAAGAATAAATACTCATATACCTTTCACCAGATCCACCAGTTGCTAACATGTTGACATATTTACTTAATTGAACTTCATATGTACATATATATTTTTGGAAGTTGTAAACATCATGACACTTCTCCCCCTAAATATTTCAGCATATCTATCTTTAAAAGAAGGACCAGACAGACCACTGAGGACAGCGACTGTGGCTTCCTCACTTCCATCTGCCTGTCCTGCCCCAAGGTGGGAACTCAATAAATGTGTGTTGAATCAATGAGAATCAGGAGAGAGAAAGAAAAGGCGAGAGGCTCTTGTTGCTCTGCTCTTCAGCCCCAGAAAGAAAGGACTCAGCCAGAAGGAGGGGAACTGCTGATGATCCCACTCCAGGAATAAAAGCAGAGGGCTCTGGTCATCTCATCAGCCTTCCTGCTACTGTCACAACAAAGAGCCCCAGAACTGTGCCCCTTACACCTCTGTGAGCTTTCCTAGCCCTAGTGACTTCCGTGTGTGTGGTTTCTCTGTGGTAATAAATAGCCAAGCCTTTAACAAGAAATTGCCTGCAGGCCTGTCTTCAGGACAGACAGAGAGGTGGAGCTGGGAGCCACTGCAGGGCAGGCAAGGCACTGGGCAGTAGCATCTTCAAAGAGGGGAGAAAAGAAGGTTGAGGTTCTAGGGCCTGTGAGTAGGAAGAAAAGGAGAGTACAGAGAGTTGTTCTGGGCATGAGAAGAGGCCTGTAAGTTTAAAAATAAGCCCCTGAAGACCTTGCATGGGGAGCCATTTTACCAGATGCCAAAGAGTTTAGGCATGTGGCCAAACCTGGAAAGAATGTTTTGAGACCTGGCAGTGGCTAAGGGAATTTGCTCTGCCTTGGAACAAAAAGCAAAGTGGGAAAGGCTCTTCAGAAAAATACTCCAAAAATCAGTGCCCCTGTGTTTCATTTTACATGCCAGCTCTGATTGGCTATGGTATGGGCTGTTGGGATTGCTAGATTGAGAAGAAATCTGAAGCCATCACTAGATTCAGTTAAAAAAGAAAAGAAAAGAAAGATAAGAAAGAAAGAAAGAAAGAAAGAAAGAAAGAAAGAAAGAAAGAAAAAGAAAGAAAGAAAGAAAATAAGAAAGAAAGAAAGAAAGAAAGTGATTGATTAATCATGTCTGCCATGGTTATAGTATGGTAGGGAGTAATAGGAAATGACTGGGAATCAAAAAGCAAGATAAAAGAGGGGGTTCCTAAAAGTACTGTTGAATGACTTAAATATGAGAGCTGTGTAGGTTAGTGGAAATATGGGCTTTATCCTTAGACAGAGCTGACTGTGAATCCTAATTAGCTGTGTAATCATGGGGTGACTTACAAAACCCTATGTGTAAAACGGGATAGTTCTGCATATTACAAAGCTATTGCTACATAAGTATTAACTATTATTATTTTAACACTTACGTAGCAATTCTATGTGCTAGGCATTGTTCTACGACTTTTACAAATATTCATTCACGGATTATCACAACAACTCCTTAAAGTTATTATTCCAATACACAGGTGAGAAAACTGAGGCTCAGAGAATTAAGAGGTCTGCTAAGGGTCACACAACTAATAAGTGGCAGAGCTAATATTTACACGCAGGCATCCTGGCTCTGAGTTCACATTCTTAACCACCTTGATAGTTACTACAGCCAACCACTTTCCATCGCTATGGTTGCTATCACTGTGTCAAGCAACTGACATAAGCTCTGTGAGTTAACTCTGCAAGACTTGCACCCTGAAGTTCTCAAATGCATAGACACATTTAACAGAGCACTTCATTTTAAGCTATGCAAGCTACAAAGTCATTAACAGGACAAGAGTAAGAATTCACTAAAGGAAAGAGAAAGGACAAGATCAGGACTCAGGAGTCTGTCCTCTAACAAAATATCTCTTGCCTTTTAACTTTTTGCTATAATGAAAGGTTTACTCAAGATTCACCAAGATACATAGAACAGGTGTCTTACTCCATTTTTTTTTTTGACAGGGTCTTACTCTATCACCTAGGCTGGAGTGTGGTGGCATGATCGTAGCTTACTATAGCCTCGAATTCCTGGGCTCAAGCTGTCCTCTCACCTCAGTCTCCCAAATAGCTGGGACAATAGGCATGCACCACCACCACATCCAGCTAATTAAAAATTTTTTTTGTAGAGACAGAGTCTTGCTATGTTGCCTAGTCTGGTTTAGAACTCTGGGCCTCAAGAGATCCTCCCACCTTACCCTCCCAAAGTGCTGTGATTACAGGCATGAGCCACCATGCCAGCCTGAACTGGGTGGCTTCTAAACAACAAAACTTTATTTCTTATAGTTCTGGAAGCTGAGAAGCCCAAGATCAAGGTGCTGGCAGATTCAGTGCCTGGTGGGGGCCTACTTTCTGGCTCATAGATAGCACGTTCTAGCTGTGTCCTCCATGGTGGAAGGGGTGAACCAGCTCTCTTAGGCCTTTTTTTTTTTTTTTTGAGATGGAGTTTCGCTCTCGTTGCCCAGGCTGGAGTGCAATGGTGCAATCTCAGCTCACCACAACCTCCACCTCCTGGGTTCAAGTGATTCTCCTATCTCAGCCTTCCAAATAGCTGGGATTACAGGCATGCACCACCACGCCTGGCTAATTTTTTGTATTTTCAGTAGGGACGGGGTTTCTCCATGTTGGTCAGTCTGGTCTCAAACTCCCGACCTCAAGTGATCCACCTGCCTCAGCCTCCCAAAGTGCTGGGATTACAGGTGTGAGCCGCTGTGCCCAGCCTCTTAGGCCTATTTTACAAGGGCACTAATCCCATTGGTGATGGTGCTGCCCTCATGACCCAACCACCTCCCAAAAGGCCCCACTTTCTAGTAGCATCACCTTGGGGGTTAGAGTTTCAACATATGAATTTTGGGGGGACACAAACCTTCAGACCATAGCACTAGGGGTGCAGGACAAGAGAGTCTTCAGTTTATAGAGAATTTGTCTTGCTTTCTCCTGTGCTAGCATGAGAAATTCTTTCACAAAAAGCCTTTAGAGTAGGGGTCAGCAAACTATGACCCCTGGTCAAATCCTGCCTGACACTAGTTTTTGTAAATAAAGTTTTGTTAGAACGTAGCCATGCTTATTTTTTGTTTCTCTGCTGTTTTAATACTGCAACAGCAGAGTTGAACAGTTGCAACAGAAACCATATGGCTTATTATCAGGCCCGTTGCAGAAAAAGTTTGCTGACTTCTGATCTCCAATTTAGGCCAGATTTTCTATATACCAGTACAACACACATGATAATCTTATGTCCTTAACTTGAGAAGGAAAAACAAGGCATCCCCTTGGATGAGCTCCAGGGAAGGTGGAGAATAGGATGTCCAAAAGAGGAACCAAAATGAAAACAAGTGTGTCCAGAATAGCACACCGCAGAGTGTGCTCCTAGAAATGTTAACCTACATTATGTGATAAGGTGGTTCAGCGATCAACTGTTTGGGAATCATTGCGTTAAACAACCTTAAGAGGATTTCTCTACTACAGGACTTCTCAGGACCTTTAAAATGCTATTATGCCTTGCGATCTCTAAGAGGGTAATATAGTTCACAGAGTTTCCCATGGGACTATGTTTTCTCAGAACTTTCTTTGGAAAATGCTGAAATTAAAAAGGATTTAGAATCATTTTCCTCGGGAACTAGAAATGAAAACTATGAGGGCTGTGCCTTAATGAACCTCACATTTTCTCAGCAAGGAAAGAGGAAGCACAAAGAAGAAATAATGAAAGACAGAATGGGAAATAAAAGAAAGAGAGGTGTCTGAAGGAAGAAAGGAAGAAAGCAAAGTGCTGGAGAGATGACATATTAGGGTATGAGGAACACTTGGACCACTGGACTGTCAGAGGGAACCATGGTCAAAAGCAGAGGTGTTGCCAAAAACAGGATGCATGATCACTTTTGTCACCACTGCCATCATCAGCACCATCAGAGAAGCTAACCTTTCCTGAGGCCTAACTACTTTGCAGGTCCTGTATTATGTCCTCTATAGACATTAGGTCATGTAATTTCCATTTTACAGATGAGGAACTAGGGTGCATGCAGTTAAACAATTCACCCGGAGTCGAGCTTAGAAGGTGTGTAAGTGGCAGCATGTAGATTCAGTCCTGTAAGCCTGACCCCAGAGCCTATGTTCTTACCACTGCATTGCACAGTCTACTTCCAAGTGCATTAAAGGGAGAACTGGAATTCCATTATGTAATATAGAAAGGATATTACACAGAAGTGCCACACCAGAACATTTGGAGGAAAAGGAAAAGACAAAAACCAACCAATATCACTTTGGATATTTGGCTGCACAGGGGCCAAACAACGAGAGGACTGATTTTTTTTTTCAAAGCACATCCAGACATTCAGATATCATCATGTTTTCTTTCTCTCACTCTCTCTCAGGTTTTTTTTTTTTTACTCTCATGTTAACTATCCTTCTTATTTCATAAATTATATACCAGGCTTGTCCAATGTGTGACACTTGCTTATAAAGTAAACATAAGATCTTTTTTAATGTTTAAAAAGCATTTTCAACCCAAACACCACGACTACTGTATTTACAATAAGCCTCACTTGGGTTTCCACAACGGCCAGTTCTTTCTGGGGGGATGGAGATCCTCAGAACAGCTTCCTAAGGCAGATTCTGAAAACATGAATCATGCTCAGTTAAATAATTTGTGGCTCAGGACATACCTTCATTAAATAATAGCATTCATCCACATCCTAACTGCTGATTTTTATGTTTAAAATCTGATACAAATAGTAAATTATCATATTTGTGGAGAGAAGGAGGAGAAACCCAGGTCTGGAAAAGCAGCCCAGGATGTGAAAAACATTGCACACTGGATTTGCTGGAAATGGCCGAAAAGGGTTCCGCTGGAATGCTACCAGTTCGGACTGGGAAGTTTCTGAAGGCAAAGTTTGTGTGGGGCAATCTGACACCTCTGATTTACTTTCTTGGGTCTGTAGCAGAATAAAGAACTGCTGCAGACCGGCCAGGATAAAACGGAACGACTGCACACTGCTCGTAAATTTCTCTATTTACCTGGTGAATGGTGAGGGTAGGGCTTTGGGCTCCTCGGTCCAGAAGAGCTGCAAGGCAGAGCGTTCAAATCGTGGCTGGCCCTGGGCTGCCGCCCTCACGCTGCTTCGGCTGCTTCTAAGATCCCATTGGAAGTCCCAAAGGGCTGGAGAGCCCCAAGGCCAATATTACGTTTCCAAAAGAATATTCCTCCCCGACCCGCACTCCCCTTTGCTTGCGTTGACTTCGGAACGTCTCGGGTTTCTTCCACCTCTGCGCGAAGCCGCTGGGAACCCAGGAGTTGCGCTGGCAGAGAGGGGCGGCCCCAGAAACCACTTCCAGATGTGCTCGGCTGGCCGGCTCGGATGCGCCAGACTTCCTCTGGCTAAGTGCAAAACATGCAAAAAACAACGCTGTTCTGGAGGAAAAGACACAAAACCAGAGAAGAGCAAATGCTTTCAGGGTGAATTTCTACCACACGTTGAGTCGAAGGCAAACTTTGAAAGAACACCAGTGAAAAATAAAGTTCATGCTGATTTTGAGAATCTTCATGGCCACTAGCTTCTCCTGAAATCTCCTAGTCATTGAAATGCTGTTGTCCCCAAATCAAAACCCAGGTAACAACTGTGGTCTTCTTCTACCAAGGCAATAATGACAAAAGTTTCAGGATGGAGTGTTTTTGTGCCTGAACAAAAGAGGAATCAGAGAGGAATGAGGCAGGGAGCTGGGAGCTGACCTCAACAGCAATCTGCGCTGTTCTGTATCTCTGCGGTGTGTTCTCAAACCCGGGAGATGGTGCCAGCACTTTGTCTGGGATCACAGAATTTATTTCTGCAATGGCTCCTCTTCCTATTTCCTATAAGGATATAAGGATCTCCCTGCTCACTGTCTCTTTCTAAAGTGGTGCTCTCCAACAGAAATAAAATGCAAGCCACCCTGTAATTTTACTTTTTTTTTTTTTTGAGACGGAGTCTCCCTCTGTCTCCCAGGCTAGAGTGCAGTGATGAGATCTCGGCTCACTGCAACCTCCGCCTCCCCGGTTCAAATGATTCTCCTGCCTCAGCCTCCCGAGTAGCTGGGATTACAGGCGCCCACCACTACACCCAGCTAATTTTTGTATTTTTAGTAGAGATGGGGTTTCGCCATGTTGGCCAGGCTGGTCTCAAACACCTGACCTCAGGTGATCCGCCGCCTCAGCCTCCCAAAGTGCTGGGATTACAGGCGTGAGCCACCTCATCCGGCCAATTTTACTTTTTTTTTTTTTTAAAGAGACAGGGTCTTGCTCTGTTACTCAGGCTGGAGTGCAGTGGCGTGATCACAGCTCACTGCAGCCGTGAACTTCAAGGTTCAGGCGATCCTCCCGTCTCAGCCTCCTGAGTAGCTGAGATTACAGGTGCACATCACTACACCTGGCTATAATTTAAAATTTTCTAGTAGCCACATTAAGAAAAAAGTACAAAGAGGTAAAATTTATCTTAATGATATATTTTACTTTACCCAATATATACAAGATGTTATCATTTCAACACATAATATAAAACATTATTAAGAAGATGTTTTATGTTCTTTGTTTTGTCTTTAAATTTAATTTGTTTTGATACATATTCATGTAATAATTGTACATATTCATGGGGTACATATTGATGTTTCAATATACAATGTATAGTGATCAGAACACTGTAATTAGCATATCTATAATCTCAAATATTGATGCTTATGTTGGAAACATTCAATATCCTCCTTCTAGCTCTTTGAAGCTATATATTATTGTTAACTATGGCCATACTACACTAGAACCTATTCCTCCTATCTAGCTATAATTTTATATCCTTTAACAAATCTCTCCCTATCTCTCCCTTCCTCCTGCCCTTCCCAGTGTTTTTTTTTTAACTAAGTCTTTGAAATTTGGTGTGTGTTGTACACTTGGAGCACATCTCAATTCAAACACTAAATTTAAGCAGAAACACTTCACATATATTTAGATTTTATAAATACCATTTAAAAAGTAGATTCATTTAAGGTAATGGATATCCCAGTTACACTGATTTGATCTTTACAAATTATATGAATGTATTAATATTAAATGTTTGAATACACACTCAAAATATGTATATCTATTATGTTATCAATAAAAAAATAGAAAAAAACACTGGGAACAAAAGTAAATTCACGAGTCCAGGTTGGTCCAAATGTACTTAAAAGTTTTCCAGTAATTGAATAGAGTATCAGTTTTTCAATTAAAATTAGTTACAGTTAAATAAAATTAAAAATTCAGTTCCTCAGTTGCACTAGTCACATTTAAGTACTCAGTAGTCAATGTGGCTAGTGGCTACTATATTGAGCAGTTCCATTCTAAAGGATTTAGTAGGGGTTTTCTTAGATATGAACTTTGAAGGTGGGAGGATCCTGAATATCTTCCATGTATATAGAACTTTGAATATAGCCAAAGCATTTTCATATCTTCTATTTCTTTTTAGCCACACAACATTTCTGGTAGGTAAGTTGAACAGATGTTATTTGCCCCAATTTACAGATGAGCAAACTGAGGCTTTGAGCAAATTAAAGCCCAAGTTCCCAAAGCAAGTTAGCGATGAAGCCAGGATTGGAATTCTTATTCAGCACTTCTTAAGTGTTTCCTTCTTGAGGCATATTTCAAATACTAGGATCTGCGGCTGCAACAGTAGCGTTAAGTGGCATGGCATCCACATTGGTCATCCTTCAGCATCAAATTTGCTGCCTGTGTAGAATTATTGACTGCCCTGTGTTCCCTTATATGCCCCTATTCTAAATCCCTCACACAATCCAGCAGGTGTGTCCTTTCTCCTGGAGAGGCTTGACATGATGCCCCTCCTCTTCTCTCTTTACCCCCAGCATCTTGTACCTTATTTTATGTATTAATTATTATTATTATTATGTAGAGACGTGTCTTGCTATGTTGCCCAGGCTGGACTTGAATTCCTGGGCCTTTCTCCTCAGCCTCCCGAGTAGCTGGGACTGTAGTCATGCACCACCATGCTCAGCAAGTTGTACCTTATTTTAAAGCACAATTCCATTCAAACATTTAGCTAAATGTTTTTAGCTAAAACGTTGGTCACCTCTGGGAAGTCATAAGGTTCAGGGGCAGCACAATATCCTATGCTCTAAATACTCACTGCACACACATGAGCGAAAATAAGAACCACTTCTGGCTCAGGGTTTCCCACCGCCCTTCCAGAATTATGTGCTGTTAACTTGCAGCAGGCTAGTCCCTCAGACATGTCCCAGGCATCATGTGGACAGCAGCCTGAGCTGACACCTGCCCAGTGCAATTTCCTTCACAGATCATGTCATCTCCTTTGAATCTCTCATCCACCTAGCAGAATGTTATAGATCTTCTCCCTGACCCCCACTGTCTGATTCCAGCTTCTTTCTCCTTTATTCCTGCTGTGCCATGCTCCAAGGATGCGATAGGCTTGTTATGTATGACTTAGATGTCCACACTGTATGCACAGATTTTCCCTGGGGAAGAAATGAGAAAAGAAACAGAGGATATGCATGACACCAGAGTGGCCTTTGGAGACAGACATACCTAGTGTGAGCACAGGTCTTACCTCCAGTTTCCTCATCTGTTAAGTGGGGACTACTAATAGGACTCTTGTGTGGGTTAAAAGACATCATGCATGTAAGGCACTCAATAAGGACTCAAGAAATGGAAGTTATTATTGCTGTTGTTTTTAAACAAAAGTAATATTTAGCCGGGCGCGGTGGCTCACACCTGTAATCCCAGCACTTTGGGAGGCCAAGGTGGGTGGATCACGAGGTCAGGAGATCAAGACCATCCTGGCTAACACAGTGAAACCCTGTCTCTACTAAAAATATAAAAAATTAGCTGGGCACAGTGGCAGGCGCCTGTAGTCCCAACTACTCGGGAGGCTGAGGCAGGAGAATGGCTTGAACCCGGGAGGCGGAGTTTGCAGTGAGCTGAGATTGCGCCACTGCACTCCAGCCTGGGCAACAGAGCAAGACTCCGTCTCAAAAAAAAAAAGTAATATTTAATTGAAATTGAACTATAACATGTAATTGATTTTATTGAATAATATATAATTGAATATTTAATTTTAAATTTAAATATTTAACTGAGAAAGACTGAATACATTCAAGATGTACGGTGTTGACTTGATATGCATGTACACTGTGTAATGATTACCAAAATCAAATTAATTAACACATCCAACACCACCCATTTTCTACACTAGATCCCCAGAATTTGCTCATCTGATAACTGAAAGTTTATACTGTTTGACTAACATCTCCCCATTTTCCCCATCCCCTCACCCTAGCAACCACCATTCCACCTACTCCCTGCTTCTATGAGTTTGACTTTCTTAGATTACAAATATAAGTAAAATTGTATGTATTTGTTTTTCTGTATCTGGCTTATTTCACTTAGCATAATGCCCTCAAGTTTCATCCACGTTGTCAAAAATAGCAGGATTTCCTTTATATGGCTGAATAATATTCTATTGCATATATGTACCACAATATATTTATCCATTCACCCATCAATGGATACTTAAGTTGATTCCATATCTTGACTATGATAAATAATGCTGCAATGAACATGGGGAGGCAGATATCCAAAGGAAATAAAATCAGTATTTC
Source organism: Homo sapiens (assembly GCF_000001405.40). Lineage (NCBI taxonomy): Eukaryota > Metazoa > Chordata > Mammalia > Primates > Hominidae > Homo > Homo sapiens. The sequence continues at coordinate 104,054,512 of NC_000012.12, forward strand.
AAAGAGATATCTGCCTCCCCATTGAAATACTGATTTTATTTCCTTTGGATACCTGCCTCCCCATGTTCATTGCTCTGCTTCCTCCCTTCTAATAGAAACACGATTTCATATGGACAGCAAAATGCCTATTTGAAAAGATTCTCCTCCTTGGATGTCCTGCAGCTAGAGTGGCACGTGAGCAGACATCTGCTGTCTAGTACTTCCTTGAAAGCTAGTGTTTTCCTGGCAAAGAGCTCTTTGGTGTCTTTTGCCCTTTCTTCCTGTTTAAAATCCAACCTTGAAGCTTGCGTGTGAAGTAGCCACCTTGCAGCCATGGGGATAAGAGGCCTGCACTGTGCTGCTGCATATGGCCACACTGGTTGTGCACAGTGACTATAGAGTTGAATCAGTCAGGGTCCTGGCAGGATACAGACAGCTCCCTCCAATAGGGTAATGGTGGAGACTTTTTAAAAAGGCACTAATTGAAAAGGTGTAATCACTGTCAGGGAAACATGGTTAAGAGATGATGCAGTACCCTGGGGCTAGCAATAGCAGGGAGTTATTACCACCCCAAACTCTGAAGGGCAACAAGAGAGAGTGGTTTCCAGGACCTGGAGAGAGGATATGGAGAGGGTGGCCAGCAAGAGCGGCCCTCCCACTGGGATACAGCCAACCTGTGGTGCTCTGCACAAAAGGGACGAGGGGCTGATTACCCCAGCCTCACAGTCTCCTGTTGGTAGTGTCTCCCATTGACCAAATCCAACTAGAAGTCAGAGGGCAAGAAGCTCAAGTGCTATAATCCATTCAGGTCAGCCTCTCAGGACACTGAACAGGTTGAAGGGTGGAGAGTAGATCTGTAGAAGTAAATGGAAAATATCCTTGCATTATATGAATGGGGTCCCTGGCACTCTGTCATTCTGCAGCCTGGCATATGCTAAAGATGGCAGAGAATCACCACAGCAGCCCTGAACTAACTACTCATGGAAAATCTTGCTATGTGAGGAAAATAAACCCTTAAGTGGTCAACTAAGTTTGGTTAGATTTAGTTACATGCCTGAGTGCAACCCCATGCAATATGTATGCATTTCACATGCATTTTATATTTGTGGTATCACTTGTCAACAAAACATGTATCTTAGTCTCTATTATTCCATGTTTATTTCTTACTAGTTGAAGGTCAGATGTTCATCATTTCTTCTTGCTAACTGGGTCTGCCTTTACTGAGTATATAACTTTTAGATAAGGTCCTAGATAAAATCTATTAAAGCTGATAAGTTTGCCTGGGAGGAAAGGAATAAGTCTTCTGTAGTAGTACATGAATTACCACATTGGGTCAGGCTGACAAGCCTCTTTGCCACGTTTGTCTCCCATGGCTGGGCTCCAAGATCACACATATGGGGCAGGAATTACCATAGCAGCCTCAATTCCCTCTCTTTTGCCTGGTGTGGTTCAGTTGCAGGTCATCTTCCTGTTGCCCTGAGCTTCGGTGCTCTTGCTTTCCCCTGCTACTCCCTGAACTGCAGCAATTGCTCCAGCACCTGAGTCTCACACTTGAGTTCCCTCTCTCCCGCATGCGGTAACTGTTTTTCTTCCTTGGCCCAGTTCCCTGTTCTGGCAATTAAGTTAGGTTCTATCTAGCCTGGAGCCCTGCCTTGCTCTTGCCAGCTGCCCTCTCTATGCTTTGGACATAGCTTCAGCCAAGATCCATGGCTGGAGCCCTGCAATCTGTAAACAGACCTCTCAGACACCATCTGTTTCCCTCACCTTGGCAACAGTCCCTGCCCAGGATCTCTGCTATCGAGTTCTGCCCACTTGCTAGCACTCCCCAGAACCTCTTCTCAGACCTCTGGCAATAAGCCTTTGGCCCTTGGCCTGAGTCCTCAATTGAGATTAAAGACATTGCAATTTACACTCTTGGCTGAAAACACAGGACTGTCTGCCACCTCCAGCACCAGATTCTCACTCTAGGGTTGACTTTTTGGCCTGCAGCTCAGGAGGAGGAATAGAAAGTGTAGAAATATAATAAAATCATGATAATGATAGAAATAAAACAATCTACTACTTATTAAATGCTAACTACATGTCAGACATTGCGTAAGTATAGCACAGTCCTTGCTTGGCATGGTAACAGCACAGATTTCAATTAGCACCGTTTAGTTATATAACACAAGTCCCCCAATAATACAGTTCAAATTTCAGTTACCACAGTATATTCACTGTAAGTAATTGCATAAATACAAGCTTTGCTGCCAGGTTTTCAGTCCACAAAATTACTATGTAAATAACAGATGCACGCCATGGTCAGTGACCACAGCACATCACTTCATTTCTAGTCTGCTGGTGACTGGTCACTGGACATCTGTTATTTAGTTATGCACAGACAGCAAAGCATGTAGTTGTGTTGCCTCTTTATCTCCAAGTAACATTGTAAAAAATGGACGATAGAATTTGCCAATAAAGATAAAAGTGAAGCAAAGAAACAAAAAGTGATTATTGTGGCAGTGAAGTTCAAATCAAAGATCACTGGAGTTACAGAAGAAATTGGTGGCCATGGGAATGTTGACATTGCCACTGTTCAACTCCAGATGGGCATCCAGAGAGACTTAGTAAAGGTAAACTTATGAACACAAATAAGGAAGGAAGTTGTAAGGAAAAGGATAAAGATGTTCCAGAAAGTGACATGGGCAAAAAATTCACATTAAAGGAATGCTGAAAGATATCTCACAACATTGAAAGCACAAAGGAAAACTTAGAAAGGAGGCTGGGCATGGTGGCTCACACCTGTAATCCCAGCACTTTGGAAGGCTGAGGCTTGAGCTCAGGAGTTCAAGACCAGCCTGAGCAACATAGGGAGACCCCGTCTCTACAAAAAATAAAAAAGTTAGCCAGGTGTGGTGTTATGTACCTATGGTCCCAACTACTCAGAAGGCTGAGGTGGGAGGATCGCTTTAGCCTGGGAGGTCAAGGTTGTGGTGAGCTGTGATCATGCCACTGTACTTCAGCTCAGGTGACAAAGACCCTGTCTCAAAAAAAAAAAAGCAAAACACATTAATTCTCAATATTTCTGTTTTAAATTATGGCATAATAAAGAAATATTAGGTTTACAATTTTTTCATTTCTCTATATATTTATATCCAACAGTAAGAAAGTTTTTAATATTTTGACAAAAGTTTTTAAACATCACAAAACAATTGTAATTTTTCCCACTGATAATTGAGATCACTTTGAAGGGTGTTGGCTTGCATATCATGTTTACAGAACAGTGTTATCATGCAAAGTGAAGACTGCCTGTACTTTACATGTATTATTTCATTTACCTATTTCTTTCTTTCTTTTTTTCCCCCCTTGCTAGGTCACTGCCCCATTTTCAGCACTAGATGGTGCTGAAACCCACGTTTGCCTCCATTCTAATAAATAATCAGTGCCCCTCATCCTTAATGGGGGATATCCCAGTAGTTTGGGAAGGCTAGCTAGGGGTTCAGTGTCCAAGGGACCTATGGACCCAACCTCCTACAGTGTGGTGCTGCTGAACAGCCACTATGATTTGGTGTCTCCATCTCTTTTTGTCAAGTTACACAGCAGAGTTTCCAGAGCTGGGATGGTAGTCTCACCTCTCCCCTTTGTCTCTGGCTGTTCTCAGGGATATTTCTCCTCTAGGGACTGCTGATGCTTCTAGTGGTTGAGGCTGGGACAAGTCTCCTGCAAGGGAACCCAAGATTGTGGAGAAGCTGGTTGTCTATGCCTTGATCTCACTTTTTACAGTGTACAGACTGTGAGTTGGGGGAAATTTTCATGCAGTTGGTGCCTGGCAGATTGTGGGGAGGGGATTACAGATATGGAAGTCTGATTCTCTTACCATCTGCTCAGAGTTTTTTAAACTTCTCTGTGGCCCCAGCAAATGTCTCATCCTCATATTTGAGTTCTCGGATATTGCTGGTGATAATTTCAGTGTTGAATATTAGTTTTGGGTTTTCCATTGGGGGGTGTGAAGCCAGATTGCTTCCTTGCTGCCACTTTGGAACCATATTATCTCATTTAATCCTTTGACTAACCCTAAGAAGCAGATGCTCTTATTATTCCCATTTTATAGACAAAGAATCTGAGGTTCAAAGAGGATAAATAATTTGACCAAGGCCATACAACTAGTTAAGTAGCTACAACCTATTGGGTCTTAAAGCCCTTGATCTTAACCCCAAATGAAACAGTCCAGGTAAATGACTCTGGTGGGTGTTTGATACGGAGGAGTGGGCAGAGAGGAGAGGAAGTAGTGAGAGATGAAAGTACCTTCTCTAACATATGCCTAAAAAGTCTAGAGCAGCACTGTCCAATAGAGCTTTCTATAACACAACAGATGCTCCCTTACCCAAGGGGGATACATTCAAAGACCCCCAGAGATGCCTAAAACCACGGATAGCACCAAATCCTATATACCTCTAACTAAGACAGCTACTCAATTACGAATGGGCAGGTGGCACATACAGTGTGGAAACACTGGACAAAGGATGATTCACATCCCAGGCAGGTAAGAGCGGGACAGCGCAAGACTTCATCATGTGACTCAGGATGTTACACAATTTAAAACTTACAAATTGCTTATTTCTGGAATTTTCCATTTAATATTCTCAGACTGCATTGACTGTGGGTAAGTGAAACCATGGCTAAAGAGGGATTCCTGTACATGTATAGAATACATAATATTTATATAATCTATAATAGAGAATTAATGTATCTATTCAACCCTGGTATACATGTAGGTATACATGGACTTCAGGATCCATCTTTTCTTGATCCTCCAGGACTTTGATCCACCAAATCCCAGCTCTTTCTGAACAGATCTACTTGCCCTATGGGATGTAATTTCCAGTGGAGCTGCTCTACTTCACTAAGTACTCAGGAAATTAGGCTTCTTCCAGCTCATGGTCCAAGATGGCTGCTCCAGTTCTAGCCATTACATCTACATTCCAGACAGCAGGAAAGAGTAAGAGAAAGGAAGCTTCCCTCCTCTAGAACACATTCTGGAATTATATATATTACTTTTGCTTACAACCCATAGGTCAATATTTAGCCACAGGCCACAACAAGTTGAGGGAAGCTTGGGAAATTAGTTTTTATTTAGAATGGTCATGTGCCCAGCTCAGAGTCCAGATTCTGTTACTGAAAAGAAAAGGAGAGCAGATCTTGAAGGAGAGTGGGTACAGTAGTCTGGGAAAGTTCTTATTTGTTTGTATTTTGTTTGTTTGTTTTTTTCCTTCCCAGCCTCAATAATGAGAGGCAGGCAAGGAGAAGGTTGGAAATGATTGCTGGTTGTGCTCTTCCGACCTTTTGTTTGCAACTGGATCCTTCTTCTGGGCCCACAAGTCTCACCATCCAAAATAATAACAATTTACACAGTACCTCTCTCTCCTTGCCAGCCATTGTTCTTTCTTTCCTTACATGGCCAAGTCTCTGTAAAGAATAGACTACACATGTTATCCGCATTTTCTAACTCATGCTTCAGTTCTCTCTGGCTTCTTTCCCTCCCACTCCATTGAAAACATTTTAATTCTAGGCCACTACTAACCTCCTAATTTGCAAATCCAACAGTTGCTTCTTCGTCCTCTTCTTCCCTGACCTCTCTGTGGCTTTTGGCTTTCCTTACCACTTCTGCCTCTATGAAACCCTCTTTGCCTGTGGCTTCTTTGACATCACCCTCACCCAGTTCCCTTTTAACTTCTCTGGCTACCTATTCTCTATTTCCTTCATGAGTGCCTCCTCTTGTCTTTACCCCATCAATGCTGGCTTCTTCAGGGTGCTATTTTCCATCCCTCTTCTCCAAACTCTCCTCCTAGGTTGTTGTTTCCAAACTACATTCTTGAAGTTTCAGAGATTGAAGGTACTTTACTGTGAAATGGGGACCTATTTTAGATGCCTCCCTCAAGGACAGATTACTCAAAACTGCTCTACTAAAACATCTTTCCCATTGGATTATGTACTTTGTCATAGATTGAATTGTATCTCCCCCAAAAGACATGCTGAAGCCTTAACCCGCTGTACCTATGAATATGACTTTATTTGGATATGGGATCCTTGCTGATATAATCAAGTTAAGATGAGATCACAGGATGAGCCCTAATCCAATATAACTAGTGAATTTATAATAAGAGGAGAAGAGGCTGGGCGCAGTGGCTCACATCTGTAATCCCAGCACTTTGGGAGGCTGATGCAGGAGGATTGCTTGAGCTCAGGAGTTCAAGACCAGCATGGGAAACATGGTAAAACCTCATCTCTAGAAAAAATTTAAAAACTAGCCAGGCATGGTAGTGCACACCTATAATCTCAGCTACTCCAAAAGCTGAGGTGGGAGGATCACTTAAGCCTGGGAGGTGGAGGCTGCAGCAAGCTGAGATCGCACCATTGCACTCCAACCTGGATGACAGAGCCAGACCTTGTCTCAAAAAGAAAAAAAAAAAAGAAGAGACAGACACACAGGGAGAACACCACGTGATGATGTGATGGAGTCAGAGACTGGAGTGATTCATTGACAAGTCAAGGGCTGCCATGGATTGACAGCTGCCACCAGAAGCTAGAAAGAGGCATGGAAGCATTCTTTCCTACAGGTTTTGCAGGGATCACAGCCCTACTGACACTTTGATTTCAGACTTATATATCCTTCAGAACTGTGAAACAAAACATTCCTATTGTTTCACAGCAGCCCTAGGAAACTAGTACACATTTCCTCATCACCCTGCAGCTCCCTATCTAAGCCACCAGTTATAGCTTGCAATCTCTTTTGTCTTAAAAATATTTTGCCTTAATTTTTCTCCTAGTTCAAGGGTACTTGGGCTTTCAAATATCATAGACTAGTTTTTTTAAATTTGAAGTTCAACATTAGGGTTGGAACGTTTGATTTTTTCCTTTAACCTTGTGCTATAAGGGCATTAGAAAAAAACTACCATCTAGGCACAAAACTCTCAGAACAAAGTACAGTTCTTTAAATTAAACACTTTGGGTTTTATGAAAAACTCACTGCTTTATTCCAACTCTTCCAGTTTTATTTCAAATCCATAAAAACTTTATTATGGCAACATTTAAGAGCCTCCTATGTTATGTATGTGACATAGAAAAATATTAATAGATAAATATTCATAACCTCTTTTCTGTTCGCAGACATCTTATTTCTCCCTCCCTTTCCAAATTCTCTTTGGACATATTATGAAATTGGGCTGGCCAGGCGCAGTGGTTCATGCCTGTAACCCCAGAACCTTAGGAGACCAAGGTGGGCAGATCACCTGAGGTTGGGAGTTCAAGACTAGCCTGACCAACATGGAGAAACCTCATCCCTACTAAAAATACAGAATTAGCCAGGCGTGGTGGTGCATGCCTGTAATCCCAGCTACTCAGGAGGCTGAGGCAGGAGAATTGCTTGAACCTAGGAGGTGGAGGTTGCAGTGAGCCAATATCGGCGCCATTACACCCCAGCCTGGGCAACAAGAGCAAAACTCCATCTCAAAAAAAAAAAAAAAAATGGGTTAATACTCAGTGAGAGGGAGAATTTAAGAAGCAGAAGCTAAAAAAAATAGTGAGAATTCCTTTTGGGGTTTTTGTTTGTTTGTTTGTTTTTTAGACTGAGTTTTGTTCTTGTTGCCCAGGCTGGAGTGCAATGGCACCATCTTGGCTCACTGCAACCTCTGCCTCCCAGGTTCAAGTGATTCTCCTACCTCAGCCTCCCAAGTAGCTGGGATTACAGGCATGCACCACCACGCCCGGCTAATTTTTGTATTTTTGGTAGAGATGGGTTTCACCATGTTGGCCAGGCTGGTCTCGAACTCCTGACCTCAGGTAATCTGCCCTCCTCGGCCTCTCAAAGTGCTGGGATTACAGGTGTGAGCCACCGCACCCGTCCTGAGAATTCCTTTTTAAAACATAGAGAGTTATCTCTCAAAAAAAGCTTAGATAGATGAGAAGGTGGAGAAGCATGCTGAGGTTTAAGGGAGTTGGGTGAATGAGGCATATAAGAGAAATTGAAAATGGTAAAATAAGAGGAAAAAAGAGTTTTAGGAAATTTACTATACAGTGTCTGTGTTCTCCTTTGAGTACCTCTTGAGAATCTGAGGTAGGGATTTAAATTGCTTTCAATTTTTTCTTCCACTGGACTTGTATCTCTTATTTATCTCTCTTTAATAAAAATAGAGATGGGATCTCACCATCTTGACCGAGCTGGTCTCAAACTCCTGGGATCAGTGGATCCTTCTGTCTCAGCCTCCAAAAGTGCTGGGATTACAGGTGTGAGTCACCATGCCCAGTCCTTTTTCAATTAAAATTTTAAAAAATAACTTGTATTGTGGATATTTAAGATATACAATATGAAGTTGATATCATATAGACCAGGGGTCCCCAGTCCCCAGCAACCAGTCCTCGGCCTGTTCGGAACCCCCATGACCTTCCTGAGCTCTGCCTCCTGTCAGATCAACCGCGCATTAGATTCTCATAGGAGCTCGAACCCTACTGTGAACTGCCCATAGGAGGGATCTAAATTGTGTACTCCCTATGAGAATCTTATGCCTGATGATCTGAGGTGGAACAGTTTCATGCCAAAACCATAGCCCCCATCCCCTTGCCAAGTCCATACCACCCACTCCCCTGCCAAGTCCGTGGAAAAATTGTCTTCCATGAAACCGGTCCCTAGTGCCAAAAAGGTTGGGGACAGCTGAAACAGGCAGTCACAAGGTTACTATAGTGAAGCATATTAACATATCCATCATCTCATATAGTTACCACCAACCCTTTTTGTGTCTCTGTGGCAAGAGTGGCTAAAATCTACTCATTTGGCATGAATCCCATATGCAGTGCAGTTTTATTCCTAATGGACTTGTGTGATTATGTGTAGGACCAAATCACAGGGCAGCTAGGCCTTATTAAGTGTTGCATTGGCTGGGTGCGGTGGCTCATGCCTGTAGTTCCAGCACTTTGGGAGGCCAAGGCAGGAGGATCACTGGAGCCCAGGAGCTCGAGCTTGCAGTGAGCTCTGATCGCGCCACTGCATTCCGGCAACAGAGCCAGACCCTATCTAAAATAAATAAATAAAAATAAAGAGTTGCGTATGACTGCTACCAGAGGCAGTATGGTATAATGGTTGGATATGACTGCTATCAGAGGCAGTATGGTATATGATATAAGGGCTTGGGGGTTCTGGAATCAGAAGCCCTGTGTTGGAATCCTGGCCCCAGTCTTTTTTTTCAACACCTCTCCTTTGTGTCCATCAGAAAATTACCTTACTGCACTGTGCCTCATTTCCCCGTCCATGAAAGGGAGATAACAGGAGCCACCACACTGGATTGCTGGATGGATTACATGAGTTAATACACATGAGGCACTTAGGGCATGCCAGGCTGTGGACAGCCCTCACTTGTTAGCTAGCAATGAAACAGAAACCTAGAAAACCATCTCTCCTCTGCTTAAGCCAAACAAACCAAAAATACCTCTTGTGGCTCACGGTTCCCAAGCTTCCTGGCATGGCTCCGCACAAAGCTGCCTTCGGTTCGCCCGGCAGGCTTTGTAGCGACCTTCCCTGCCCGGGTCCCAGTCACGGTCGGGAGCAGCCGCCGTGGCCCGGGCTCGCGAGGCAGGCTCCCGCCCGCACCCTCCCGTGCGAGGTCCCCGCCCTGCGCTCCCAGCTCTTCGAACCTCTACCCGAGCTTCTCTCACGTTGCTTGTGAGACTGCCTCGCCCACACATCCTAGATGCTCAATTAAAGTGGACGTAAAGGAAGATGCTGTGGCTTCTTCCCAAAATACCGAACGGGAGGCTCTGGGTGGGGATGGGAGACGTGGTCAGTGGGAAGCGTCCTTCCACCCTAAGGTGCGTTGCTCCGGGTGGCCGCTGGCCAAGTCGCCTGGGGTGGGGGCGGGGCTCCCCTGTCAGGACCCCCCTTCCCCAGCGTCTCTCCACTGCCCGCGGGCCTCCAGCCTGGCCGCCGGCGCCCGCGGCCACGTGACCCCAGCACAGCTGGAGGCGGGTCCCCGCCCTCCCCAGGGAGCAGCCGGTTGAGGCGGGAGCGGTGCATTGTGGGCAGAGGGGCGGGGGTTGGGAAGATGGCGGCTCCCAGCCTCCTCAACTGGAGGCGAGTTTCTTCCTTCACGGGGCCGGTCCCCCGCGCCCGGCACGGACACCGAGCGGTGGCCATCCGGGAGCTGATGATCATCTTTGGAGGGGGAAATGAGGGCATCGCGGATGAGCTGCACGTCTACAACACGGGTAGGCGCGGCGGCGGCTCGTCGGCCCCGCCTGCTGGAGCTGCGGAGGGGGAGGGGAGGCGAGGCGGCGGCCGCGGCCCTGACAGCTGTCACCGCCCGGTCACTGCTTCCTTGGGCGGGCGGCGGGGAGCGCGGCTCAGCCGGGCAGCCCGGGTCCGGCAGCTCTGTCCCGGACCGCAGCTCAGGATCTCCGGGGCCCTTGGGGCGCAACGGACCCCGAGCGGGGCGCACCGGCCTTCAGGCGGGGGATCCCGGACGCCCCCACCCCAGCCCGACAGGCGGACGCAGGCGACAGAAGACCATGTCCAACCGCCTGGGCCACTCCCCGAAATCTCGCCTCTGTCAAAAAACAAAACCCACTCCAAACCAAAGTTCCTTAGGGCCTTTCCCGTCTTTGCCTGCCTTCCTTCCTTAGGAGGAAGACCATCTAGGGGGTGAGGAGGGAAAACGAGAGGCCTTCTGGCACTCTCGCCTCAAATACAACCCGGTGTTTGGCAGGTAACGGTCAAGAGCCCCTCCGTGAGCCGCGCTCTAAAGCGGCGGGGACGTGGTGAGGCGGCCTTGTGTCTGCATACTCGGTGTGGACGCCCTTCTGGACTGGCCCTCGGAAAGAGGACTGTCATAACTTGAGCACCACTGCAGATCACAAGTGCCCCTGGGCAGGGAGCCCCTATCTTTGAGGACCTCTGTGGAATAGAAAGGAAACTGGATTTAATTTTTTTTTCCCCTTGTAAATGCTCAGGCTGTCACAAGAAATCTGTTTGGTGTAAAGACAGTGATGGAATTTTGGGTCTACTTCATGACCGATAACTTTTCTTTGATCAAACAACTTAATCACAGGAATAATTTGAAGGTTAACAAAATAGTGGAGTCTGAGAAGTTTTATTTTTTTCACCCTCTCCTCCTCCCAGCGCCCCAGCATATGAAGGTAAAAAGTTACTGACACTTTGGTCTTAGTGTAAAATCCCTGGCTTTGGAACAAATTAGACCTGATTTGAATCTTGCTCTGCCGGTTGCCCAGGATCAGCGCTAAAGTTACCAAACCTTTTTAAGCCTCACAATTTTCAGTTGTAAAATAGAGATTTTTATACTCACCCAGCAGGGCGTTTTGTAAGAATTAAATGATACAGATCAGGGTTTTTCAACAGCAGCACTCTCGACCTTTTGGGCCAGGTAATTCTTTGTTGAGGTTGGGGGAAGCTGCCCTGTATTGCCCTGTACATTGTAAGATGTTTGGCAGCATCCCTGCCTCTACCTACTAGATGCCAGTAACAGCCCCCTCCAGTTGTGACAACTAAAAATGTCACCAGACATTACCAAATGTCTTCTGGGGGGCAGAATCATCCCCAGTTGAGACCCACTGATATTGATGATATATATTTGCTGATAGTATATGATAACCGTTGTTTGTTATAATCGGTTTTCATTTTATTTTGGCAACTAGCTACGAATCAGTGGTTTCTGCCAGCTGTTAGAGGAGATATCCCTCCAGGCTGTGCTGCCCATGGATTTGTCTGTGATGGTACCAGAATATTAGTATTTGGGGGAATGGTTGAATATGGAAGATACAGCAATGAGTTATATGAGTTACAAGTAAGTGTATTTAATATTGTTTCATTCTGAGGCTTTAATAATGATATTGTTCATAATTTTTCAAAAGATTGCAACATTACTAACATTGTTTAACACATTTTAATATTATTCAAGTAATGTATTATTCAAGTAAACTATTATTCAAGTAATATTATTCAAGTAATGTAAACTTCACATTTTATAGCTTTATAGAAAATGTTTCCACTTCACTTAAAACCCAAAGTTTCCTGGCAAGTCTTTTTCCCATACCCAGTGCAACATTTATAACATCAAGATATCTGTTACGTAGCATCAGTTGTACATGTTATATATTTAGGTTTTTGTATCTTAATGCAGTAGAAACTTTAGCCTGCAACAGGAGCGCCTGGAGAACCTGTGAAAACACAGATTGCTGGGTCCTACCCAGAGAGTTTCTGAGTCAGAGGAAGGCCATGAGCATTTGCATTTCTACCAGGTTCCCAGCTGCTGATGCTCCTGGTTTGTTTGTTTAGAGACAGAGTCTTGCTCTGTCACCCAGGCTGGACTGCAGCCGCGCAATCTCGGCTCACTGCAACCTCCGTCTCCTGGGTTCAAGCAATTCTCCTGCCTCAGCCTCCTGAGTAGCTGTGACTACAGGCACGCGCCACCATGCCCAGCTAATTTTTGTATTTTTAGTAGAGACGGGTTTTCACCATGTTGGCCAGGCTGGTCTTGAACTCCTGACCTCAGGTGATCCACCCACCTGGGCCTCCCAAAGTGCTGGGATTAGCCGACGTGAGCCACCGTGCTGTGCCGCAAATTCTTAAGTATTAAGTACTGCAGGACTCACAGAGGGATAGTTGGCATTGGTATCAACTGACATATTCACAACTTTGAATAAAACTTTCCACATTTGGAAAATCACCATGCCTGGCCCCTAGGCTATACTTTGAAAACCACTGCTTTAGTGTTTTAGAAATTGTTACCCTCATACTAATATTTACTACACCCCCCACCTTGACAATACATACAAAAGAGGAGTAACAGTTTCCCATAACCTTTCTAAATTTGAGTCTTATTAAACCAGACTCATAGCCCTTGTTGACTTTTCTTCCTGATCTGTGCCTTATCCCTAGGGCGGTGATCATGCGGGTATCTGCTAATTGGCAGATGTGAGTGGTTATACCTATTTACAAGCAACTCATTGCAAAAATAATTTTAGCTAAAGAAAACATCCATGGCCAGAGAATAAGTTTTGGAATTTGATATGTTAAATGAGCTTTATGTTTACCTTTAAAAGGTTAAAATATTTACCATTCATGGATTACCTTTTTTCAGAAAGTAAGAATATATAAATTACATTTAATCTTGAAGCTATGTATAATACTTTATTTTTCATTTGGAAACTACTTTAGAACAGTTAGTGTTTATTATTATATGCTGAGTTTGCCATGGAAATCTGTGAATATGGAAGAGTAACTTGAATGTCTACTGGAACATATATTTTAATTCCAGAAGTTAGCTGGTTATTTGTCATTTGTCCCAAAAGTAGTTTTTTAGTGCCTTCTGATGGGATTTAGATTAAAATGTATTGATATGATGTTGCACTATTGACAATATAGGAGTGCTTTCTTGATTTTGTCTGACTGTATTTGTGCCCTTTTTTTTTTTAGGCAAGTCGTTGGTTATGGAAAAAAGTGAAACCCCATCCCCCTCCTTCTGGTTTACCTCCTTGTCCTCGGCTTGGACATAGCTTCTCTTTATATGGTAACAAATGCTATTTGTTTGGTGGCCTGGCAAACGAAAGCGAAGATTCAAACAATAATGTTCCCAGGTATGCTGACTCTTTCAGACCAAATGCTTATTTTATGATTTAGAGTAGGAACATTTTATTTTTTCCATCTTTAATTTTTAAAAGGGATGATGCTTAGCTTTTTGCATTTCAACCTAACAGTGGACAGATTTGTGTGTGTTTGTGTTTTCCTTAGTACCTGGAGCATACTTGTTTTCAAAACTGTGTCTTTTCTTCAGAAAGCATTGGAGCTAAAAACAAAAAAACTGTGTCTTTCTAATGAGAAATCATCTTATTAAATTAATATTAATGTAACTGCTTGTATCAATATATTTGTATATATTGAGCCATAATGCATTTTAGCTGCCTCATAAATGATAATGAAAAGTAACAGATGGTTATTTTAAAATTAGATTTCTCTGGGAATTTGGCGACAAAACTCTGACTATAAAATGAAAGCTATCATTTCCATGTTTTATACAGGAAGCTATTAGAGTAGTTCACGCTAGCATATACTTTTACAATCAATTATTTCCTCCTTTTTCCCAAACAGAATTAATTCACTACCTCTTTTCTTTTCACATCATGTTTTGTTTGTTTGTTTGTATGTTGAGTTCCAATAAGCCTTTATGAAGCAGCTCATAGGCAGGTTTGGTCCACAGGGTGTAGTTTGCTGGCACAGATTGTAAATAATGGGGCTATCTACATTGTTGACCCCTATTATAGCTAATGTTGGTTTTGTCTGCAAAGAATTCCTCTTTCCTTTGGGGAACTATACTGTTCCATGTAGTTTTTTTTTTTAATAAATTTTATTTGTGTAAATTTAAGGTATATAACATGATGGTATAAGATAGATATTTTGTATATATATTAAAATGGTTACTATAGTGGTAATATATCCGTCATTTCATATAGTTACCCATTTTTTTCTGCCTGGGGCATGAGCAGCTGTAGTCACCACCAGGCGTTGTGGCTCATGCCTATAATCCCAGCACTTTGGGAAGCCGAGGTGGGTGGATCGCTTGAGCCCAGCAGTTCAAGATCAGCCTGGGCAACATGGCAAAACCCCATCTCTACCAAAAATACAAAAAATTAGCTGGGCATGGTGGCACGCGCCTGTGGTCACAGCTACTCAGAGGCTGAGGTGAGAGGATTTCTTGAGCCTGGGAGGTGGAGGTTGCAGTGAGCCGAGATCGTGCTGCTGCACTCCAGCCTGGGTGACAGAGTTAGACCTTATCTTAAAAAAACAAACAAACAAACAAACAAAAATCCTGAATACAATGCATTATTATTAACTGTAGTCCTCATGTTGTACATTAGATCTCTCAATTTGTTTATCCTAGGTATTTGCTACTTTGTATCTTTTGACCTACATTTCCCCATTTCCTTCCCTTCCTGTCACTCTGACCCTGGTAACCACTGTTTTATTCTCTATTTCTATATGTTTTACCTTTTTTGTTAAAAAAAAAAAAAAAGATTTCACATATGAGATCATGCAATATTGTTCTTTGTGTCTGTCTTATTTCGCTTACCATAATGTCCTGCTGCTCCATCCATGCTGTGGCAAATGGTAGTATATTTTTTTCTTTCTTTTTTTTAGACTTTCTCTTTTTTTATTTTTTTATTTTTATTTTACTTTAAGTTCTGGAGTGCATGTGCAGAATGTGCAGG
Organism: Homo sapiens; assembly: GCF_000001405.40. Classification (NCBI taxonomy): domain Eukaryota; kingdom Metazoa; phylum Chordata; class Mammalia; order Primates; family Hominidae; genus Homo; species Homo sapiens. The sequence continues at coordinate 104,069,737 of NC_000012.12, forward strand.
TTTGTTACATAGGTATACATGTGCCATGGTGGTTTGCTGCACCTATCAACCCATCATCTAGGTTTTAAGCCCCGCATGCATTAGGTATTTGTCCTAATGCTCTCCCTCCCCTTGCCCTGCAACCCCCGATATGCCCTGGTGTGTGATGTTCCCTTCCCTCTGTCCATGTTTTCTCATTGTTCAGCTCCCTCTTATGAGTGAGAACATGCAGTGTTTGGTTTTCTGTTTCTGTGTTAGTTTGCTGAGAATGATGGTTTCCAGCTTCATCCATGTCCCTGCAAAGGACATGAACTCTTTTTTTTTTGAGACAGAATCTCGCTCTGTCTCCCAGGCTGAAGTGCAGTGGCGCAATCCCGTCTCACTGCAAGCTCCGCCTCCTGGGTTCACGCCATTCTCCTGCCTCAGCCACCCGAGTAGCTGGGACTACAGGCGCCCACCACCACGCCCTGCTAATTTTTTGTATTTTTAATAGAGACTAACATGGGGTTTCACCGCGTTAGCCAGGATGGTCTCGATCTCCTGACCTCGTGATCTGCCCACCTTGGCCTCCCAAAGTGCTGGGATTACAGGCGTGAGCCACTGCGCCCGGCCAAATTTATTCTTTTTTATGGCTGCAATATTTTTTTCTTTTTAAGCCCGAATAATATTCACATAGTGTTTTGATCACATTGTCATTCTAGCACTCAAGCTTTGGAGATTTAGAGTCCAAAGGGCTGTTTTCTGATTCAGGTCTTATCATGTGTGTCCTTTAGAGCAAATAATCTAAGCCTGTTTCCTTCACTGTGAAATGGGAGTGATTAAATACCTGTTTTACAGTGTCATTGTGATAGTGAAATAAGATCATTGGTATAATTTTCAAAGCACTTTCAGGTTGCCATAGCATATAATACAGTAGAGTTATCAACCATTATGATGTCTTTTTACCTGCATTAGATTGATGGTAGGATCTTAACTTTTTTTCCAAACTTTTTTAAAATATAGAAATACTAAAATATCATGGAAAATGTGGAAACTACAGAAAAGGAAAAAAAATTATCCCACCACAGTAATCCGGATACTTTTTACTTTTTTTTTTTTTTTTTTTTTGAGACGGAGTCTCACTCTGTCGCCCAGGCTGGAGTATAGTGGCGCGATCTCAGCTCACTGCAAGCTCCGCCTCCCGGGTTCACGCCATTCTCCTGCCTCAGCCTCCCGAGTAGCTGGGACTACAGGCGTCTGCCACCATGCCTGGCTAATTTTTTTGTGTTTTTTAGTAGAGACGAGGTTTCACCGTGTTAGCCAGGATGGTCTTGATCTCCTGACCTCATCATCCGCCTGCCTCAGCCTACCAAAGTGCTGGGATTACAGGCTTGAGCCACCACGCCCGGCCAATACTTTTACTTTCAACACATGTCTTTTAAAAAACTTTTTCCATTAAACAGATTTTTAAAATAACACTGGTAAAAAGTCAAATCAGAAAGTGTACAGTATTCTTTCAACAGCACTATCCCCCAACATAGGCAAATACACATAATTCAGTTTGATGTACATCTTTTGGAACCTTTTTCATGTAACACTTTTCATGTACCCTTTTTCATGTATTAGCTTTTGTTAGGTTATTGTTTATAATGGGGCAAGCTTCTCAAGGGTATTCTACTTCAGAGGGCCAGTAGGTGCATGCGGTTACATACAATGCTTTTTAAAGCCTATGTTTAAAGCACACATTCATTTCTGGTCACATTCCATTGGTCAAACCAGCCATATGGCCAAGGCCAGAGTCAGTGGTCTAAGGATATATACTGTGCCTACGGGGAAAGAAGAGTTGGGAACACATTAATACGATCCTCCACACAGACCTAACTATTTTATTTTATTTTATTTTATTTTTTTGAGAAAGGGTCTCACTCTGTTATCCAGGCTGGAGTGCAATGGCACAATGTCAGCTCACTGGAGCCTCCACCTCCCAGGCACAAGTGATCCTCCCACCTCAACCTGTTTAACTTCTTAAGAAATTCTACCAAATTGTTTTCCAAACTGACTACACTATTTTACATTCCCACCAGCAATATATAAGGGTTTTACTTTCTCCACCTTGGCTAATATTCATTATTGTCTGTCTTTTTTATTGTCGCCATCCTAGCGGGAGTAAAGTAGTATCTCATTGTGGTTTTAATTTGCATTTCTCTAATGACTAATAGTGTTGGACATCTTTTCATGGGCTTTTTAGCCATTCATATATCTTTGGTGAAATTTCTATTCAAATATTGTGCCCGTTTTGAAATTGATAGTTTTCTTATTATTGAGTTGTAACAATTCTTTATATATTCTGGATATGTTTTATGTTTTATTTTATTTTTTAATCAGAAATGTGATTTGGCCAGGCATAGTGGCTCACGCCCATAATCCCAGTACTTTGGGAGGCTGAGGCCAGCAGATCACTTGACCCAGAAGTATGAGACCAGCCTGGGCAACATGGCAAGACCCTGTCTCTGCAAAACATTAGAAAATTAGCCGGGTGTAGTGGTATGTGCCTGTGGTCCCATCTACATGGGGGGCCAGAGCAGGAGGATTGCTTGAGCACAGGAGGCCAGGACTACAGTGAGCCATGTTTACATCAGTGCATTCCAGCCAGGGCAACAGAACAAGACTGTTTAAAAAAAAAAAAAAAAAGTAAAATTTGTACAAAAAGGCTTACTGGGATTTTGATAGGGATTTCACTGATTATATATCAGTTTGAGGAGAATCACCATCTTAATAATATTGGGTCTGCCAATTCATGAACATGGGATGTTTCTCCATTTATTTAAATCTTTTAAATTTTCTCTCAGCAATATTTTGTAGTTTTCAATGTATGTGTTGCTCTTTCTAATTTTGGTAAATGTATTCCTAAGTTTTTTATTCTTTTTGAGGATATTATGAATCCATTTGGTTTCTTTTTTTTTTTTGAGATGGAGTCTCGCTCTGTCGCCCAGGCTGGAGTGCAGTGGCGCAATCTCAGCTCACTGCAAGCTCCGCCTCCTGGGTTCACGCCATTCTCCTGCCTCAGCCTCCCGAGTAGCTGGGACTACAGGCGCCCGCCACCATGCCCAGCTAATTTTTTTTGTATTTTTAGTAGAGACTGGGTTTCACCATGTTAGCCAGGATGGTCTCGATCTCCTGACCTCGTGATCCGCCCACCTCAGCCTCCCAAAGTGCTGGGATTACAGGTGTGAGCCACCGCACCCGGCCGATTTGGTTTCTTAATTTCATTTCTGGATTGTTCATTGCTAGTATATAGAAACACAACCTTGGTTTTGTTATTTATCTTGTATCCTGTGACCTTGTTGAATTCATTTATTATTTCTAATATTTAAATGGATTTCAATTTTTTTATTATTGTTGATTCTTAGGAGTTCTTTACATATATATATTTTTATATGTTCCAAATATGTTTTCTAAGTCTTCTGTTTGCCTTTTTTTTTTTTTTTGAGACGGAGTCTAGCTGCATCGCCGAGGCTGGAGTGCAGTGGAGCGATCTCGGCTCACTGCAGCCTCCACCTCATGGGTTCAAGCGATTCTCCTGCCTCAGCCTCCCAGGTAGCTGGGATTACAGGCTCCCACCACCATGCCTAGCTAATTTTTGTATTTTTAGTAGAGGCAGGGTTTCACTTTGTTGGCCAGGCTGGTCTCGAACTCCTGACCTCATGATCCGCCCGCCTCAGCCTCCCAAAGTGCTGGGATTACAAGCATAAGCCACCATGCCCAGCCCGCTTTGCCTTTTTTAAAAAGGGTTTTCTGTTTAGTTTCATCATGTTTGACAATATTTTCTTCTATGGCTTTCTGGTTTTGAATCTTGCTTTGAAAGACTCTCCTTCAGGAAAATTATAAAAATAAATTTTCTATATTTTCTTCTAGTTCATTCAAACTTTTGTTTCTGTTTAGAACATTAATGCATTTGTGATATACTTTTGTGACTAGTGTAAGGCTTTTTACTTCTTTTCCTAGTTGATTTTCAATTTTCCCAACACCATTTATTAAATAAGCCATGTTTTCTATTGGTTTGAAATTCCATCTCTGTCATATCTTAATTCTTGTATAAATGTGTCTCTCTAGGCTTTCTATACCAGGGGTTGCAAACTATATCCTGTGGGCCAAATGTGGCCTGCTGTCTTTTTTTATTAATAAAGTTTTATTGGAACACAGCCATCCCCATTCATTTTGTGTTGCTGTTGGTAGCTTTCATGTTGAAACAGCACAGTTGAGTAGTTGCAATAGATTTTATGGCCTATGAAGCCTAAAATATTTACTATCGGACCCTTTACAGGAAACATTTGTTGATTCCTGCTCTAGACTCTATTCTGTTTCATTAATATATTTACCTTTCTATCATTAATTGTGGCATTTGCTATAGGTTGTTGGTATGTGATTTTAATAACATTAAGGACGTTTTCTTTTCTTTTTGAGACAGAGCCTCACTCTGTCACCTGGGGCTGGAGTACAGTGGCATGATCACAGCTCTCTGCACCCTCGACCTCCTAGGCTCAGACAGTCCCCCTGCCTCAGCCTCTTGAGTAGCCAGCTGGGACCACAGGTGTATGCCACCATGCCCAGCTAATTTTAAAACTTTTTTTTTCTTTTTCTTTTTCATAGAGACAAGGTCTTTCCGTGTTGCCCAGGCTGGTCTTGAACTCTTGGGCTCAAGTGATCCTCCCACCTTGGCCTCCCAAAGTGTTGGGATTACAGGCGTGAGCCGCCATGCCTGGCCAAAATGTTCTTAAATTTCCAGCTTACTAGTTTTATTTTTCTCTCTTTTGAAAAAGAAATGTATATTGAGGTAGTTTAAATTCATTTTGGAGCTTACTGTGTCTCTCCTTTAATCCATGAATTTTGTGAATTATTTTAATTAATTAATTGAGGTTCTGAAATATGAGCCACCTTTTTATTCCTAGTTAAATCTCACTTTACTGTGTTACAGAATTCTTTTCTTTGCTGAATCACATTTCTAACATTTATTTATAATACCTATATTTATTAGCGATTTTGCCTGTATTGTCTTTATATGGGGGAGTAGGGTGCTATTGTAATCTGATTTGAGTATCAGGATTATGTTATCCTTGAAAATGTAATCAGGGTTATGTTCTGAGGTCATGGAAAGCCCTCCATCTTTTATTATATTTAAATAACTTAATTCCTTGAATATTTAGAAGAAATTTTCCATATTTACCTGGGATTGGTATATGATCTTTTATTGCCTTTTCAATTTCTTCTATAAGTATTGATCTATTTAGGTTTTCAACCTTTCATAATTTTTAGTAATTTTTTTTGAGAAGTTACCCATTTATCTAGATTTTTAAATTTATTTCTAAAAGTTATAAGACAGCCAGGTGTGGTGGTACGCACCTATAGTCCCAGCTGCTTGGGAGTCTGAGGCAGGAGGATCATCTGAACCCAGGAGTTTAAATCTAGCCTGGGCAATATAATGAGCCCCTGTCTGTGAAAATAAAAAAAAAAAATTATTTATTTAAAAATGTTTTAAAGTTATAAAGACAATTCTCTCTATCTTTAAAATCTCTATATCCATTTTTATATCTCATTTCTTATTCCTAAATATTAGTTTTGTCTAATCAGACTTGCTAGTGATTTGTTATTTTATTTATTTCAAAGAGCCATTTTTTAGTTTTATTGACTGTCTGTTTTTCTTTTTAGTTTATTTTCTTTGACTCTTTAACTCTATTCCATTTCTTTCAACTTTTGTTCCTAACCTTTTTTTTTTTTTTTTTTAGAGGCAGAATCTCATTCTGTCACCCAGGCTAGAGGGTGGTGACACAATCATAGCTTACTGCAGCCTTGAACTCTTGGGTTCAAGCTATACTCCCACCTCAGCCTTCTGAGTAGCTAGGACTAGAGGCACATGCAGCCATGCCTGGCTAAATTTTTAAGTTTTTTGTTGAGACAGGATCTTGCCATGTTGTCCAGGCTGGTCTTGAACTCCTGGCCTCAAGCAGTCCTCCTACCTCAGTCTCCCAAGGTGCTGGGATTACCCGCTTGAGCCATCATGCCCAGCATCTTTTAAACTTCTAGTAGTTTGAATGCTTTTTCTAACTTCTAATAATTTGAATGCTCATTAGTTCATTTTTTTTTCAGTGTTATTTTCCTGTGATTATATCTTTGGCCGTATGCCGTAGGGTTTGATACATACTGCTTTTATTGTCATTGATTTCTATTTTCTCTTTAAAAGTAATTTGCTACAATTTTTTAAAGATCTCCAAGTGGAAAGTTTTGTTATTATTGCCAATATCTAGTTTTATTATATTGTGGTCAGGAAATGTGGTCTATAAAGATGTGTTTGTGCCTATTTCACAGTCAATTTTTGTGATTCCATAGGTGCTCATTAAGACCATGAGTTCTTGACTGTGTACAAGGTTCTTTGTCTATTAAATCAATGTTTTATGTATTTATTATTATTGCTTTTAGAGATGTGTTCTTGCTATGTTGCTCAGGCTGGATAACTCCTAGGCTCAAGTAATCTTCCCACCTCAGCCTCCTGAGTAGCTGGGAGTACAGGCATGTGCCATTGCACCTGGCTCTATTAAATGAATGTTCGAAGCTTTTTTATTTTGTGAGTCTAGGTCTTATCAACTTTTGAGTGACATGCTCAAGTCTCCCACTGTGATTGTGGATCTGTGTTTTGTTTCTTGTGTATCTAATTTTCAACTTGTGTACATCGTTTTGTTGCAGATTGTCTTTTGTAAATGGGGCTAATAGCCAATATGAACTGGATAGCATACTGGCTGATATCCATTCTCAACAGTTTAAGCCTATGCCACATTAGTTTTAGATAGTTTTAATATTATCCTTGATTTTCATAGCTTATACTTAGATTTGGGGTTCTTGTATTTTGTTTCCCCTGCATTCCTGCCCCCACCACCAACCCTGACCAGATTTTGTATTATAATAGGGTAGTTTTATTCTGCCCTTATATTTTGTATTTTGTTTCCTCTGCATTCCTGCCCCCACCACCAACCCTGACCAGATTTTGTCTTATAATAGGGCAGTTTTATTCTGCGCTTGTATTTTGTATTTTGTTTCCCCTGCATTCCTGCCCCCACCACCAACCCTGATCAGATTTTGTCTTATAATAGGGCAGTTTTATTCTGCCCTTGTATTTTGTGTTTTCCATCCACTCTGCTTCGTTGCCTTTCCTCCCTTTTCTTGCCTATGCCAGATTTTTTTAAGTTGTGATGAGGGAAAACATTTGCATATGTATATGTATATGTGTGTTCGTGTACGTGCGTGTTTATACATCTGTGTCTGTGTCTGTGTGTATATATATATGTTTGTATAATTTTTATTTCCTGTTCTGTGAACTGTCAGTTTATATCTTTTTATCTGTGTCTGTTGTGTGAGCGGTCATTATCTGGATTTTTAGGAAAATTTGACCTTTTTTTCTCCAACGTGTACTAAACTTTTTAAGTTTGTATTTTCTTCTTTTGACATTGTTTATGCTGGGGCTTTTTTGTTTTTTGTTTGTTTGTTTGTTTGTTTTTTGTTTTTTGTTTTTTTTTTGAGACGGAGTCTCGTTGTGTCACCCAGGCTGGACTGCAGCCATGCGATCTCGGCTCACCGCAACCTCCACCTCCCAGGTTCAAGTGATTCTCTTGCCTCAGCCTCCTGAGTAGCTGGGATTACAGGCACCCACCACCACGCCCAGCTAATTTTTTGTATTTTTAGTAGAGACGGGGTTTCACCATGTTGGCCAGGCTGGTCTTGAACTCCTGACCTCAGGTGATCTGCCCGCCTCGGCCTCCCAAACTGCTGAGATTGGGCATGAGCCACCGTGCCTGGCCCCTGGCCTGTTTTTTTTTTTTTTTTTAAACTATCTTATTAACTGCTTTCTATATACTATACTTTGCTTTTTTTTCCCATTTCTTTACTTTTTCCCTATTTATTATTTTTCTTTGACTGTTTCCCTCTAGTGATTTGAGAATTATATGTGCTAATTTTGTGCATACCTTAGTTGCTTGGAAATTAACACATGTTTACAATGAAAATATCCTGTCATCCTTGGGAATAAATTACTGTCTTTTTTTAAACATTCTTTTGCCTACCTCCTTTTTCTGTATGTTCCATATATTTTTGAATCTTATTCCAGGTTATGATAAATATTAAAAATTAACTTTGTAGTAAGTTCTTCTTAGTGGTTATTTAGATCTCATAACCATATATTTGAACATCAGTTTAGATGTAATCATAAATTACTACCATTTCTCTTATTCAAAGTATTATTTCTTTATTATTTATTTATGTATTTATTTTTGTTTTGAGACGGAGTCTCACTCTGTCTCCCAGGCTGGAGTGCAGTGGCACGATCTTGGCTCACTGCAAGCTCTGCCTCCCGGGTTCATGCCATTCTCCTGCCTCAGCCTCCCGAGTAGCTGGGACTACAAGTGCCCACCACCACACCCAGCTAATTTTTTGTATTTTTGTTAGTAGAGACAGAGTTTCACCGTGTTAGCTAGGATGGTCTCGATCTCCTGACTTCGTGTTCCGCCCGCCTCAGCCTCCCAAAGTGCTGGGATTACAGGCGTGAGTCACCGCGCCAGGCCTATTCAAAGTATTCTTAGATTTATTTTTCTTTTTCCTAGATAACATCCTAGAATTATTTTCCGCAAAACAATTATGTAGCTAAACTTTGAAGTTTTATATGTCCTGAAATGTTACAATTTTTGCCCTTACACTTGAATAATAATTTTGTAGGAAATAGATTTCTACAAAAGTCATTTTGCTCAAAACTTCAAAACATCCATGAAACTTAGTGCCACTTTCTAAAGTTAAAAAGCTATGTAGGACATTGCTATGACATTATAGTGAAAATTTTAAAAGTTACAAAGCAGCATTTTTAGTATGCCTCATTTATCCATATGTGTTTATCCATAGACAGAGGTGTCTTAAGGGATATTTATCAAAATATTTTCAATAGTGATTGTTCTGGTTATCTAGTGCCATACAGTAAACTGCCCCAAAATTTAATGATGCAGAATAATAACCATTTGATTATGTTCATGGATTCTGTGGGTCAGGAATTCAAATAGGCCACAGGAGGGATGGCTGGGCAGTCAGCTGAGAAGGCTTGAAGGGGTTACTTCTATGTCTGATGCCTCAACTGCAACGCTGAAGGACAAACTCAGCTGGTTCTGTCACCCTACATAGCTGCATATGGCCACCCAGATGGTAGTTTTATGGGAGTTGAACTTCTTACATGGTGGCTCAGGATTCCAAGAGTGAGTGTTCTAGTTAAGCCATTTAGGCCTTCTGTGACCCAGCCTCAGAAGTCACGTAGTGTGCTTTCACCATACCCTATTAATCAAAGCAGTCACAAACCAGTCCAGAATCAAGGGAAGGGAACATAGACCCAACTTCCTGATGGGAAGATTGTCAGAGGATTTGTAGCTATGTTTTAACACCAACAGTTGGCAAGTTGTCATTGATAAGAGTGTTGGCTAAATGATGACAGGAATTATTTTTAATCTCTTCTGCTCACTACTGAGCCCCAGAAGAGTGCCTGGTACATAGTAGTGTTTGATAAGTATGTATTGTATGAATGAGGTTTGGGGTTTCTGCTCTCCTAATGCCTTTCTGTACTATATGAACTTTTCACAGTAAGCACATTTTATCTTTATAAATAGAAATAAAATGCAAATAAAGGGTATATATTATCTGAATGTTTTAATTTTTTCTATGATATCCTAGATATTTAAATGATTTTTATGAGTTGGAGCTACAGCATGGCTCTGGTGTTGTGGGTTGGAGCATTCCAGTGACTAAAGGGGTTGTGCCTTCTCCAAGAGAATCCCACACAGCTGTTATATATTGCAAAAAAGATTCTGGAAGTCCTAAAATGTATGTTTTTGGTGGAATGTGTGGTGCTCGCCTGGATGACCTATGGCAGCTTGACTTAGGTAAGTTTAACTTGATTCAGGCTCAGGAATAGGGCAAATTAAAAAATGCTTTGAAAAATATTATTGATTGCAGTATTTATTGAGTTGTACTTAGATTTATAACCAGCACTTGTAGCCCCAGGGACAGTGTATGTGTGATATGAATGGTTGCTGATAAATCAGATTGAGAAAATGAATGTTTGGTTTATGACAGTAACTCTCTTGTGCATTCTATAAATAGGGTTACCTTATGTCCTGGTTTACCTGGGATGATTCTGGTTTATGCTTATTGTCTTGTGTAATTATCAATAGTACAATACTCCCTTTCACTCTGAAAAATGTCCTGTTGGGGATGATAACTTTATATGGTTACCCTATCTACAGGAAATGTAGCATTAACAATGTTATTCGTGGTCAGTAAAAAACCCTTAGGTAGTTCTCTCTAAAGGGATCCTAGGAATGAATGATTGGAGGGTAGTGTGCCTCTCACCTTTGACTATCTTCTGTCCAGTGTACTCTTACTTAAAGTGGTAAAATCTCTAATATTGTTTTTAATTCACAATTGGTGGCACCCTAAGCACACTTATTTATTACAAATACAGTCATCCCTCGGTATCTGTGGAAGATTTATTTAGGACCTCCCCTAATACCAAAATCCATGGATGCTCAAGTCCCTGATATAAAATGGTGTAGTATTTGCATATTCTCCCATATACTTTAAGTCATCTCCATTTGAGATTACTTGTAACACCTAATACAGTGTAAATACTATATAAATGGTTGTTATACTGTATTATTTAGGGAATAATGACAAAAAGAAGACATGTGCAGTGCAGCCAAAGATTTTGTGAATATTTTCAGTCTGTGGTTAGTTGAATCCATGGATGCAGCACCCATAGATATGGAGGGCTAACTGTACTAACATTAAGTGTAAATAAATTTCTGATTGGCAGTTTATGTAAGCTGGAAATGTTTAAGATAATGTTCAAATAACTGTTCTAAAATACTTTGTTTCATTTTGGTAAGTCCTTGTTTTATTTTTTAAAATTATGGAAGTTGAGGTAATTTACTCTTGTTAGATCAAGTTGCTAATATAATTATTTTTACTTTTAGAAACTATGTCATGGTCAAAACCAGAAACTAAAGGGACAGTGCCACTTCCACGAAGCCTTCATACAGCCAGTGTTATAGGAAACAAGTATGGTGGTTTTTTGTATTTTGCTTCTGTTTTTTTTAAAAAAACAACTTAAGAAGCACACAAAGAAAGTAATGCTAGTAGTTTCTTGGAAATAGATTATGAAACTTAACAAAGTTTGATTGTGCTGACTGAAGCTAAAATAATTTGTCTGTAGAAGTTAAAATACTTAATGTGCCATTTTCTTATGCTCTCTCTTTTACTTCTTTGCATTCCTTATAATGCCCTGCCCAGTGTAGGCTTTATGTAAGTGTTAACCTGGGTGTTGCCAAACTAATCACCTAACTCACTTTTCCTTTTTCATATTTTTGGTAGTGCTTCATTTGTACTGAGGCACATGCTCTTAATGATTATGCTTTAGATTGCAATATAGAGTTGATGGTTAGAATACAAACTCTGTGACCAGATTGCCTAAATTCAAGACTCAGCTTTGGCACTTGTCCTGTTTGACCTGGGGCAAGAAAATTTAATCTGTTTGTACCTCACTTTCCTTAAGTATACAATGTGGATTAAAGTAAAACTTACTTGACAAGGCTGTAATGAAGACTAAATGGATTAATACATATGAAATGCTTAGAACAGTTTCTGGTATGAAGTGAGCACTCCATAAATGTTGACTGTTACTACCATCAACAAATTCCCTTATTTGTGCAACATTGTGCCACAATTAGAAGTACTGTTTAATTAGAATTTAATGAAATATTTACTATTGCAGTAATATTAAATATTAAATGTAATAGTTTAGGAAATGACTGTTGTAATTTAGAACCTAGTTTTTTTTTTTTTTTTAAATAAACTCAAAACCAAACAGGATGGTCTTTACATTTAAACAAAATCTTATACATTTTTTTAACTGAAGAGGCATTTTATAAAATGAAATTTTCCATTGAAACCCCAACATATAAAATGGATTTTAAAAAATAGAGCTGTAGCCAGGCGTGGTGGCTCATGCCTATAATCCCAGCACTTTGGGAGGCCAAGGTGGAAGGATGGCCTGAGCCCAGGAGGTTGAGTTTGCAGTGGACCGTTATCATGCCACTGTACTCTAGCCTGGGCAACAGAACAAGATCCTGTCTCAAAAAAAAAAAAAAAAAAAAATCTCTGGTTGGCATAAAAAAAAAAATAGATCTGGTTGACATCAGGTCAAATGGGCCCTGATTTCTGCCTAATGAGCCTTTCTCTTCCAGCAGCCATCAGGCTTGTCTTAAGAACTCCTAGGGCCCTAAAGGAACACAGTTTAAAGTTTTTTGTTTAAGTGATATCAATGACCAAAGTTATATGAAATTTAATCCTCTTCGGTTACTATATGCATACAATTTTAAATTTGACTTTGGATGTCATAGATCAATTGAGTGTCTCTCTGACTGAGGTACCCTTAGTATATTATAGGCAATATTGATTTTTAAGTATATTATAGTTGAAATATTCTTCACTTTAAGTAACTTGCCAGAGAGAAATAATTGTGATTCTGTACTGCTTCATAAAATTGTAAACTCTTGAAAAAAGACCACTTTATTCATCTTCTTATTCCCATTACCTTGACAATGGTAAGCGAATGAATAGTTCTGAAGCTCTGAGTCAACTGATAGGAAATTTTTCTATTCTTAGCACTTCAAATCCAAGAAGTAAAATGAAATAAGCTACTTTATGTTTTTGTTTTGTTGTTGCTCAGGATGTACATTTTTGGTGGATGGGTCCCACATAAGGGGGAAAATACTGAGACTTCACCTCATGATTGTGAATGGAGATGTACCAGTTCATTTTCTTACCTAAATCTGGGTGAGTCTTTTAAGAGTTACTCATTGAATTAATCTTTATTAATAAGATAATTTTTGTAATTTTGTTAAGAACAAAAGATTAGTCATGGATATTTCTATCTTTTCAGATACAACAGAGTGGACCACCCTAGTATCAGATTCTCAGGAAGATAAAAAAAATTCAAGACCAAGACCAAGAGCTGGCCACTGTGCTGTTGCAATCGGCACTCGATTGTATTTTTGGAGTGGAAGAGATGGCTACAAAAAAGCACTGAATAGTCAAGTTTGCTGCAAGGATCTTTGGTATCTTGATACTGGTAGGTAAGAATATTTAACAAATAAACTTTTTCCTTTAGGTAAGCACTCAAATGTCTGCCTTTTGAGACTTACTGTAAATGCTACTACCTCTTGTTTCCCATAATTAAGTATGAATGGAAGAAACAATATGTATAGTTATTCTCCACTCCTGAGAAGTATATAATTATCCTCTCCTTGAGTGTAGGCTGGATTTAAAGACTCCTTTGCAAAGAATAAAGTATGGAAAGGGAAAATAGTAGCTTTACAGAAACCTGGCAAGCACGAGAAACCTGGCAAGCATGAGAAACCTGGCAAGCACTACCTTAATCAAGTGATCAAGGTTAATATCACTAGTGATAAGTTAGTATCATTTACTCCCTAATATCATGTGATAAGTGAAAGTACCTCGGTGGTATTCCCAAATCCATAACCTCAGCCTAACTATGAGAAAACATCAACAAGCCCAAACTGAGGGACATTCTAGATCTTCTACAAAGAATATGTGAGCAGTACTATTCAGAAGTTTCAAAGTGAAGGAAAACAAGGGAAGACTAAGAAATAATCAAAAACTGGAGGAGACAAAGGAGACATTACAACTGAATGTGATGTTGTGTTCCGGATTGGATCCTGGAACAAAAAAAGACATTAATTGAAAAACTGGTGAAATCTGAGTTGTCTATAGTTGAGTTAATAGTATTACACCAATAATTTCTTAGTTTTAACAAATGTGGTAATATTAGGGGAAGCTGGAGAAAAGGGAAAGCTGGGGTCAGGGGGTTATGGCAATGCTGTACTATCTTTGCAACTTTTCTGTAAATCTAAAATTATTTTAAAATAAAAGATTTTAAAAAAATATATTAGAGGCTGGGTGCAGTGGCTCACACCTGTAATCCTAGCACTTTGGGAAGCTGAGGCAGGAGGATTGCTTGGGGCCATGAGTTCAAGACAAGCCCAGGCAACATAGTGAGACCCTCATCTCTACCAAACAAAAAATTAGCCAGGCACAGTGGCTCATGCCTATAGTCCCAGCTTCTTGGGAGGCTGAGGCAAGAGGTTCACTTGAGCCCAGGAGTCTGAGTCTACCTACAGTGAGCTCTGATTGCTCCACTGCACTCCAGCCTGGGTATCAGAGCAAGACCCCATCTCGAAAGGGGGAAAATAATTATTAAAGCACCAAAATTTTTAAAAATGTGTACCTCACATCGATTTTGAATAAATACTGATTGACAGCTGCGTAGCAGGAATTGTTCTAAATGCTGAGAATATAGCAGCGAACAAGACTGATAGTGCGCCTGCTCTCACAAAGAACTTACATTCTGAGGGGGTACGACAGCAAGGAGATAATGAGCAATAGTGAAACAGGTTAACAAAATAAGTTCAGTTTCTGTTAATCATATGAATACATGAGATAGTGGTGTTAGGTATTGGGCGTGGGAGTGGTGGCTGCTTCAGGGTGGGTAGTCAAAAAAGGCTTCTGTGATGAGATGACATGGGATGTGATTCGAATGGTGAGAAGGAGCTACCCACATAAAAAGGCCAGAGAAACCACTGCAGGAGGAGGGAACAGCACATACAAGGAGTCTGAGATGGGAATACTTGGTGTGTTTGGCAACAGATTTGAGCTGGGTAAACAAAGAGGAAAGTGTAGGAATGGAGGTTAGAGAGATGACCACAGGATATAGGGCCTTGAATGTGGTGTTAGAATTTCTAAGTTATTTTTAAAGTACAGTGGGAAGTTTTGTGTAAGTTTGAAGGAGAGATGTGACACATTCTGATGTACATTTTGGAATGGTCACTGGCAGTTGTATGGAAAAAATTGTAGGTGCACACTGCAAGACAAGTTAGAAATCTCTTGCAGTAGTCAAAAAAGCGTTTTAGACTATAGTGGTGACAATGGAGGAGGGGAGGACTGGATAAATTCAGGATATATTTTGGAGTTCTTGTTGACAGAACTGGTTGATAATTTGTGTGGCAAGTGAAAGAAAGGGAAGAATGGAGGATGAAGTTTTTAGCTTGAATTTTACTGAGACAGGGAAGATTGAGAGAAAACAGCATTGTGGAGAAAATCAAGAGTTCCATTTAGACCATGCTAAGTTTGAAATAAGATCAAGCAGGCATTTGAATGAATAGATGAATCTAGAGGCCATTAGAGAAATTAGATCTGGAGATGTAATATGTGATGTTATATGAGAAAAACAGATTATAAAACGTATAATGACTCCAGTGTTTTCAAAATTATAAATAGAAAACTTGGAAGGACACACACCAAAGCATTATCTGAGAGCTGAGATTATACATTTTCTTCAAAGCTTTTCTGTCATTACTTGTCTGTATTTTCTACAGTAGCATGTATTGTTTTTGTAATGTAAAAAGAGTTTAATTTTAAAATTAAGATAGTTGAAAAAATAATGAAACAAGAGAGTAAATGCTTTCTGTGGAAGAAGCATATACTAGCAAGCAAGAAAAAAATATAGAAAATTCAACTTACTAGTTTATCTTTGAAATTGGAAATTATTAACTAAAGTCTAAGGATAAGCTTCAGTCTCTGAAATTGGATGAAAAAAATGTGTATGACTGAATTTTTCTCTGTAGGGATTATATCACTTTGCACAGATTCTCTAAGGGATCTGTGACTTAAAAAGATTTTTAAAAATTGGATTTGAATGGCCTGTTTTTCTATAAACCTTTTCATAATGAGCTTTAGATATCAGTATTCTTCTAAAAGTAATCATGGCTATGATCATAAGGGCAAAATATAGATTTTGCTTTTCCTCTTGATAAGTTAGCATCAGTTTTGGTGGAAGAGGGGGCTCATCTTGTTTTTTTTTTTCTTTTTTTCACTTTTAGTTAAACTTTGCATTTGATAGCATGTAAAAGAGTAATAGAATTCCATGAGGCTTTCTATGAAAAATCACGTTCTTTGCTCGCACCTTTCCTCATTTTACTTGCTTTACAAGCATTTATTTGTTCTTAACTCTGTTAAATGATTCTTTACTTCCATATCTCTATATCACATGCATATATTGTTACTTTGATGTATTTTTTTTTTCATTTAGGCAATAATGTGCTCACTTTCTGCTATGGAAGTTAAGGATTTATCTCTTCCTCCCACCATTTTTTTTTTTTTTTTTTTTGAGGCGGAGTCTCACTCTGCCGCCCAGGCTGGAGTGCAGTGTTGCGACCTCGGCTCACTGCAACCTCCACCTCCCAGATTCAAGTGATTCTTCTGCCTTAGCCTTCCGAGTACCTGGAATTACAGGCGCCAGCCACAACGCCTGGCTAATTTTCGTATTTTTAGTAGAGATGGGGTTTCACCATGTTGGCCAGGCTGCCTTGGCCTCCCAAAGTGCAGGGATTACAGGTGTGAACCACCATGCCCAGCTGGTAGTACAAGTCTTGATAAGGGAGTATTAACTTCAGAGAAGTTATGCTTTTGTAAAATATCATGTCCAAGTTATCTTTGCTAACATTAACAGAATTGCTAAAATGTACGCTGTTGGCTGAAAATTGGCTCATAAAATTAAAGAATATTAGAACTTCTAAGAAAGATAAAATAATGTAGCTTTAATACTTGGCTCCCCTTGCCTCTCCCCAGCCTCCCCCCAAAAACCTTCTAGGATTCCCAGCTTCCCCCAGAAAAACTCCTTCTAGGATTAAACACATTTCCAAATCTGAAGACTCATATAGTTTGGTAGTTTCGTACTGGATTGTTTTGTTTATAGATATATTTGTCTAAGAAAATAAATAAATAAATAAATAAATAAATAAATAAATAGAATAAGAACCCCAAACTATTTTTATTTGACCTACTGTAGCTGTGTTTATCTGAGTAAACTTTCCCTGTCTTGGTAAGCAGATGAAATGTTCATTGCTGATGTTTTCAAAGCTCTGGTCCACACAAATTATATCAGCAAACCATTTATACACTGGAAACTTAAATGTATAATATCATGATTGTTCTATAGAGAAACCACCGGCACCATCTCAAGTACAGCTGATCAAAGCCACTACCAACTCCTTTCATGTCAAGTGGGATGAAGTGTCTACAGTTGAGGGCTATCTTTTGCAGTTGAGTACAGACTTGCCATACCAAGCTGCATCATCAGATTCTTCAGCAGCACCAAATATGCAAGGTAACATAATTTTCATGCTTAAAGTATGTGTGCTCACATGCTTTTAAAAATATATACTGGCCGGGCGCGGTGGCTCACGCCTGTAATCCCAGCACTTTGGGAGGCTGAGGCAGGTGGATCACCTGAGGTCAGGAGTTTGAGACCAGCCTGGTCAACATGGTAAAACCCCATCTCTACTAAAAATGCAAAAATTAGCGGGTATGGTGGTGCATACCTGTAATCCCAGCTACTTGGGAGGCTGAAGCAAAAGTATCACTTGAACCCAGGTAGTGGAGGTTGCAGTGAGCTGAGATCATGCCACTGCACTCCAGCCTGGGCAACAAGCAAGACTCTGTCTTAAAAAAAAAAAAAAAAATTCACACACACACGCACACAAGCACACATATACTGCAGTACGTGTGTGTGTGTGTGTGTGTGTGTGTGTGTGTATGTGTGTGTGTATATATATATACATATATATATATATATATGTATATATATATACACACATACACTGCAGAAAAGTCTGTGATTAGGTTTGGTTTAAGAAATTTTATGACATTAGGTCCATGCCTGATAATTCAAATACATTGTATTTCAGTTCTAAAACTTGGATGTCTTACCATTATGATGTAGTAGAACACATAGACACGTAGGATAGATTGTGTTTTCTGCAGTTCATTTTTATGTACTTTCCTAAATTGACATATTAGTTGACTTCAGCAGATGGCTTTAATTTGCTTTCATAAATATCTTAGCTTTTTTCAAAAGTATTTTTAACTAAATAGGCCTTGGAAGTAAAAGCAAACACAAATTTTGCACATTTTTCCAGAGAGGATTTCAGTCAACTTAAGCAAACTATTAAGAAAACATATAACCTTTGGTAAAGATACTACTTTTTAAACTTTAATATGTAACTTTAAAAATATTTAATTATATTTTATTGAAGCTAGTTAAGAGCATATCAGTCTGAACCTTTCTCATTCCTTCAGGAGTCAGGATGGACCCTCACAGACAAGGCAGTAATAACATCGTTCCTAACAGTGTAAGTAAAAAAGTGTATGAAGGTAATTGGATGTTTATGGTTATAGTCTCAATTTTTATTCAGATATTTAGCATACTACTACTCTAGAAGAGGGGTCCTTAATCCTGCCTGCACTTGAGAGTTATCTCTGAGGTAAACAAACAAACAAACACAGATTCCCAAGCTCTTCCTCAAATCTAGTGAAGCAGAATCTTTAGGAAAATGCCCAGGTAGCTCTGTTTTTGAAGAAAGCTTCACAGATCGCTGTGACAGAAGCCTGAATTGAAAACCCAGGCCAAGGGAAGCCTAGCTGCATTACACAGAGCATCAGACTAATTGAATGTAATGTGTACTTATGTGTTTATTATTTTGCCATTTCTAAATGTCACACAAACAAACATCTAAAGATGTACTTTAAAAATATGTATAAAATATTTTCTTTACTGTGTATTTTGTTTACTGAAGAATATCAGTTACTAAATTGAACACTTGTGAGGTTCTTTCTTGTTTATGAAGTGCATCACAGTAGGTCTTGGTAGAGACTAACGAATATGCTTACTAAGATTCATTATTTTTATTTGGTAAACTGCCATCTACCTCAGTAGACTGTTTTCAAGGAAATTGATGTAGGTATTGGCTCATACGTTCTGAGTATGACTGAAGACCAGTAAAGGCATAGGTCCAGAAGTATATCATGTCATACTTATAGTATGTCAGGAAGGGGTTATTACAAGTAAAGCTCATACAGTTTGTAAGTAGCCTGTCATATTAGACATAATATTTCTATTATATATATTCCTATGTTATATGTTGATTATATACTATATATGTGTATGTGTGTGTATCACAAATTTAGATGATACTGTAAAGCTTATGATGAAGAGCAGTAGTTTCCTACCCTGTCCCTACCTGCTCTTGATTTCTGTTCCCTAGAAGCAACTACTTTAAACTATCGTAGCTTTCTTTTGGTATCTAACTATGCACAGTTGTCCTTCTGTATCTGCAGGGCTTTGGTTTCAGGACCCACCCCCCACAGTCCCCTCGATATTCAAGTCTCACAGTTGGCCCTGTGGAACCTGCAAATGCGGAAACTCGACCCTCTGTATCCACAGTTTTTGCATCCTGCGAATACTGTATTTTCCATATGTGTTTGGTTGAGGTTGTGGAACCCACAGATATGGAGGACCAACTGTATTTATTAAAAATAATCCACGGCCAGGCGTGGTGGCTCACACCTGTAATCCCAGCACTTTGGGAGGCCAAGGCGGGCAGATCACGAGGTCAGAAGATCGAGACTATCCTGACTAACATGGTGAAACCCTGTCTCTCCTTAAAAAAAATGCAAAAAATTAGCCGGGCATGGTGGCGGGTGCCTGTAGTCCCAGCTACTTGGGAGGCTGAGGCAGGAGAATGGTGTGAACCCAAGAGACGGAGCTTGTAGTGAGCCGAGATTGTGCCACTGCACTCCAGCCTGGGTGACCGAGCAAGACTCCGTCTCAAAAAATAAATAAATAAATAGTCACACAGAAATGAACCCTTACAGTTCAAACTCATGTTGTTGAAGGGTCTACTTTTAGATCAATTGTCTTCAATAATGAAAGATGACAATTTAATGATCTCTTACAATTTTGCCTCATCCCCTCCTTTCCTGTTCCCACATCCTTCACATATTTTTAGTAGAATTATGACTTGATGTTTACACTGTGATGGTGAAATAGTTGCAGGTGAGCCATGTAGTGTGCTATGATAATTACTCCTTTTTCATGCAACTTTGTTTTTCCTGGCATTAACGGCCTCACTTTTTCACTTGCTTAGTTTTCTTCTTGTCTATCATTAATTCATACTCAAATTTTCTAAAAAATTATAAAACTTAAGATATTTGGACATAAAGGTAGTTTCTTTTTTCCCCCCTTGGAACCATTCCTCCTGGAGCCCCCTGTCCTTATGTACTGGTTCTTCTCTAGGCCTGCTGCACAGCTGTCACCTTAGAACTAACTTCTCTCTGTTTCATAATAGGAATTTATCTCTTTCCTGTGTTACAGCCCATATTTCTTGACCTTATTTCTTCCTCTTTCTTTGTATTTTCCTTTATTTCGTTGCAACCCCCTGAGAAGTGGGCTTTTGAAAGGTAAATTTTTTGAGATCTTGCATATCTGAAAATATCTTTAGCCTATTTAACTAATAGTTTGGCTGGCTTATAGAATCCTATATTGGAAGTTTTTCCCTCAGAAATTTATAGGCATTTTTTCTAGTGTCTTTTAGCATTCGGTGTTGGTATTGAAAAGTGTGATGCCATTTGGATTCCTGATCCTTTATATATGACCTAATTTTTTATCTTTTTATCCCCAGTATGCTGAAATTTCAACAATGGTGTGCCTTAGAGTGCATGTCTTCATTTGGTGTGCCTCACCCAGTGGATCCCATTGTTCGGGAAACTCATGACCTTCATTACTGATGATTTCTTCCCTCAATTTCTTTTCTTTTTTTTTTATAAACTAGTCCTCTGATTTTGCTTTTTATCTTCTGTTTTCTCTGTGTATTCCAATTTTTACATTTTAAATATATCCAACCACATTTTTAATTTCTAAAAGCCTCATTTTATTCTTTATTTCTGTTAATAGCACCCTATTCTTGTTTCATAAATATAATATCTTTCCTTCTCTCTTGAAGAATTATACTTCAAAAATTTTGGAGTTTTAGTCTGCTCTTTGTTATGTTTCTTTTTTTCAAGCTCCTTTTTATTTTTCAATGTGTTTTAACCTTGGACTTCCACATTAGAGGTTGTCATCAAGTGTCTGGTGATACTTGGCTGTCCCTTTTTGTTTAAAGTGAGGCTTTAAAAAAGCCTGGAAGGCCTATGCATGTGGGTGTGGCTTGTTGCTTAGTAAACCTTAACAAGAGTAAGTGGGCGGGGACCAACAAATGTAAGTATCAGTGGGTCTTTTTTCTTAGACCAATTAGTTTCCCCTAAGAATTCTCCAACCTCTTGCTTAGGGGTTATGAGCCTGGCTATCAGAATTCTGGGAGCTTAGTAAGGGGATTGGAGGGAAGGTATCTTTTTGTTCAGCATTTAGACTTTCATTTAATTCCTATTTTCAGTAGGGGTGCCTCTCCCCATACTTGTATCATCCTCATACTTGTATCACTTGAGCGATACCGTAGCGTAGTCTAGAGACTCACATTTCAACCTTTCTGCCTATTTCCCATCTTCAGCTAGAATGGAGGAGAGGAATTTCTCTGGCTTGGTATGCTGGGAGAGCAGAACTAGGGCTACAGCCCTTCTTAAACAGGCTTCTGTGTGACAGGCCTCCAGCGTTTTCTTGTACTCTGCACCTCTGCCACCACTGACTGCACTGGGCCCTGGGGCACAAATGGGCCACATCTCAGTGACTTTCCACTTAGGAGAAGGCTCTTAGCTCCAGCTTTTCTGTCTTACATCTTATCTACTATTTTCTCTTCTGCCATTCTCTTTTTCCTTAAAAGGTTATAGCTTCATACTTTCAAAAATTCCTTTTTTGTCATTTGAATTGGGTTTTGGAGAAATCTCCTGAAGAGCAAATGTGTTTAATCTATCGTGTTTAATGAAAATTCTCAAGATTTATTTATACTTATTTTATAAAATTCCAGTTAGACTGAGTGTCTGATTTTAAGCAAAAAGCACATTCCAGATGTAAGGATTTTGGAATGAAATAAACCAAATTCGAATTCTAGCTGTTACTTACTGGCTACCTGGCTGTAGGTGTATTACTTAAGTTCTCTGAGTATCATTTTCTTCATCTATAAAAAAAGGGTCAAGTTATCTTACTGATAGGATTCTTGTGAAGATTAAGTAAGATACAGAGTTTATGGATATATATAGTACACTGCCTGCCATAATGCCTGGCATAGTTGTGGCTATCATTATCATCATCACTTATAAACAGTAGCACCACCAATTAAGGGCAAGCACAGGGCATATTATAGACAAGTATCCTCAGAGCTATGAGAAATTATGAGCCAACAATAAAAATAGAGAGAGAACAGTAACAAAAAACAGGTAATTAGAAAGAACAACAATATTAGGGTATTTGAATGAAGCCAGGTCACTTTTATGGTTAGGTAGACCTATAGGTTTAATAACTGATATTCACATTGATGACTTGAATTATCAAAAGATTTTAAATGTGGCGGCTGGGTTCTGTGGCTCACAGCTATAATCCCAACATTTTGGGAGGCCAAGGTGGTAGATCCTTCAGCTCAGGAGTTCAAGACCAGCCTTGACAACATGGCAAAACCTCATCTCTACAAAATATAGAAAAATTAGCTGGGCATGCTGGTGTGTGCCTGTAGCCCCAGCTACTTGGGAGGCTGAGGCAGGAGGATTGCTTGGCAGGCAGTGACTGCCATGAACTGTGATTGTGCCACTGCAATCCAGCCTGGGCAACAGAGCAAGATCCTGTCTCAAAAAAAATAAAAATAAAAATAATTTTTTTAGGCCAGGCGCTGTGGCTCACTCCTGTAATCTCAGCACTTTGGGAGGCTGAGGTGGGTGGACCACCTGAGGTCAGGAGTTCAAGACCAGCCTGGCCAACATGGTGAAACCCTGTCTCTACTAAAAATATAAAAAATTAGCCAGGCATGGTGGTGGGCACCTGTAATCCCAGCTACTTGGGAGACTGAGGCAGCAGAATTGCTTGAACACAGGAGGTGCAGGTTGCAGTGAGCTGAGATCACACCATTGTACTCCAGCCTGGGCAACAAGAGCAAAACTCCATCTCAAAAATAATAATAGTAGTAATAATTTTTTTTAAAAAGTGTGAATGTGTTTATTATAGTGTGTTTAAGAAGGTTAAGAAAAATGTAATTAGGGAGATTCTTATCCAAAATACTTCATGGTATAGGATAATGATATGTATATGTATGAAATCTTTATATGGAAAACTCAGTCATATAAAATAGTTTATTTGCTTGAAGATTCCATATAGCTGAGATTTTACTTTTGTAGTTATCATATTTTTAGGATACATGTCTGCCCTTTAAGAAAATTTGACCAGACCCAGTAGCTTTGTTCTCTCCTGTGTTATATATGTATTTGCTTGTGATACTAGCTATCACTTACTAAAATGTAGTTTTTTTTCCTCAAAATATACTCTCCCTTTCCTCTTCAAAACTGATCTTTTGAGCATGGAGATTAAGTGAAAAGAAATTGTTTTCTTAGAAACTATTATAAAATTGAAGAATAATCCTGTAGAAATTAATAATGTAATTTTTAGGTGTTTTCTATTTTGATAAAAAGTATTTAAATTGTAACTTATTTTGCTTGTTTTTTACATGTATTTGTATTTCATTGAATATTGCTTACTACAGTAATCTGTTATATTTCTTGTAGATCAATGATACAATAAACAGCACAAAAACTGAACAGCCAGCCACAAAAGAAACTTCAATGAAAAACAAACCAGACTTTAAAGCACTGACGGATTCTAATGCCATTTTATATCCATCTTTGGCATCAAATGCTTCTAATCATAATAGTCATGTGGTGGATATGCTAAGGAAAAATGAAGGTATATGGATGACATTTTAAACTAAAGCTTTTTATAAAATCGGTGGGGAATTTAATAGTCATTGAAAAAGTAAATGTTGTACAGTTTTGATCCATTTTCCTAATAGCAAAAAACTGCCATATTCAACCTGGTTAGAATAATGTTAAAATACCAAGTAAGCACTTACCTGAACAGTAATGATTAGTTATGAACTATGGAATTTAAATGAGGCAATTTTTTTTTTTTTTAAAGAATAGCCTCTCCATCAGGAAGAACTATAGTAGAAAATGATTAGGAGATTTGTTAGGGATTCTTTTAGGACTCCAGGAGATGCATAGAGACTAAAGCAGTGGCTGACTCCAGGAGATACACAGAGACTAAAGCAGTGGCTGAAATGGAGAGGCGAGAATTCATCATTTAAGAGACGTTTAGAAGGTTTCATCTATTAGACTTGACAACTGGTTGTATATGAGAAATAAAAATGAGTTGAATATGACTCCCAGTTTTTTGGGTTGGACAATAGAATAGATAATGATACTCTTCACCAAAATAGGAAATATAGGAGCAAGAACAGATTTTGGAAAAGATAGGTTCAACTTTGAACTCTGTTTTTGAGGCACTTCAGCAATATACTGGTAAAGATTTCTAATGGGCAGTCGGATACTTAGGCCTGGAGTCTAGAAGGCAGTACTAGGCTAGAAACATAAATTTAGAAATTAAGAGTATTTAAATGTAATCTCCAAAAGAGCAAGGATCTTGTTGACTTGTTCACTGCTAGATTCCTAGCACCTGGTACAGTGTCCAGGACATATGTATGGATTTGGGAATGGTATTTAACGCACAGAAAAATATGTAAAGGGCGACAAGAAGAAGGCTTAAGTTTGTGAGGCATGATCTATGCCTGCCTTATTTCACCATTATAAAAACAAATACAATGTCTCATACATGGTAGACTTCACTGTTGTGGAATGAATAAATATACGTCATAGGAAAAAAAATAGCTTCAAAAAGGAGTATGTGGTCAGCATTGTTTACAGTGCAGAAAAGTCAAGTAAATGAAAATTGAAAAATATCCCCTAGAAATCATTGATGTTTGCCAGAATTATTTTATTAAAGTAGTGTGCTAGAAATCAAATTTTGGGGAGATCAAGGAAGTATAAACTGTTCTAAAGGGAATTAGTAAGGGGAGAGGGTAATTGGTGGGAATTGTTGGGTAAACAAAGAGGTGCGTTGTTTGCTTCAGGGATTTGATGATGTTTACGAGCCAAGGACCAAAACCTACTGACAAAGAATCTGAAAACCCTGAAGAGAGAGGAATGATTGATGAGGGTCCCAACATATAGGGGAAGGAATGGGACCAAGAGTACAGGAAGATACATTCAGATTTTTTAGGAGAGAGGTCAGCAAATCTTCTGCAATGGAAGACAGGGAGGATGAGCACAATTATTAGTACAATTCTAGTTTGCAGCCAGAGAAGGCAGAAAATTGAGATAATTCATGCTTAATGACCTCTAATATTTTTTTCCTGAAATGAAGGGCAGAGCCATTTGATCTATGATTTAGTGGAAAGTCAAGAACAATGGTTCGGTGTTTAGAATGAACGAGGAAGGTAAAAAGTTGGATATCCATTATGGATATAATGCACTTTATTTTTCTAAACATTTTATGCCTAATGGATAATTCATACTAATACCATTTGTGGTGCTCATGTATGATTTTAAAACTGAAAGTACCAAGAATCATATGACAAGAACGATAAGACACAACAATTATCTGCAGATATCATATTAATAATTACCTTTTCCCTTTTATTTTAGGTCCTCACACTTCAGCAAATGTAGGTGTTCTAAGTAGTTGCCTGGATGTAAGAACAGTAATTCCTGAAACATCTGTATCCAGTACTGTTTCCAGCACACAAACTATGGTAACCCAGCAGACCATTAAAACTGAATCATCCAGTACAAATGGGGCAGTTGTTAAAGATGAAACTTCACTAACAACATTCAGTACCAAATCTGAAGGTTTGAAATGTGTTTCACATACTGTATTTTGAACCATTTATGTATATAAATTCATCAAACTTACTTGTCTTAGATGGGAGTTGCATTTCATCTTGGAATTTTGTTATTAGTCATTTTAACTTAATTTCTGTGAGCAAGAGTTTTCATTTGACCTAAATTTAACTTTTAGAATCTTTAAGAATTCTTTTTAGTTTTTGTTTTCTTTCTATCATGACTTTATGGATTTTGACCATATATTTACCTTTATCAGCTTTCATCTTTCCAGAATGTAATGTAAACAGATAAAGCATTTCATTTAAAATTATTTTATAAAATATTCTCTGCATAAAATATTTAGATTAGCACACACTATTGAAATACAATCAGAATGTGTCTTTCCTACCATGAATAAATTTAGCAAACTTTTTTTTAGACAAGATTGGTTCTAGACTGTGTATTAACAATTCTTCCAACTTGCTTGATTTCTAATTTGATAAATTCTTTATTCTTTTGAAATAGGAATTGTATTGCATCTTTAGTGAACATTCTCTGAAGTTTTAGCTAGTCATCAAACCCTTGAAAAATGAAGTTTATGAATTGTTTTGAGTTAAAGGGTCAATATTACTACTTATTGTAAATAATAGTACAATACCCTCTGGCTGTTTTTTATTGTGATAAAATACATGTAACATAAAATTTGCTGTCTTAGCCATTTTTAAGTTTACAGTTGGTGGCATTAAATATATATTTAAAAATTATATTTTAATGTATCTGATAAGTTATGTAAATCTTATCTGATAAATTGTTTAATTTTTAGTTGATGAAACATATGCACTGCCTGCAACGAAGATCAGCCGTGTAGAGACACATGCTACAGCAACGCCGTTTTCTGTAAGTACATGACCTGGTGATGATGCATGTTTACACATGATTATGTACTTTTAAATGCTGAGCAACTTCTAAATAATTTCATAAAAAGATTCTCAGGTCTCAGTAATGAACTGACATAAATTTAGAAATAAATGATTGAATAGGAAAATGTTCACAGTATAATGTTTAGTGAAACAGCTGGATAAAAAATAACATATGTGTTGTGTTCCCAATTTTATTAAAAAATACATGCAGTTCATACATTTATACTCTCACATGTACCCACACATAACCACTCTGAAATCCAGGTGGGGGGCCACAGATACTTTTGACTTTCTTCTTTATGCTTTTTATATTTTTCTATAATGCAATGTTATTTTTATAATCAGAAATGTGTGTATGTATATATACATACATATATGTGTATATATGTGTAAATTACATTAATGGTTAAAAGATAAGGTGTGTTATGGAACATAAAACTTGAATGGCTGTATTGCTAGCTGCTTAATAGGAGCACAACAGAATATTGCAATAGTGGATTGACATAAATGTAGGGTAGCCCAATAATCTCTGATATTTGGTTGTCTTACATAGGCCAAATTTGGTATGCATGGCACCAAACTTTAAATGCCAGGAAAGTGCCTTACAAATATACCAAGATTGTCTTACTTAGATAAATACAAGGATAATACATACATATATGTACTTTTGAGGTTTTTTTTTGTTATTAGTCATTTCAACTTAATTTCTGTGAGCAAGAGTTTTCATTTGACCTAAATTTAACCTTTAGAATCTTTAAGAATTCTCTTTAGTTTTTATTTTCTTTCAATCATGACTTTATGGGTTATGACCATATATTTACCTTTATCAGCTTTCATCTTTCCAGAATGTTAAGTTCTAGTGTTTTTAGACTCTTCTTAGGGAAGGATTACTAAAATGAATTTTTTTTCTCTTGAGTCTGTTTTGCCATGCATCAGCCAGAATTGTATTTGTTATTTGAGTTGGAGCCAGTTGTTTTATAAAAGTTGTTGAAGAGAGTTTTTACAACTTTATAGAATGAAAACAAGTTTAAAGCTATTACTTTTTTTTTTAACTTTAAAGACTCTTCTAGTTAGCTCACTTTGTCATGTGTGATAGCCTAAATATTAAAAAAATGTGAATTATAAGCATGTACCTCTGCTGTTATATATTTAAGACAGAAATAAATAACTGAAGTGCACATTTGTTTTGAGCTTCTGGAAACAGTGTCTCATTTATAAGAAGATGGCTTTAAAAGGTTAGTTCCAGGGATAAGTATAATTCACTTACCACTAAAAGTAGCTTAAGGTAGAGGAAGTTTATTTGTTTTAAAACAGGATAAAAAATGTAAAACTGTTTAATATACTCCTCTTTAGTATATACCAAAGTATATTCAAATTGCATTTTAGTTTTGAACATTTTTTCTCCTTTTAGGTTTGGAGAATCACAGGTATTTCAAGTGCAAAGATCACTGAATTTTTGCTAGTTGTTTTTGGATCTAGAAATGAGCCAGCTTGGAATGAATTTTTCTGTATTTGCTCCTTTGGAGCAAGTTGTAATGTTACGCTAAAGGAATTACATTTTCTGAGAGAGTCTCTGAAATGACAATGTTCTATAAAATAGCTGGCATTTTAACATATCACTGATTGGAAAGCATGCTAACTCCAGCTAGGTTGATAGTACAGAGCTACTGACTTGGAGAATGCCTGTCACTCCTGTGTTTGAATTGGCATCCCTGTTTCACTGTCAGTTGACCTAATCTGTTAAGACTTTATTTACTTATGAGTTGTTAATGTTGTGGTGTTTATCCAAATACCTACTTGTAGATCACTGCATGGACTTATTAAATCTTGAAATTTTTCGTATATTCAATAAGAGTCTTCATAAATTTTTTTTTCTCTGAAATTAGAAAGAGACTCCTTCAAATCCAGTGGCCACAGTGAAAGCGGGAGAACGACAATGGTGTGATGTGGGAATTTTTAAAAATAATACAGCTTTGGTGAGCCAGTTTTATTTGCTGCCAAAAGGGAAGCAAAGCATCTCAAAGGTAGCTATTGATATATTTTCTACATTGTAAATTATAAGCCTCAAGGATGAGATTTTTCTCTACCAATAACTTAGGGAAAGGAAAAAAAAATTAAGAATGAGATTTCTTTTTTAGAACCCTGATTCAGGTCACTTGAATGAGTAAAATTGGGATCCATCCACAATCTATATAATTGAGAATTCTGTATACCAAATGTATTAGGCCATTCTCGCATTGCTGTAAAGAAATACCTGAGACTGGCCGGGCGCAGTGGCTCACGCCTGTAATCCCAGCACTTTGGGAGGCCAAGGCAGGCAGATCACGAGGTCAGGAGATCAAGACCATCCTGGCTAACACGGTGAAACCCCGTCCCTACTAAAAGTACAGAAACTTAGCCAGGCGTGGTGACGAGCATCTGTAGTCCCAGCTACTCAGGAGGCTGAGGCAGGAGAATGGCATGAACCCGGGAGGTGGAGCTTGCAGTGAGCCGAGATGGTGCCACTGCACTCCAGCCTGGGTGACAGTGTAAGACTCCATCTAAAAAGAAAAAAAAAAAAGAAATATCTGAGACTGGATGGCTCAAGGTTCCACAGGCTGTACAGGAAGCATGATGCTGGCATCTGCTCAGCTTCTGGGGAGGCCTCAGAAAACTTCCAATCATGGCAGAAGGTGAAGGGAAAGCAGGCATGTCTTACATGGCATGAACAGGAGCAATGCGTGGAGTGGGGAGGTGCCACACACTTTTAAACAACCAGATCTCATGAGAACTCACTATACAATACTAAGGGGGGATGGTGCTAAACCATTCATGAGAACTCTGCCCCTACGATCCAATCACCTCCCATCAGGTCCTACCTCCAACACTAAGGATTACAATTCTACATGAGATTTGGTGGGAAAACAGATCCAAATCATATCACCAAGTTACATTGTATTCTGTGTTAAGGCCCTTTGTATGGACTACATCACAAGCATGTCATTTAAAAAATCTTTGAACCAGGTGTGGTGGAGCATGCCTGCAGTCCCAGCTACTCAGGAGGCTGAGTCAGGAGGATTGCTTGAGCCCAGGAGTTTGAGACTGCAGTGCAGTATGATAGCACCTGTGAATAGCCACTACATTCCAAACTGGGCAACATGGCAATACCTATCTCTAAATTTAAAAAAAAAAAAAAACTTATACAATCACTGAGGTGGAGAGTTTTTTGTTTGTTTGTTTGTTTATTTGAGACAGGGTCTTGCTCTGTCACCCAAGCTGGAGTGCAGTGGTACAATCTGAGCTCACTGCAGCCTCAACCTCCTGGGCTTAAGTTATCCTCACACCTTGGCTTCCTGAGTAGCTAGGACTACAGGGACAAGCCACCATGACCAGCTAATTTTTGTAGAGACTGGGTTTCACCATGTTGCCCAGGTTGGTCTCAAACTCCTGGGCTCAAGTGATCCTTCCATCCCGGCTTCCCAAAGTGCTGGGATTACAGGCATGAGCCACCACACCCAGCCAATGAGCTGGGTTTTAAGTCATAAATAATCTAGTCTGACTAGCACAAATAAGAGTTTTTTGAAATAGCTCTAATTTTGTTAACCGGTGTGTCTAGAGAATGGAACTTTTTTTTTCCTATTGAAAAAGAATTTTTTTATTCCTCATTTTACAATTAAAAGAAATCTAAAAACCCTGATATGCTATTAAATACAATCTAATGTTCCCTTGATTCTGAAACCCCTTAAAGAGGACCTCATATACATATATGAGATATTTTATGTATATATGTAAATTAGACATTTAAGCTTCTAAGAATTATTAAATAGATAACAGCTCCAAAGCACATTGGAAAAATTTATGAAGGCCAGGTGCAGTGACTCATGCCTGTAATCCCAGTACTTTGGAAGTCCAAGGTGGGAGGAGCTTGAGCCCAGGAGTTCGAGACCAGCCTGGGCAACATGGCAAGATCCTGTCTTACAAAAAATAAAGAAGTTTTCTGGGCAAGGTACGTGCCTCTGCTCCCAACTACTTGGGAGGCTGAGGTGGGAGGATCACTTGAGCCAGGAGGTCAAGGCTGCAGTGAGCCATGTTCAGGCCACTGCACTCCAGCCTGGATGACAGAGTGAGATGCTGTCTCAAAAAAAAAAATTATTAAATGGACAATTTCTGAGAGAGAATTGCCAAGGAAATAGATGTTCATTTTGAATCTCCCGAAGATATGCACAAATGAGGATTATATCCTATATATTTATATATATTTTAGTTGCTCTACTATTACTCCTCATATCCCTCTTTTTCATACAGAATTTTTCTAATTCTTGACAAAAATAGAAATTCTAGTTAATAATTAGTATTATGCCCAGTGAAATTTCTCACTGTAGTTTGATTTCATATATAAAGACGTGTCTGTGTCTAGGGGCCTAGTAGCTACCTGATTTTTCCTAAAAGAAAAAAATAGCCTAAAATTTAGAGCTAGTAAACTTAGGTTTAAATCACTAGCTCCAGCATTCAGCAGTGTGATCTTGGCAAGTCAACTTGTTTAATCTCTCTTAGATTCAGTTTCCTCATCTGTAAAATAGAGATGACATGGCTCCCTTAAAGTACGAGAACACAGTGGCACTCTGTCTAACTGGGAGAGTTAGGGAGAATATGTAAAAATTGTTTGAAAGTTGTAAATGTTATTATCTTCCTACCTAGAGTATATAATCTAATTATTTAACATTTATTTGGTGTCTGTTGAATTTTAATTTAAAAAATGCTCTATAGGCTGAGCATGGTGGCTCACGCCTGTAATCCCAGCACTTTGGGAGGCCGACGCAGGTGGATCACATTTGGTCAGGAGTTCGAGACCAGCCTGGCCAGCATGGCGAAACCCCGTCTCTACTGAAAAATACAAAAATTAGTTGGGTGTGGTGGCAGGCATCGGTAATCTCAGCTACTCGGGAGGCTGAGGCAGGAGAATCGCTTGAACCCGGGAAGCGGAGGTTGCAGTGAGCCGATTGTGCCACTGCACTCCAGCCTGGGAGACAGAGTGAGACTCCGTCTCCAAAAAAAAAAAAAAAATTCTCTGTACTACATGCTAGTCACTCCTTTTCTATGAAGCTTGCTTGCCTGTCTCTAAAGGGTATTGTTCCTGGGCAGACTATTATTTGACGGTATATCTTCTGAGATTTCTGCTTCAAGATAAGTTTACATGATGATGGGATAGTTGTGTTTATGGCAGTTGTCAGCTTTTTTTCTACCTTCACATTGTTCACGTGCAGAATGCTCTTACATTTCTCTGTGTAATCAGTGATTCTCAACTGGAAAGAGTGCTCACCTCTGGATAAGGAGCACAGATTTATGGACTTAGTTGCTTGTCTATTGGAGGGTTCATTCCATGTGAGAGAGAGGGAGATAAATGTGAACCAGAACCTTAAAACATAATTTATTCTTTAAAAGTTTTTTTGTTTAATAAAAATTGAATAATTTTTAAAATTTTAATATATTAGTTGTACCTTTTCTTTGACTTTTGCATATACTACATTTTAGGTAGGAAATGCAGATGTACCTGACTACAGCTTGCTTAAGAAACAAGATCTTGTTCCAGGCACAGGATACAGATTCAGGGTTGCTGCAATCAATGGTTGTGGGATAGGTCCTTTCAGCAAAATCAGTGAATTTAAAACTTGTATTCCTGGTTTTCCTGGAGCTCCTTCTGCAGTCAGAATTTCAAAGGTGAGACATCGGGTCAAGACTTGTTGGTGATTTTAAATTATTTGAAATTTCACATGTGAAGTAAACTGTCAGTTTAGAAATTCTTGTTACCATCTAATGAAATGAGAGATACCTAAAAGGATGGATTTAAAGTTTAAAAAATAATTTTAGCTAATCATTCATTTTTTTTAACTTTTATTTTAAGTTCAGGGGTACATGTGCAGGTTTGTTACAAAGGTAAATGAGTGTCATGGGGGTTTGTTGTGCACATTATTTCATCACCCAGGTATTAAGCCTAGTACCCATTAGTTATTTTTCCTGATCCTCTCCCTCTTCCCACCCTCCACTCTCTGATAGGCCCCAATGTGTGTTGTCTCCCTCTATGTGTCCATGTGATTTCAAGCAAAATTACAGCATCCAAATCACAGAAAGGCAGGGAAATCTGGTATGCTTCTAAATTTGTTCTTGTTATTATGGAACGAAAACATTTGGCTGGAGAATTTTAATAGAGCACTCGAAACTGGATTATATTTTATCCTAATGTCCTGTCCCTCCCTAGAGATTGTTTAGGAAATAAAAATCCCTGTTTTGGGATATTACAGGCAGACATTTAAACTTAGTTGTGTTTTTGAAAAGCAAGCATGAAATTAAACATTGTAGATCCAAATGAGGTAGGTTTTAAAAATCAACAATAAAAGATGTAACATCTAATGCAATTATTTTAGTAAAAATGAACATTTTGTATTCTAAAGATAGACTCAACATAATAAGTGATAACAGAGGAAACTTAAGAACCTTTAACCTGTTTTTTCCCCCCCCCTTCAAGAATGTTGAAGGTATCCACCTTTCCTGGGAACCTCCAACCTCACCTTCTGGAAATATTTTGGAATATTCAGCCTACTTGGCTATCCGCACAGCACAGATACAAGATAATCCAAGTCAACTTGTGTTCATGAGGATTTATTGTGGTCTTAAGACATCATGTATAGTAACTGCTGGGCAACTTGCAAATGCACATATTGATTATACATCCAGGCCTGCCATTGTGTTCAGGATATCAGCAAAGAATGAAAAGGGATATGGACCAGCTACACAAGTTCGGTGGCTTCAAGGTAACAATAAGAAAGCACCTTTAAATTGAATTGGTTTTTTTACTGAAGCTATTGTGATGATGATTATTTATTAGTAACTGGTTATGAAGATTTGTCATTTAAAAGAGTATTCTCTGGCTGTATTTCCAGCAGTTATGAACTTGAGTTTGTAAATTGTTCTTAAAATGTATTTGCTGAATTATAGATCCAAATAAAAGAAAAGAAGCAAAGACTCTCTGAAAATTAGTATATGAGTTCTTCCTTACAGATATAGCTCTTTTATAAAGAAAAACAGTGAAATTAAGATAAAAGCTAGAAAGCTTTATTACCCCAATATCTTTTATAAGGGCTGTGTAACCCAGTCATCCTAGAGTTATTGAGATGATTCTGGTAACTGGCTGTTGTATACTATGCTGTCTTATATAGTAAATGTTCTCTACATTGTAAATGTCCTACCTTTGAGTACTCCTTCTATCTTTATTCTATATGAGCAGTGTTCCTCTAACAACTGTCTTCTATTGGATAATATGTGTGATACTATAATAATTCTAATAGTTATTTGATTCCTTTCTTTGTTTACAGTTAGCACAGAGCTTAAGAAATTAAAAAAGAGGCAAGTTTAGAAACTGCTTTTGAACTTTTATTATTTTCCAAGAATCATGGTAAAATACAACAAGAACAATGAGTTTTCTTGATTCTTACCAGGCCAATATATTTGAATATATTTTTGGCCAAAGCACTTAACTTATCTGGCCCTCATTTTCCTCATAACAGATGAGGGAGTTAAAGCAGTTTATCTTTTAGGTCCCTTTCAGCACTAAGGTTTTGTGTTTTTAGTAGAAGTGAAGTATGTCCCTGAACATTTTCATCTGTCTTAATGGCTCTAATTTTGCTTTTGCTAAAATTAAAATCTTCATAATTGAATTCAAAATTAAAGTATATGTCCTCCTATTGGAGAAAAAAACAAGCACCTTAACAGGACACAAGTTTTAAAATAGTGTTTTAAACATTTGTAAGATTTTTGTAAATGCTCTAAATGTTTTATTTTTGCATTGTTTTTACCTTGAAATTGTATAAACTTTTTTACTATGAAAATATAAGCATTAGACAGCTAACTCAGGTTCCATTACAACCTTAAAGATACAGATAGGCATTATAAACACTCTGCTACAGGTAACTTGTTTTAAACCTTTTAGGAATTTCATGGTTCCACTGCCTATTTAAATCTGGAATTAATATACAGAGCAATAATTGCAGAAAAGATATTTCAAACTAAGAGCTTCAATAACTGCAGGGGCACAGGTCTATCTTTTTTTATACCACATAACCTTATGCCAGTTTAGGTTGACTGAGTAGCTATGTCCTCAAATTTCATGTATGATACCCCCCAGCAAAGATGGATTTAATTGTGCAGAATTGATATATATGTGTGTTCCAGTTACTAATTTAAAGTGTATAGAATATTTTAATATATAATTTTTGTAAAGAACTGGGATTTTTATACTACAGTATTTGTAATTAATGTGTCTCACTAATTAAGTTTCTCTTGAAGAAAATATGCAAATTGTTAGACACATAATGAGTGGTTTCCAAACTCTAAAGATAAAATAAATGCACTACTATGGTGTTGTTAGAATACCTTTTTTGTGGCTGTATGAATCTTTACTCTTTAAATGTGTACTTTACAATGTTTACAAGGAGCTTCTCTGGTTTGTTATCCCAGCAATGCCCTTGGTGAGAGCTTCATTCTGCATTTGTTTAATTCATATGCTTTGCTTTTGGCATATGCTTGCTTTTTGCACTAGTAGAATTTTAACTTACCTCATTATTATGTTTGTAATCATTTGTCTAGCTTCTGTAATGTATCTGATATAGGCTAAACAAATACTTAACCAAAGTTAAAATACATGGTAAGCAATTTTGCACATATTAAATATTAGGGTTTGTTGTGTATATGTGTATACTTAATTATAAAAGAATATGAATGGAAAGTTATACTAAAAGTATATGTTTCAAGCCCAGTTATTTTAAAGATCTATTGCTTTAATAGAAAAAGTTTGGCTTTTAACCCTTTCTTCTCTGCATTAATTAACAACGTGCATCTTGAAGCCCTTCTCCTGATAACAAGGAATAAGTTGATTTTAAGCAAAGGATAGAATATTTGTTTGAGTGTGCACATTTATACCTGTTTAGTATTTGATTCAGTTAAGCCTCCACTCTTCTGGATCAGGAGGTGATTCTGAACCTGTGGTTCTAACATATGACTTAACTGTTTAGAGGGAAGAGAAGTCTTTCTATACTGAGGGATTTGTTAAAATCATAAATGTTTTTGCCCTGAGACTTAGCCCAGATTCTATTTTTTTTTTTTTTTTGGCATTTGTACATTAAGCACCAGTCATATTTATCTCTGTGATAAGGGATTGCTGACTAAAAAATGCCATTAAGAAATCTCTGTGGCTTTGACATTAGTAGTTAATAAGAGATCTTAGAGCTGTGTGCTGATGAATAGAATGAATTGGAGCAAATAGCAAGAGAAGTGCATTTAGCTTCTTATGATTTGCACATTTTCTAAATGAAGATCCCTTTGTGTAGCAGTAGGCTGTATCATGCAGATATTTTTCATAGGATTTGCACTGAGTTAAATGACTTTCTTTACTCTTCCCAGTCAGGTAAGCAGTTCAAATATAACAAGACTTTGTGCCAGTCCTCTTCTGTGTTCTGCAACTCTGGCTCTCATAAGTAGTAAAAATATTTTTGATGTTGCATGCTCTCAGAATTATGTTTTCTAAAATATCATATTGGCTTCATTTTAGTTTAATAAACTTCTTTGGCAACTTAATTAGACATAGGGTATATATAAACTCAATTTTATCTGCATTTTTTAAAAAATTGAAATAATCTGATTGCATGTATGAAGGACTCCTGCCTCATTACCCAATTACATAAATACAATTATCTATAGGAAGGTGAAATTGTTGATCTATTATTTCAAAGACTTGTAGACTAGCAAAGATTCATTCTGATTAGAAATAAGGTCTATAGCTAAAGATATTTTTATTTTAAAAAATTACAGCCCTTGTAACAAAAATCATTTGTAACATTGGATATGAAGACATTATTAGTATTTAAAATTATTGTAGTCATTTGATCATAAATGAAGTAGCTTGCAAAATAGACTTGGTCTTTGACCCTTTAAGGTGTAACTGACTGACTGTTGTGTTTTTCAAGACTGATTTTAGGCAGTTTTATGTATCGTGTACCAATGATATGTAAAATAAAGCACCTTTTCTACTATAAACAATTACAGGTGTTATTTATTTTGAAGGATATGAAAGAAAAGTTAGTGATGGCAGAGTAAATCTGTAGAAATGTTGATTTTATATTTAAAATAACATTATGTAAACATATTAAACATATATTAACATGTTTAATAATTAATATTTAATAATTAACAAGTTTAATAATTGTTAAACATATATTTAAAAGGCTGCCTGTATTGTTTGAAATAATATAGGCAGCCTTTAAATTAAGAATGGATTGTGTTTAAAAACTTGTTTTTAAGTTTTTAAGATGGCAGTTGGGAGTCGTTTTCTCATAGAAATGTAAATCCTATGTAAGTAACCCTTGTCACACCTGAACTAGTATGCTTGAAAGTAAAAAGGCAAATGGCTCCAAGAAATAGTCTAAACTTGTTGTCACCTTTTTTTTGTCTTTCATTTACTCTAAAATATTTTTCTTTATTCTTTTCATCCTTTTAAATTCATAGCAGCCAGACTTCTGACCTGCTGCTCCATTGAAATGGCTCTAGCAAAGTTCAAGGATAACCTCCCATTTCCCAAATCCAGGGAACTCTTTTATCGTATTTAATCTTGTCATTTGAAACTTTTGTCCACTGTCTCGGCACTTCCTCATTTTTGTAGTGTCTATCATACCATGCTTTCTGTCCATCTTTACACACCTCCTCCTGTCTATGGTTCCCTTTTTTACTCCCACCTGTCCCCATTCATTTTTTTTCCTAGATTCAGGCCAAATTGCCAATCTGAAGAAGTCTTTCCTGACATACTCCACCACCAGGTAGATTTAACCCCTTCTTTTTGTTCTCCCACTGTCCTTTGTTAAATCTTCTGTCATAGCAGTCTAAAAACTTAGCGCCCCTATTTGTTAGCATGTCCCTCTCCATCTGCTAGATGGTAGGTCTTCAAGGCAGAGACTGGGTCTTTATACCCGTTCCATGTTGGCTGGCTAGTTAACTGGTACTTAAATATTTTAACAAGCGGGTAAAGAAAATTGTCACCTTTACACTTCTTCATATTCCCACTCCTCCTAAATAGAGGTCAAAATGGGAGGGAAGCTTTGAAAGGGAAAGAGATTTTTTGCAGATTTGCCAAGTATCTGGAGGAAATGCAAACTCTTTAGCTTTGTCTTACCCTGCCCTGCTATTAGGTTAAAAGAAGTTCTGGGATAAGAGATTTAGTATAGGAGGTCTTTGATTGGAAAAGGTCCTTCTACCAGATCAGGTTTGTTTTTTTTCTTAAAGGAAAGAAAGAAGAAAGATCTTTCATGAGGTTATGGGCATTGCTGGATTATGATTTTTAACACTGGATGATCAAAATAAGCTAAAACTGTCAAAAGTTAATCTCTGACACTAGAAATTACCTACCTATATAAGTTCAGGGAACTGCTGAAGGACATGGTTACCAGGATTGGAACTGCATTGGATTCTGTTAATATCAAGTCAGGTCACTGTTATCACCTCTAAACTTGTAGGACAAAAGATTCTTACACTCAGGAAAATGAGATGACATTGGCAAAACTCCCTTCTAAGTTTTCTAGTTATAGTTAGTCCCTAGACTTATGTATTTCTGTGACTCCAGAAAAAAACTTACTTTGATCATTCCTGGAAAAACATGAACTACAAAATTCTGGGGGAAAAATCAATAAATTCTGTAAACCGAATGAAGGGCTTATGTCTGTAATCCCAGGCCAAGGCGGGTGGATCACCTGAGGATTGACCAGCCTGGCCAATATGGTGAAACCCCGTCTCTACTAAAAATACAAAAATTAGCTTGGCATGGTGGCGGGCGTCTGTAATCCCGGCTACTCAGGAGGCTGAGGCAGGAGAATCGCTTGAACCCTGGAGGCGGAGGTTGCAGTGAGCTGAGATCGCGCCATTGCACTCCAGCCTGAGCGACAAGAGTGAAACCCCATCTCAAAAAAAAAGGCCATAAAATCTGAGAACACCAGCTTCCTTGTTCAAAATAGTGTCCACTTGTGGGCCTATTAATCTCAGCAGAGGGGATCTGGAACTGAGCATGAGGTTCTTTTGTTTTATATATTTGGTATTTTGGATAAATTAGGTTGAGCAAAGGCCTGCTACTTAATCGTCAAATTCACAATCTGGCTACCACTCCTGCCAGTACCTCACATTCAAAAAAGTTATGAGAATGCAAGGTTATAAAGCCTTTGGTCTTGGATAGAGAGAATGCTGGGAAGTCATAGAGATGAGGTTGTGAAGGTTACAGAAGTATTCCTTATTTACTGATTTTAATTTGCTTGTTCAAAAGATATTTGAAGAGTGCCTAGAGATGTCAGGGTGTTTACCTATAAAAGAGAAGAAAGTATGAATTGGTGGCATATCAGATATGGAAGATGTCACAGAGAAGGAAACGTCCCCCCCCACCACCACCATTCTACCCACTTCCCCTTCATGGTCTTCTTACCCCCGCAAAGATACGAAGCTAAAAGATCCATCATTCCTGAGCATGAGAATTGAGGAAGGCACAAGATGAGCCCTTTGGTATGAGCACATACAGGTTAAAAATAAAAGGTAGCAGCTAGTGTTTGTTTTTGAACATAGAAAAACCATGTCCACTAGTAAATTATACTCCAACAAATGTCCAGCTCCAACCAAAAAGATTATCCATTCCTCCTACTGAGAAGATAGAGTAGACGTTCTCTGAGAATTTAAGAAGAGTTACCTCCTTTTCTCTTTCCATATTGGGGAAGGGGCAAAAAGCTACAGCCATAATGTTTATCATCCGCTGTAACAAAGCATAGCATGTAAGAGAGTGGGCAGAGATCTGAAGATAAAACTGCTTGATTCACAATCATCCTGCCAGTTGCGATTTAGCACCCCCTGGTGGCATTGTCCAGCCCAGCTTACATGTGGATAAGATTCTAGGTCTTGTAGCTGCCTAGGATTTTAAAAATAGCTACAGCAATACCTGGAGCTTTCTGGTGAGTTGGCAATCCTGTGTTAGACCCAGTTGGAGAGAATGGACCTGGAGAATATACTTTCTACTTTCCTGCAACTTCCTAACCCAAGATAATAACTTTAACCTGCCCTGTTTAGATACAGGGACACACTGATTATTTCAAGATCCATTTAATTTTTGAGGATTTTTAGATTGTTTATCAAAATTTCTAGCTAGTTTTCTGAATCAGGAGAAATTGCATCTTAACTATGTCTTTTTAAGTCTACATAATGGCACTGACATTGATAACCTTGGTAAAGACGTGATTGCAAAATTGTTATAACATTTGTGTGATCAGCAAGGCACCTGTTATTGAGCAATGTGGAGAAACGGTCAGTTGCTGCCATACACTTTCCATATTTTTGGAATACTTAATACATAAATCATTATTAGGAGAATGTGTGAGAGGATATTTGTACTTTTGAAAGTCAACATAATTCAGTAAAGAGGTGGTTTCTTTGTCAATTTATTTGGAATTTATATCACCTATCATTTCATTGTCTGCTTTATATAAATAATTATACCCAGAGAACAAAGTAACCAATTAACCAGAGTCATGCCAGTGAGTCCAAGCCAACTTGGAAGAACAGTGCTATAATATTGCCATCTCATTGGATCTTGACCCTGTGGGAATCTAGTTAACTTCCGTGAGGAATAGTCCATACTCATTTCCTTTTCATATTATCATGTATTGCTTCCCCCATTATTATAATTGACTGATTTGCATAGCACAGTAGTGGCTGAAATATCAGAAGATATTCTCCCTTTGTTGATGAAAGTACGTATTGCATAACCTTGTATCTTTTTTCTTTTAAAATGTTTGTTGTGAAATAATACAAAAGTATATTGTGTATGTATGGTTTAAAAAATAACATGATCACACGTACTCAGCCTTCAGCTTAAGAACTAGAACATTCTCAGCTGCCTAGAATCCCCCATTTGTTCTCCCTCCATAGATTATATGAGGTAAACATTCTTCTGGATTTTTTGTTAATAATTTCCCATGTTTTTATTTGTGACTCTACCATCTATGTATGTATTCCTAGTAATATATTGTTTAAATTTGTTTTTGAACTTTTATGTAAATGGAATCATGCTGTATGTATTCTTCTGTGACCTCTTTTTTCTGACATTGTTTTTGAGATTCCCATCCATGTTTATGCATGTAACTGTATTTCATGTTTTCACAGCTATATGGTATTCGATTGTATGACTATTTCACAATTTATTTATCCATTCTTCTATTTATGGAGATTTGGATTGTTTTCAGCATTTTGCAATTACAAACAATGCTGCTATGAACATTCTGCCCAATTACAATGTAAGCTGTGTGTGGGCAGAAGTTTTGTCTGTTCTGTACTCTACCATATTCCCAATGTCAGAACAATGCCTGGCACCAGGTAGATGCTCAATAAATATTTGAGGAATGAATGACTTCTTGTATTGTCTCCTGGTGCACTTTTACAGCAGTTGCTCTAGGACAGTTGTTGTCAAAGTGTGGTTCAGGGACGCCTGGGGGTCCCTGAGACCTTTTTGGGAGGGGTCTGTGAGGACAAAACTATTTTCATAATAATACTAAGGCATTATTTGTTCATTTCATTCTCGATTTTTTCACATTTTCCAGATGTATGATAACATCATCACTCTGGCAGCTAATCAAGTATACTTGTATATTTCTGTTTTAAGAAGTCTGAATTTTAATTTCTAATATGGTAAATATTGATAGATATAACCCACATGAACAACAGCTCTTTGAGGCCGTCAATAGTTTTTAAGGATAGAAAGAGGTTCTGAGACCAAAACTGAGAACTGCTGCTCTAAGGAGTGGGTTTTACTTGGTAATTGTTTTCTAAAACATTTGTACCAACTTATACTCCCACTGGCAGTGGTTGAGAGTTCCCATGGCTTCACATCTTGGCTAACACTTGGTCTTGACTATCTTTGTATGTGCCAACTGGATGGCTATTATGTGGTTTCTTAGTGTGGGTTTAATTTGCATTTCCCTGATTACTAATGAAATTGAGTGTCTCTTCATATATGGGTCCATCATGATTCCTCTTCTGTGAAATATTCCTGTCTTTTGCCCATTTTTCTATTAGGTTGTCTGTCTTTTTTTCATTGATTCATATGATGGATACCAATCCTTGGTCAGTTAAATATATTGCATATATCTTCTCTCAGTTTGTGTATTGTCTTTGTAATTGTAAATAATCTGTTGATCCACTTGGAGAAAACTGACATCTTTTCAGTAATGAGTCTTTCCAGCCAAAACCATTGTGTAGCTTTCCATTTATTAGGTCTTCTTTCATGTCTCAATGAACTTTAAAAATGTTCTCCATAAAGGCCTTTACATCTTGTATTAGATTTCATCCTAGTGGTTTTATAGTTTTTAATGCTGTAAACTGAATTTTTATCTTTTTAAAATTTGTTTTTATCTTAAAATTTTTCTCATTATTTTTATTGACTTTGTTAATTTCATTCAAAATGCATAACAATATTTCTATATAATCAGCAATAACCAGAATGGAAAGTATAATTTTAAAAATTCAGTTTAATTAAATTCAGTTTACCTGTTATGGATGGTAACTGAATTTTACTGAATTACTGAATTTTTAAAATTATACTTTCCATTCTGATTGTTGCTGATTTTTAAAATTCAGTTTAATTAAATTTAGTTTACCTGTTTCTATCTGGTAACAGATAAAATTATACCTGTTAAAATTATACTTTCCATTGTGATTATTGCTGATTATATAGAAATAATGTTGGCATGTATTGATTTTAGATCCAACAACTATGCTAAACTTTTATTAGTTCTAACAATTATCTAGATGTCCTTTGAGTTTTTTAAATTAACATTTGCAAATAGTGGCAATTTTTGTCCTTTCTGATCCTTACAACTTTTTAAAAATTTCTTGTATTTCTGTGCTAGCTAGCACCTATAGAACAATGTTGAAGGGAACTGATAGTGAATCTTGTCTTAACCCTGATTTAAAGATTTTTTTTTTAACATTTCACTGTTTAGTGGCTTTTTTTTTGTAAATGGCCTTTATCAGTTTAAGGAAGTTTTTTGTTTTTTGGTTTGGTTTTTTGTTTCTGTTAATCCAGGCTGGAGTGCATGGCATGATCACAGCTCACTGCAGCCTTGATCTGCTGGGCTCAAGTGATCCTCCTGCCTCAGTATCCCAAGTAGCTGGGACTACAGGCATGTGCCACCATGCCCAGCTTATGTTTAAATTTTTTGTAAAGGTGAGGTCTCATTATGTTGCTCAGGCTAGTCTCCAGTTCCTGGGCTCAAGCAATCCTCCTGCCTCAGCCTTCCAAAGTGCTAAGATGGCCAGTGCTGCACTGCACCTGGCCAAGGAAGTTATCCTCTTTATCTAGTTTGCCAATAGTTGTATTATGAATGGATTTTTTTTTTTTTTTTTTTTGAGATGGAGTCTGGCTCTGTCGCCCAGGCTGGAGTGCAGTGGCGCAATCTTGGCTCACTCCAAGCTCCGCCTCCCGGGTTCACGCCATTCTCCTGCCTCAGCCTCCAGAGTAGCTGGGACTACAGGTGCCCACCACTAAGACCGGCTAATTTTTTTTTTTTTTTAGTAGAAACGGGGTTTCACCGTGTTAGCTAGGATGGTCTCGATCTCCTGACCTTGTGTTCTGCCTGCCTAGGCCTCCCAAAGTGCTGGGATTACAGACGTGAGCCACCGCGCCCGGCCTGGATATTGAATTTTATTCAAGGCTTTTTTTCTGTCTCTCCTTTAATGTGTTAATATATAAATTATGGTAACTGACTTTTTAATATTAAACCAGCCTTTAATTCCAATTATAAACCCAACTTGGTCATGGGGTGTGTGTTTTAATATTTTGCTGGACTCAATTTGCCGATATTTTGTTTAGTTTTGGTCCTATAGGCCAGACACGGTGGCTCACGCCTGTAATCCCAGCAATTTGGGAGGCCGAGGCGGGCAGATCACTTGAGGTCAGGAGTTCGAGACCAGCCTGGCCAATATGGTGAAACCCCATCTCTACTAAATATACAAAATAGCTGGGCGTGGTGGTGTGCACCTGTAGTCTCAGCTATTCAGGAGGCTGAGGCACCAGAATCACTTGGGCCTGGGAGGTGGAGATTGCAGTGAGCCCAGATCACACCACTGCAGTCCAACCTGGGCAACTGAGCAAGACAATATCTCAAAAATAAATGAATAAAAACAAATAGTTTTGCCCCTATGTTCATGAGTAAAATCAGTCTATAATACTTTCATGTCCTATCATTGTCTGATTTTGGTATCAACATTATACTAGCCTCATGAAATGGTGAGTTTTTCAATTTTCTGGAAATGTTTAAGATCAGAACAGTCTTTAAAACTATTTGGTCATTAATGGAAGATTTGTATTCAATGTCTTTAAAGGTTATAAGAACATTAGGATTTTATTCTTATCAGTGTTTTCTTTTTTTTTTTTTTGAGACGGAATCTCGCTTTGTCGCCCAGGCTGGAGTACAGTGGCATGATCTCTGCTCACTGCAAGCTCCGCCTCCTGGGTTCATGCCATTCTCCTGCCTCAGCCTCCCGAGTAGCTGGGACTACAGTCACCCACCACCACGCCCGGCTAATTTTTTGTATTTTTAGTAGAGACGGGGTTTCACTGTGTTAAGCCAGGATGGTCTCAATCTCCTGACCTCGTGGTCCACCCGCCTCAGCCTCCCAAAGTGCTGGGATTACAGGCGTGAGTCACTACACCCGGCCTCTTTTCAGTTTATTATTTTTTTCTAGGGATTTATCCATTTCATCTTAGTTTAAGATTTTTCCTATATGAAGTTGTCTATATTATTCTTGTATCATTTTAGTCTCCACAGCATCTGTTAGTTGACCTTCATTCCTGTTTATTTGTGCTTTCTCATTTTTCTTGGTTAATCCTTCAAGAGGTTTAAATGTTTAACACATTAGTTTCTTTAAAAGCGTA
Source organism: Homo sapiens (assembly GCF_000001405.40). Classification (NCBI taxonomy): domain Eukaryota; kingdom Metazoa; phylum Chordata; class Mammalia; order Primates; family Hominidae; genus Homo; species Homo sapiens. The sequence continues at coordinate 104,114,437 of NC_000012.12, forward strand.
TTTCCAAATGTCAGGGATAGGTTATAGTAGCTTGTCTAAATCCCTGCTTTCATGATACACTTTAAAAATGCATTATTCAATTAATTTGCTGATAGTTCACATTATTTTATGTTATAAAGCATTTGGGGGTTTTTAACTGGGAGTTGTTAGGTTATCTAGGCTGTCTTACTCTTGGAACTGAAGTCTGGATTAATAGTTTGCCCATATTTATGTGAGTAGAATACATGGTACTTCCAAGATGTCTGGTTCTCTCTGTACAGTTCTGTAAGATAGCACTTTTACGGTGTGGAGACTGCTACTTGCAAGGTTGGGAATGTGCAGAAAGAAACTATTTTTTAAAGATAGACTCTTCCTCCAAAGTAAGGAATGGCTCTGCCATTTCCTTAAATGTCCCAAACATTGTTCTTTGATTAATGATTGCTTTGATCTGAAAAAAGAATTTGGATTTGGTTTCTTGTAAACCTAATATTGGGGATTATATATGCATGAATGAGCCTCCTTGGCATACCTGTCCTGGCTGAAAGGCACTTTCTGTTATGACTTTTCCTTGCCCAGTAACCTGTTTTCAACAACTGCCTAGTGTTCAAAGTTCAGAAATATCTTTCATTCAGATGTACTCTGAAATTGAGCCCTGGAAAACAGTTGCAAAAGTATGACACAAACCTGTTACTGCTTGCTTTTAGAGGACAATCAAGGAAGATCTAAATTATACCTTAAAAGAGGCAAGAATTTATGCCATGGATCAGAATTTTATAATCTCAGTATATTTTTGTGGAAGAAAAAAGAATTACCTATTAACGTAATTTGCTCCCCTAAAACTAGTACATGGCCTTTAAGACAGTGCCAGTGGCCGGGCGCAGTGGCTCACGCCTGTAATCCCAGCACTTAGGGAGGTCAAGGTGGGCGGATTGCTGAGCTCAGGAGTTGGCGACCAGCCTGGGCAACACGGTGAAACCCCGTCTCTACTGAAATACAAAAAATTAGCCGGGCATAGCAGCATGCGCCTGTAGTCCCACCTACTCGGGAGGCTGAGGCAGGAGAATTGCTTAAACCCAGGAGGCGGAAGTTGCAGTGAGCTGAGATCACGCCACTGCACTCCAGCCTGGGCAACAGAGTGAGACTCCGTCTTAAAAAAAAAAAAAGGGGGGGGGGCCAGCACATATTTTAATGACTTTATTCTTACCTGACACACTTGCTCAGATTAATTTTGGTAAAGGAGTTCTTATAATAAGTTGTCTTGCACAGGTATCCCTTTAATATGCAGTGGAAAAAGAAACAGTCTGGAGTAAGATCAGGGAAAACTGTAACTTTACTATTAGGCAAGTGTCTCTCTTTAAAGGCAATGGCCAGAAGCCAGAGAAATGAATCCATGCCAGTGCCATCTGTGGCCCAAGATTTGAAGGGATTCTGCCTTATGGTTTCACAAATCCTTAAAATCAGGTACAAAAAGCAGCAGTCTTGAAACAAATTTCTAAGGGGCTGTACAGCAGCCAGTATAAAAGGCTGTATTACACATCTCCTCAGTTTTGGGTGGTGCTGTTTGTTTTCTGTTTTTGGTGATTAGTACAAAGGTTTTACAAATGTTTGAGGACCTTTTCTGATGAAGTTAAGACCTGAAGAATGAGTGGGACTAGGCAGAGGGAAGTCTATGTGTTTAAGGTCATGGCAGGTGGGTGGGGGAGGCAAAGAACTTGGCATAAGGAGCCTAGACGAGATCAGGGGTGACTGGAGCTCCCCAGTCAAGAGAGAGCTAAACTTGGTGAAGTAACATTTCTAGCTCTAAAAGAAAACATAAATTAAAACTGAATATTTTTCAGGCAGTGTAGTATAGTTCCTTAAAAAACAAAGTTAGAGTTCCATTTTTTAACTCACAAGCACATTATATGACTTAATAGGAGTTTAAGGTCAATATATACAAATTATTAACTTATGTAAATTAATTTATCAGCTGCCTAATTCAGGGAAACCAAAAAATACATTTAAAATAGACTAGTAAAATAGATTTCACCCAGTATCACTTTCTTTTGAAGCCCTCTAAGAAGCTGCCTAATTATTACTTATTTGAATGACTTAAAGTGTATTTTATCACATAAAGCAACAAACATCATCTTGTTTATATTGTTGATAAAATAACAATTTTCCTTAAGAGAAAATATTTTTTAAAAATCTTGCATTGCAAGATTTCATTCTTAGCAAATGGGAGAAACTATTCTTTCCACTTTTCATGCCTAATTTCTACTGCTGTAGAAGTCCTTTTAATTGGGCCCTCATAACTATATTCAATTAGAATTATTAAAGTTAATTGGTACTCCTTTAACTCACTAAGACAACCCAGAAAACAGGCAATAAGGCATGTTTTTGAAGAAAGGAAAACACTGCACACATAATACAGTGTAGGAGGGGAAAAAAAATACAAATAGCTTCAAACACTGTCATATCTAAGTATGTGACATTTGGAAGGCAGCATTTAAAAAACAATCCTCATTGGACTCAAGAGGATTTTAAAGCATCTCCGTTAGAGTGAGGTAGTGAGGGGATAGATAGAAGCTATCTAAGATAGAAGCTACCTAAGTCCCCTTCTACTACCTGGAACTCACTCACGGAAACCCATTTCTCTCTTAGATACTCAAGAAAGCAATGTTTACAAAATTATAAAAAACATTTTTATGATAGGTTAACATGGGAGCTTGCATACATAAGAAGTTCCAGAGGAGAAAACATGACATTCAGTTAAATGCAACATGGGCCAAGGAAGACAGAGACCCCAGCTCTGACAAGCATAAATTAGGATATTATGCACCTGACACATTCAGAATGTCCATTTTCTTTCCCATCAGAGTATGAAGTCCAACAATGAAGTCAATACATAAAAAAGGTGACCTGATTTTACCTGGTGTAAAATTTTAGTTAGCACTACTAGCAAATTATGAAGTTTGGAAATTTGTTGTAGTATATACTAATTTAAAATTTACTCAAATTCCTGTTTGTTTGAGACAAGAGTCTTGCTGTGTCACCCAGGCTGGAGTGCAGTGGCGCGATCTCGGCTCACTTTAGGCTCTGCCTCCCAGGTTCAAGGGATAATGCCTCAGCCACCAGGGAGTAAGGGACTACAGGTGTGCACCACCACACCCTGCTAATTTTGTATTTTTTGTAGAGACGGGGGGTTCTCCATGTTGGCCAGGCTGGTCTCAAACTCCTGACCTCAAAGTGATCTGCCTGCCTTGGCCTCCCAAAGTGCTGGAATTATAGGCATGAGACACCCCATACCTGGCCTCAAATTCCTTTTTTATCTTCATTCTCTACTTGAACAAATATTAATCTTTAAAATAATTTTAGAGACAGTATCTGATAATCAAAGACCAAGTGCTTTTATCAGTTATATAGTGACACACTGCTTGGATCAAGTGGAAAATATCTCAAAAATACACTCATAACGAAGTATCAAAAGCCTTAAAATTTTGCATATTTGGTAACCCAGCAATTCAAAGAATTTAAGAAAACAGTCATGGATGTACATGGGATTCAGTGAAGTGCTGTTTATAACTGTGAAAAGATGTAAATAGTCAAAATATCCAATAGAAGATTAAATGAATTATGATTGAGTCATACAGCAGAATAATAAACCAATAAAAATGATGCAGAAGACTATGCATGACCTGGAAAAGATGTTCCCAATATATTGTTAAGTGAAAAAAGCAGGTTACAAAATGGTATGCACAATATGAGCCCATTTTTATAAAAATATACATATTTAGCAAAGTAAAAGGACAAATGATATTTATCAAAATATTAACATTGGTTCTTTCAACATAGTAGGATGACTGTTGATTTTGCTTAACTACTCCCCCATTTTTTCCTATTTGAATTTACTACAATGAAGTTTGTTTTTTAAATGGAGAGTAGGAGATGAGGACATTATTAACCTCTGATTAGCCCACATATACTCCTAAAGGCTCCTTCTGGCAAAGTAAATGTTTCTGTTCAGCCTATATCTGGGAAATTGCTTCTACCTTATAAATTTGAGTGTCCTTCAAAGATGATATTCACTCCAACTTCCTTTTAGGCAAACTATACAATAGCAATTTTTGATATTAAAAACTTAAAAAAGAAATCCCTCAAGTTAATTAACACCAAAAAGAATAGATGAGAAAATACAAATCCTCACTTTTCAAAAAGAAACAATCCAAGTACATACTACTAAATTATACAAAGTTACATTATTTACGTTTAGTTTATTGCAGAGATGAAGACAGCATACTAGAAGTTGGCTTCTATTTCACACCGTTCACAGCACTCACTCTGTTCTCCATTTCATCCACTCACCCATGCAAAAGGTCTGTACACGCAATGATGTCTGATGTTTCTTGGTTTCCATAGTGTAACAGGAAACTTGACATTTCAATTAAAAAGGTAAAATGAAGACATTTACCATCAGACTATAAAACTCCTCTTCTGTAAGAGAATACTATAGTACTTGAAGATATGATTTGAAAAAAAATCATGTACCAAATGAAAGGGGCACCATTTCAAGAGCACTAGGACTACATTAAACTTAAATATATTCCCACATTCTTAAAAATGTAACTCAAAACCAAATCTAGTCTTAAAAAAGCTCCAGTAACTAAAACTACATTAACAGGCACGATGAACAGTGTAAACACTGTTAATGGGCACCAAGTTTAACAGGGCAGACAATATTTGCTTCTGCATTCACACTTATTCAATTACATTTTTTAAAAAAATGATGCTGCTTAAACTATTAATGTTTTACCAAAAAAATAATAATTTTAATAAATACAGCAAATGCTAGAAATCTAGCTAGGTTATCATGCAAGGTATAACCAAGACAAACTCAAATTTATAATAAAGGCAACTTGCATTCAAAATGAACTCTACCCTTATATTTTATTAAAAGGGCAAACATCATGAATTAACCCAGCCGCTTACTTGAATTACAAAAGTAACATGATTCAATATGAAAATAAGAAACTGTCTACAAATCTCTGACAGTAATAAATTGCAATATACAATGCATACAGGAGTCATACAGAGCAACAAACTCTCGTACAAAACAAAAATATTTTAATACCTTTAAAATCCAAATTTTTCTTTAAAATCATTCATGAAAAAGATTCTCAAGTCAGAATTAACACCTCAATTAGTCAAGCATCAGGAAGCTACATTACAGCTATTAATATACAAAGATACATCTTTTCACCAGTCTTTCCTTCTGATGTCTCTGTTCCAGAATCATACAGACTCTCATTTCTCTACACTCCCCATTCCATCATTTCTTCAGATCATGAAAACTGAATTTGCTGAACACCAGAAATCTAAGATTAGAAAATTTAAATTGAGCAGAATTAAAGAAAAGGAGATTAAAAGTACCATATGCATATTATAAAAATTCAGTGAATAAAAAGACAATAACAAGTCTAATTCCCATTTCTTGTGTATCTTTCTAGAAATCTCCTATGCAAATATGAACATATGCTTATTTTTAACTATTAAGAGAACACTATATACTGTTATCTACATTGAGAAAACACAATTTTAATAACCTTCTTTATCAGGTCCTTAATAGCATGTTGAAATTAACTATATCAATAGATATAATAAAAAAAAAATTTTTTTTTTGAGACAGAGTCTCACTCTATTGCCCAGGCTGGAGTGCAGTGGTGTGATCTCAGCTCACTGCAACCTCCACCTCCAGGGTTCAAGTGATTCTCCTGCCTCAGCCTCCAAGCAGAGGGGATTACAGGTACACGCCATGACGCCCAGCTAATTTTTGTATTTTTAGTAGAGACAGGGTTTCACCATGTTGGCCAGGCTGGTCTTGAACTCCTGACCTCAGGTGATCCACCCACCTCGGCCTCCCAAGGTGCTGGGATTACAGGCATGAGCCATGGGGCCCTGTCGATACAATCAAATTTTTTAAGCATTTAAAATACAAAGGACTGTACCTGTTGATATGATGTTGTGTAAACCATAACATTTTGTTGTTGACCGTCTGTGGTTATTAAGCCAGCTGGTAACTGGTTAGCTAAAAGAAAAAAAATTAGTTAAAGAGGGAAATGAACTATATCTACTTTCTTGGGTTGTATCTTAAGGTTGTACCATTAATGTCTCATTACAATTCTGCCCGGTATCAATGATGTAGTCTTGGACAAAATAATAAATCCTCCAATTTTCCATTTTAAAAAATGTTCCCTAAAAACCACATTATTTTATATTGCGTTTTTCAATTTTCCTATCTCTAACATGTACCTTAGCTAACTGCCCATGTGTACAAATCTGTAGACAGACTGGATGAAGTTTCTGATTCATGATTAAACTACACTACACCATGAGGTTTGGCTAGGAGCAACATATAACTGAGCAGCATATAGTTTACATATGAGAAATATATATAATGAGAAATTTACTCAACATAGCCCTTTTATTTCACCAATATGACAACATGATACTCAATTTAAAAAAAACTGAGTTGAAATTTATTTAAATCATAAGATTTTATATTACAAACTTTTCCTTAATATTCCTATCTCATATGAATCTTCACCAAAAACTAGGGGCTACAGAACTCAGTCAGAACTATCAGTGAAAGGTTATAATGTCTACAGAATTAAACTTTTCTACACTTATCACTCACTGACTTCAAATAAAAGGGCATGAACTGATAAGAACTATTTAAAATAGTGCTTTGTCAAAATACTCACTGCTGACATTCCAAAAATACCATTAGATACTTAGTATGAATCATTGCTAACAATCTACATGACTTGTATTATAACAATGCTTACTAAATGCCTCCTCTGTAAGCTCTTCACTTAGTCCATCTGTAGCTGTGACTGCTCCACCAATTCCCTTTTCTCCTTTCATAGCCTGAGGAAGGAAAAAAAAAAAGTCACTGATATTCAAATGAAATTGTCTTCCAAATGCAAATGCTTACTTATTGCCTAAAATTAGGAGCTTCTATTATTACAAACTCTAAGCAGAGTATTTATTAACACTTCTGGTTAATTACATATGAAGAAGGCTTTCAGAAGGCTAACTTTTAATATAAGCTGTAATCATTAACAAGACAGAGTTAGTAATGACCTAGAAAGCAAAGTATTTACAGATAAAAATAAATTATTCTAATTCCACATCATATCAAAGGGGTAACTCTACTTACAGATGAAGAAGTCTGCAAAACACCACCAATATTGAGCTTATAAATCTACAAATGATCCAAGTGATCACTTAAGTATATATATGTCTCTCAGCCAACTGGGCAGTACTGTAGCAAGCTGAGAGTTAAAAATTCCTAAATTAATTTGGCCAAATACTTCTAGGTTCCTATGATACTGAAGATCTGTAAAAATAATGTCAGGAATTTACACATTCTTTTCCTACTTCAATTATTCCATGCAAATATCACTAATTTAATGGGATTCAAACACTAAAGATATTAAGAATATATTTTGAAAGTAATGTGAATCTGACACCTAAGCTGGCATGTGGAAATAAATATGCTGAACTCAACTGCTTTTCACAAAATCCATTCCTACAGGCAAAGATAAACCTAAGAAATATAGAAGAATTCAATCAATAATAAGACATATGATTATACCTTCCTCTTTTTATTATCTAAAAGACTCCAACCTTACTACTTTTAATGCTACTTCTTTGAAATTAACAATAGCAGCAAGAAGTAACATTAATGAGCACTGAACATTATTTAGTACCATCCATAATTCTATGATATAGGTACTATTAGCCTCATTTTACAGATGAGGAAACCAAGGCCTAAAGTAATTAAATAATCTGTCCAAGGCCACAGAATTTGCATGTGGCAGAGCTGGGATTCAGCCTCCTGGTAGTCTGAATACAAAGTCTGTGCCCTTAAATCATTATATAACTATGCTATAGTTAGTAATAAACAAAGGGAAAAAGAAAGGACTTTCTATTTAAGTACTGTAATATAAGTCAGTGATCCCCAACCCCCAGGCTGCAGACTGATGAGTGTCCGTGGCCTGTTAAGAACCCAGCCACACAGCAGGAGGTGAGGGTCTGGTAATCCAGCATTACCACCTGAGCTCCGCCTTCGGTCAGATCAGCGGCCACGTGAGATTCTCATAGGCGCTGGAACCCTATTGTGAACTGCGCATGCAAGGGATCTAGGCTGTGCGTTCCTTATGAGAATCTAACTAATGCCTGATGATCTGAGGTGGAACAGTTTCATCCTGAAGCCATCTACCCCTCGCACCCCTCCCCTGACCCCAGAGCGTGGAAAAATTGCTTTCCACAAAACAGGTCCCTGGTGCCAAAAATGTTGAGGACTGCTGATATAAGCAATTAAATACTTCTGAGAAATGTTACATAATTTACTACAAAATGAATTTTTAAAACAAGTAATACATTTACAAAGTTAAAATAAATAATGTCTCTTATTTTCTTAAAAGCACAATGGGGGCCGGGCATGGTGGCTCACACCTGTAATCCCAGCACTTTGGGAGGCCGAGGCAGGTGGATCACCTGAGGTCAGGAGTTTGAGACCAGCCTGGCCAACATGGTGTAACCCCCGTCTCTACTAAAAATACAAAACTTAGCCAGGCATGGTGGTGCACGCCTGTAATCCCAGCTACTCAGGAGGCTGAGGCAGGAGAGTTGCTTGAACCCAGGAGGCAGAGGTTGCAGTGAGCCGAGATCTTGCCACTGTACTCCAGCCTGGGCAACAGAGCGATACTCCACCTCAAAAAAAAAAAGAAGAAAAAAAAAAGCACAATGGGAGATATTTTATTTACCTCTCTGAATTTCTGAAGGTATAATTTCAGAGGTTCCACATAACTGTCAAAGCCTAAAGTAGACATAGCAAAGAGAATATCTTCTCCATTGATTGTTTTCCGTTTCTCTTGATGGCACCTTTCACTTGCTTCAGATGTTATAAAACTGATGAACTCACTTACACATTCTTGAACACATTCTTTGGCATCTTTTGCAATCTGAAGAGAAAATCATAGGTAAATTACAGAAACTATAACCATCACCTTCCTAACAACCTACAAAAATGAAAGCCTATTCAGAAGAACACATCTTCACTTTATGACTATTTAATCTCTTAAATATATGTTATAACATTAACACAATGTGTGCTATCAAAAGTCCACACCTCAGAGTCAGAATAAAAGCTCAAATACAAGTGAGAGAAGCCTTGACAACTATTTACAGAAACAAATCTAATTTAGATGTAAAAGAGTGCCTGGCAGGGTGACTCATGCCTGTAATCCCAGCACTTTGGGAGGCCGAGGCGGGCGGATGACCTGAGGTCAGGAGTTCAAGACCAGCCTGGCCAACATGGCGAAACCCCATCTCTACTAAAAGTACAAAAAATTAGCTGGGCGTGGTGGCAGGTGCCTGTAATTGCTGCTACTCAGGAGGATGAGGCAGGAGAATTGCTTGAACCCAGGAGGCGGAGGTTGCAGTGAGCCGAGATTGAGCCACTGTACTCCAGGCCTGGGCAAAAAGAGCGAGACTCCGTCTCAAAAAAAAAATTAAAAAAATTTTAAAAAGATATAAAACAGCAATCACTGGATGTTCCTACCACCCCACAGAGGATGAAAACTCTTAATAACCCAGTGCCCCTGGAAAATCCATTCCACCATGCATATTTTGTGGGCGACATAAGTACCACTTCTCTGCCCTAGCATTTCCATGAATAAAGACACCAGAAAACAAAAAGCAAAACAGGAACTAAAAAACTGAATTCACATAAGGCTTGGAAAAGAGAGAAATGATAACATACGGTGACTTTGACTTTTTTATTATTTGGGATACACAGTGTCAGATACAGGTTTTGAGTTTACTAAAAAGCCTGCCTAAAGAAGCACACATCTGCCACTTCATTATAAAAACAATTTTTCCCTTAAGGGTCTGGGGTCTAAAAATGAAACTCCAATGGATTAATCAAGCAATTGCAAAGCCACTTGTAACAGCAATACCACTCAAACTCCCTGCCGAAACACACTGTCTTTCACCGCCATGCCTATTTTCCATACTGGAGAAAGTAAACAAGAACTGCATAAATGCAGTCAAGCAAGATAATATAATGTGAGCCACATATGTCAGTTTAGATTCTCTAGTAGCCATATAAAATAAAATAAAATTAATTTTAATATATTTAATTTAACCCAATATAGCCAAATTCTTACCATTTAAACATAGAATCAATTTTTAAATGAGAAATTTTAATTCTTTTCTTCATACTAAGTCTTCAAAATCTGGTGTTTCAAATTTACAACACATCTCCATTCAGACCAGCCACATTTCAGGTGCTCCTGAGCACATGGCTTGTGGCTATGGTACTGACCAGCGGCATAGCTGGTCATACATAGCCTATGTAAGCAATAATCAGCATTTGTGCTTTTTTTTCCTTAAAACATAAGGACAAAATTCTCAAACTGTAAGTTCTAAGCTTAGTGATGTATTTTAATAGCATATTTATTTGTAAGCTTTATTACTTCCATAAGTCTTTTTAAACTATAAAATGACAGAAAAATTACCAATAGAAAATGATATAAAACGTGTGAATTTTAATTCAGACCAAGTGATGAGCAATGACAATGAGTTTTAAAAGTTCTAAGAAGACAAAACTACTTAAGAAAAAAAAATATCAATTTAAATGTATCTTAGTATCTATAATTATGTAAAAATAGCTGTTTCCAAATACCAGGATTTGTTTTGGAAAATTCTTATTACACCTATATCAGACCAATACGACCTAAATTTACTGCAACATTATAGAAGTTACAGCTTCAGTCTACGGCCATACCACCCTGAACGCGCCCGATCTCGTCTGATCTCGGAAGCTAAGCAGGGTCGGGCCTGGTTAGTACTTGGATGGGAGAAGTTACAGCTTCAGGCCGGGCACAGTGGCTCGTGCCTGTAATCCCAGCTACCAGGGGAGGCTGAGGCAGGAGAATCGCTTGAACCTGGGAGGTGGAGGTTGCAATGAGCCGAGATCACGCCACTGCACTCCAGCCTGGGCAACAAGAGCGAAACTCCGTCTCAAAAAAAAAAAAAAAAGTTACAGCTTCATACACCCAAACCTGATAGTTCTGACAACGTACCTATTTTTTAAAACAGTCGGGCCAGGCACAGTGGCTCATGTCTATAATCCCAGCACTTTGGTAGGCCAAGGCGGATGGATCACCTGAGGTCGAGAGTTCAAGACCAGCCTGACCAACATGGAGAAACCCCATTTCTACCAAAAATACAAAATTAGCTGGGCATGGTGGTGCACGCCTGTAATCCCAGCTACTCGGGAGGCTGAGGCAGGAGAATTGCTTGAACCTGGGAGGCGGAGGTTGCAGTGAGCGGAGATTGTACCATTGCACTCCAGCCTGGCCAATAAGAGTGAAACTCTGTCCCCAAAAAAAAAAAAAAAAAAAAAAAACAGTCTAAATTCTATTTTATCTGCCTCCAATAAGTGGGAGAGAGGAGAACATTTAGGGACATGACAGAATTGAAAATGGGACACTGTTCAGTAACTGTGTATGTAGACATGAAAGAAATATTTGATTTGCTGAAAGCCTGAATGATTGAAATCAACAGCTAACTGTACCCATGACCTATGAATTCATGTAGTTTCGTGTTTCCCTTGAAAAAACCTAGTTAAATTTCTCCTCTACGTTACCTTTCCCGTTTGAGGTATGGCATTTTTCATTATCCTAGCCACGTTTGCTATTGGAAGATATATATCTTGTTCTCTGAAACTTTCTTTTGAACCATTTGTGTCTTCATGATCATTCATGCTGTCCTCAGTATCTAAAGAAATAAAAATATTTAGGTGTAAAGCTTCTTATTATTTCTATTTCAAGATAGAAAAAACTACCAAAGTGATCCAGAATAAAATCATTCTGGTTCACCTCTTAACCATTATTTAGGGATTAGGATAGCAAGTCTCTTCATAATTTTTACAGAGCCAGAACTGAACTTTTTTTTTATTAATTTCAGACTCACTGCCTAGAACACTTTTTATCCTCAAATATACCTGCTAAAATCCTACTTGCCCATTCTCCAAAAATCTCAAATAACATCTCCATACCACCTTCAAAAATGATCTTTTCTTTCATAAAATGTAAGTGCTTCTCTATGCCTTTTCTCTTACACATTTTTAGAATTTTTATTATTCCTCATTTCTCCTATTAGATTTTTGCTACTTAATGTCACGAATCAGCTTTGTGTTTCCTACAGCTTGGTACAGCACCTTCCACAGAGTAGGTACTCATAAATATTTATTATACGACTTAGCTATAAAACTTACAGACCGTAACCTATGGCTCCTTCAATACTGCTAGATTAAGAGGTTGTATGT